>NC_000002.12:195368405-195671436 GCF_000001405.40 Homo sapiens | reverse complement strand
AGGTGCTGTCAACATCAATGGATGAGGCTACTGACAAGAAATGGGAAAAGGGATTCCGGTAAATAACTAGCAGTGCCACAACAAATTTATTTTCATCTTTTGCTGTTGATTTCCAATACATAACCACAGTTAAAAGCCTAAGTATTCTATCACTGTATAATTTCTGCATTAAGAGTGGGGCTAATTTACAGTTAGGAACTTAATCATTGTGCTAATTATTATACTATTTTGAATGCAAATATTTTGCTTTGGATGCAAAGAAAAAATGAAGTTCACTAATATTCTCTTGTATTTAAGACTAAAACCAGAACTAAATATGTAGTGAAGTGATTATACTTTGGTGTGGGGAGTGACTGGGCAGAATCATGAGAGGAATTCTGGGTTCCTATTAATGTCCTATTTCCTTACCTGGGTGCTGGGTACATGGTTGCACTTCACTTCATGAAAACTGCTTGAATTTTACACTTAACATTTGAGTACTTTTCTGTAGCTGTGTTATATTTCATCCAAAACTTAATTTTTATTCCCCACATGAAGTTTATTCCAACCTTCAATTAGTAAAATCAGTAACACATAATTTCTAGAAACACATCCATACTTAATAATACGCAAAGGGAAATGTGCTTTTTTTAACTTATTTTGAAATAATTTAAGATTCACAAGAAGTTGTAAAATTAGTTCAGAGTTTCCATGTACTCTTTCCCCAACTTTTCCCAATAACATCTAACATAACTGTAGTACATGTTCAAAACCAAGAAACTGACATCGATACTATTAACTACGAACCTTATTCAAATTTCATCAGGTTTTACACACACTCTAAAAAATATTGTAATAGAAAATCAATTTTCTAACCAGAAAAAAATGGCATTTTTGTAATAAAAAGATATTGCTTAACAAAATACATGGTTATACTTAAGAGAAAGGTTAACTAGATCCTTAAATGAAAGGAATTAGGGTGTGTGCTTCAGCAGCACATACACCAAGATTGAAAAAATACAGAGAAGATTGGCATAGCCCCTGCACAAAGATAACATGCAAATTTGTGAAATGGTCTATATTGTTGAATGTTGTCACCACAAAAAAACATGGTATGTGAGATAATGTATTTGTTAGCTCAATTTAGACATTCCACAATGTATACATGTCTCAAAATACATGTTGTACATAATAAATATATACTATTTTTGTCAAAAAAAAAAAAAGGAATTAGGGTTGATATTCTCCATAGCAATTTCTCCTGTAAAAGCTTACAAAAAACTTTTTTATTTTATTTTTGGAGACAGAATCTTGCTCTGTCACCAGGCTGGAGTGCAGTGGCATGATCTCCGCTCACTGCAACCTCCAGCTCCAGGGTTCAAGCGATTCTCCTGCCTCAGCCTCCCGAGTAGCTGGGACTACAGGCACACACCACCACACCCAGCTAATTTTTGCATTTTTAGTAGAGACAGGATTTCTCCATGTTGGCCAGGATGGTCTTGATCTCCTGAACTTGTTATCCACCCGCCTTGGCCTCCCAAAGTGGTGGGATTACAGGTGTGAGTCACAGCGCCCAGCTCAAAAACCTTTTTTAAAGACATTTATTCATTTTTATTTTTCATATAGAGATGAGCTCTCACTATGTTGCCCATGCTGGTCTCAAACTCCTGGGCTCAAGGGATCCTCCCCACCTCAGCCTCCCAAGCTGCTGGGATTACAGGTGTAAGCCATCGTGCCCAGCCTACAAAAACCTTAACTATAGGCTTTGGATTGTAGTTTTGAAATGTGTAAAATGCCAAGCTACAAATTTTAAAAATTTTAAATAAAATTAAACACCTAAATAACAAGTTCAGTAGGAATATATACAAATGGTTAACATGACAAATCTTCCTACAGATATTTTGTCTTAGATTGTTTTTTATTTCATATAGATGAACATAATAAAAATGTAGAATGTTTGAGATTTTAAAAATCCTCAGGTGTATTTAGCTAAATAATGTTATGTACAAGGAATCTAAGACCCAGAAAAGGTATCTAACGTGATTAAGCTGTTATTTCAAGTCTGTGGCATTTCTCTGACTTGAAAGACAGGGGCTCTTTAGTCTACTACAGTAGCATATTTGTGTATCTTGAAACCAGAACACTGTGAGATCTTTATTAAAGTCATCTAAAATATACTACAAAGACTTTTTTTAAGGGAAAAGAAATTGTCTCCTAATACTACTTACTCAATAGAAAAAACCAAGACATTGTGAATAAATTTAGATTACTTAACAAAATGACTGTCTGACATAGTAAGAAAAATAGCAGATAAATACTAAAATAATCCTAGTTCCAACTGCTGGAGAGGCCAATCAACTTAGTAATTTTTTTTTTTTTTTTTCTGAGAGGGAGTCACCCTGTTGCCCAGGCTGGAGCACAGTGGCACGATCTCGGCTCACTGCAACCTTTGCCTCCCAGGTTCAAGGGATTATCCTGCCTCAGCCTCCTGAGTAGCTGGGATTACAGGCGCCTGCCTGGCTAATTTTTGTATTTTTAGTAGAGACAGGGTTTCACTATGTTGGCCAGGTTGGTCTTGAACTCCTGACCTCAGGTAATCTACCCGCCTCAGCCTCCCAAAGTGCTGGGATGTGACCCAAAGTGCTGGGTGCGAGCGACAGTACCCGGCCCGATCAATTTAGTACTTATTGCCTGTGTGTAATCTACTTAACTCATTTCACTAAAACCAAAACCAACAACCAAAAAACAAACAAACAACAACAACAACAAAAACCTCTTTTTACTCTAGGGAGTATTTTTTTAAAGGAAAATGAAGACCAAATAAAAGAATGAGAAGTTATTATCTGTATCGCAATTCTTTCTTTCATACCCATGTGTGTATGCACATGTGCACATGCACACAAACACACAAAATATGCTAATAATGATGGGGAAAGATACTATAAGTTGCTTAGCAAGGTTTTAAAGCAAGCTTTTTCAGTGTTCCAGATTGCTATTCTGAAGGTAAATAAGGTAGAAACCAAAAGATTAATCACTAAAACCCTCATCCTGGATAATATACCATGTTTTAAGTAAACTTAATGTGAAAATCTATTCAATAAATGTATATACAGTTTCCTAATTTCATAAAGGACTTCATTTTTTAAAAGTTTCATTACAGGACTACTTTAAATGGTTGAAATCAGTTTTATAGCCTCAATCATATAAACACAGCTGGTATCTATATGACTGAATGGCTTTATCAAACTTTATCTTGACAGCAATGTAGGTAGTCAAATATCAATTTAGTTTCCTTCTGTGATTCAGTAATGGCACACACAGAGTAACAGAGAAGCAGTGAGGCTGTGTGCATAGTGAAGATAGATTAGCCTAGGAGTCAAAGATGTTAGAGATCTGACTCTGCCATTTATTAGCTATGAGTCCTTGAGCAAGTCCCTTAACCACTTTAAGTCTTATTACTACTTATAAAGTGGGACTGTTAATTTCTGTTCTATTTTATGGTAACTATAAGAACAAAATAAAATTACGTACATATTTTTGTAAAATATTTGTTAATTTTCCTACATTATTTGCAATATTTAAATGTTATTTAAGTGCAAGCTATTAATAATATAAATTGAGTTCTGTCCCTACTTCTCGTATATCCATTAAATGTGGTATTTTGTATACAGTACAGAACCAGGAATCAGAAACCTCTGTCTCTAGTTCATCCCGGTTGTGCCACTGTTTTCTCTCTGCAAAACAGGGAAAATAATACCTACACTTATCCACCAAATAAACCAATGTATACGAAACTGCTTTGTAAAGCAATTAAATATATTAACCTAAGGTATTACCATTATTAGATGTAGTATTATGTATCTTTCACTTAAATTACAAAAAGTATGGTGGAGGGGGAGGAGTCTCTCTGTTGTGACTCTTTTGAAAGAATGCTAACAAAATATTACAAGAGCACATGCATCGTTAGCACATCCAAGACCTGCTCTAGATTGCAGGAGGCACCCAATTCACTAGTATCTGAGCAGAAGTTGGAAAGACTCACTACACCTTACCAGTTTCACTGACATTAGAATATTCTTCAAGGGATAAAAAGTATTTTAGTAATGAGTTCTCAGCAGGGACCACAAAATCCTCTTACAGCTTCATGGTTTGCTTTTTCATCCCCCTACTTCACCAGCTATCTAATCTACTGGAAATCATATTCACAGTTTGGAATGCCACTGCAACTCTTCCAATAAATAAATAAAAGCACAGTTCAGGCAACCCAATCTTTCCACTGAGATTCATTCATGTAAAAAGTTAAGTGCATGCTAATTAAGCTTGGGCATTAACTCAGTTCTCCTGTTTCACTAACTTGAGAGAGAATATAAACATTTATACCTTGATTTAAAGTATCAAATCAATCAACAACACATCATATCTATCTTTATTGTATTCTATACATTCATGTACAAACCTACATTTTCTCATCAAATGTCAAAACAATTACCTGCATTTCTGCTTTTCAGCCTTTCATTACAGGGAACCTGGAACCATATTGGAGAAAGCTACCTGTAATATTGCTACCTCTGTTCTGCTATTTGTGAATACAAACATCTGAGATTAGTAAATGCAGTCGTTGGGATGTCTTTTGAAGCTACTAAAATGTTTATGATTTTAGTTACATGCATTATGAAGCAGACTTACAGTGCTAACCAGCCAGATGCAGTGGCTCACACCTGTAATCCCAGCACTTTGGGAGACCAAAGCAGGCATATGGCTTGAGCCCAGGAATTTGAGAGCATCCTGAGCAACATGGCCAAACCCCATCTCTACAGAAAATGTTTTAAAAATTAGCCAGGTGTGGTAGCCCATGCCTGTAGTCCCAGCTACCTGGGAGGCTCAGGTGGGAGGATTACTTGAGCCCGGGAGGTCAAGGCTGCAGTGAGCTGTGATCGTACCACTATACTCCAGCCTGGCAACAGCTTATTGTTCTCTTTCCACTCATCACTGACAGCTGTCTTTATTCTAAAAATAGCTACTGCTGCACTACCTCAAATCTTTATTATTCCATGCATTTTCACCCTTCCCTTTTTCAGTGTCTTGTCACTGTTATACATCCTTGATTTTATACCAGCTTGCCATTGTAAAAACTGCCAGCTAAAATGATCCTTCTTTTCCATGACGTCATGGGAAAAAAATAATCAAAAAATCTCCAAGTCAATCTTTGTATAACATTGACTTTTTTTATGTTTCAGACAACACAGAGGCTACTTATTCCCCAACATGGGAGCTTTCTGTCCAATTAATTTTTTAAAACTACATAAAATTCTTGAACATAGAGTCTTGACCACATTCCCCTTTCTTATATAGCTACATTCAGAAACACAGAGCTGGGGTCTTTTAATATATGCATATTAAATAAAAGGACAAAAAAATCAAGCTAATTATTACCAGAAAAAACAAAGTTGTGCAGGAAAGTAGTCATTTATTACAATGGCACATTGTATAAAATAATATTTATAGCATAAAAATGTAACCCCAATTACTGTTCTAAACCAAAATTACAATGAAAATTGTACGGAGAAACTGGAGTACAGGAAATAGGAAGGTATGCACAGAAGTGAAAGAGCACTAAAATCATTCTTCATTAAATAGATAATGGTTAGAACTGAAAATCAGCTGCAAGTAATGAACATGTTATCTGGAGACATGGTAATGAATAGCAAAATAATCAACTAAAGGAATTAAGGGGTTCCTTATCTCTCTAGGCAGAATATGAAAGGAACAGACAGGGGACTGATTTTTCCCCCCAAGAAACTTCACACAACTATTTGATTCTTTAAACTATATTCATGTATAACTTTGAAAAAAACCTAAAAGTTGGCAATTATAAATTAAATTTTAGTTGACAAACCAATAAAATAATGTCACATGTGGAAGAAAATGAATTCTAGCTTTAAGATTTTCACAAGCATTTGTCTGTGGGTTTTTCAAGTATTTATTTTTTGAGGCAGGTTTCCACTGTTGCCCAGGCTGTAGTGCAGTGGTGCAATGATAGCTCACTGAAGTCTCAAATTCCTGGGCTGAAGCCATCCTCCTACATAGCTGGGACTACAGGTGCGCAGCACCACACCCAGCTAATTTTATTTATTCATTTTTTTGACAGAGTCTCGCTCTGTCACCCAGGCTGGAGTGCAATGGCGCAATCTCTGCTCGCTGCAACCTCCATCTCCCAGGTTCAAGCAATTCTCCTGCCTCAGCATCCCAAGTAGCTGGGATTACAGGCACCTGCTACCACACCCAGCTAATTTTTGTATTTTTAATAGAGACGCCATGTTGGCCAGGCTAGTCTCAAACTCCTGACCTCAGGTGATCCAGCCCCCCTCAGCCTCCCAAAGCGCTGGGATTACAGGCGTGAGCCACCGTGCCCGACCTCACACTGGGCTAAATTTTTTGTCGAGATGGTGGTTTCCCTATGTTGCCCAGGATGGTCTCAAACTCTTGGCCTTAAGTAATCCTCCCACCCCGGCTTCCCAAAGTGCTGGGATTACAGGTGTGAGCCACTGCACCCAGCCTGTTTGCAGTCTGAAACACAATATGCAAACATTTTAATTCCAATTTGTGCTATTATCTTTGATTACTTGCTTCGAATGAATTCCAAGATGAGGGGAAAAACTATAAAAACTTTAACACTTTTCAGGTTTTGTCATATACTTACTTTCCAAATTGATTTCTAGAGAAATTAAGCTTGGTTATACTGCCACCAGCAGTATGATCATAGCACTCTCATTCACATTATTATAAATTTTTAAATAAATAAAAGGTCTTACTTTATTTTTAATTCATATTTTTAAAGTTATTCCTGATGTCTCAATATTTTTTCCAACATATATGAGCTTTTACATAACATGATTCAGTCACATTTTCTGCAAAAACCCTGCAGTTCTGTTCCTTTTTATTTTGATCATGTTTTCCCTTTCATGTATAGATGTTTTCATGTACATGCAATGAAACTTATTAAGGTTTCTGCAATTTCTTCTATGACTGCTGCTAAATTTTAAAAGTTTTTTCTCCCCATATTTTAGTGTATATTTTCTTATTTTTTTTTAAAAGAAAAGCTATAATTAAAAATAACTCCTAAAAAACTAAAACCCCTAACATCTATTTCTTTTTTAGGAAAAAGAAAAATGTCAGTTGCACTAACATCCAACACTTTCACACACATATCAGTTAACTAAAAAACCTTAAGTACTTGTGTTTACGCAAAAATCTTCACAGAAAAAGATTTAAGAATTTGTTTTAGAAATTATATATTCCATGAAATTATATTTACAGTGAATTTAAAGAACTTTTTTCTTAATATATTTCAGTGATTTAACTTTAGCATACCTTTCTGATTTTCAATTTTTAACTGGCATGATTATTTGCTTGAAAATAAATTCTATATGTACACTGTATGTGCTTTCATAAGATGTTATATACATTCAATTATTCACTTTATTTGGAAAAAACGGGAGAGAAGGAGGAGGGAAAGGGCTGAAAAACTAGTTGTTGGGCACCATGCTCAGTACCTGGATGACAGGATCATTCATGCCCCAAACTTCAGCATCACACAATATAACCCAGGTAACAAACCTGTACATGTACCCCCTGAATCTAAAATAAAAGTTGAAAAAAAAAAAAAGAAAAAAACTATAGACTATCCTAATTTAAAACCCAAATCTTTTTTCTGTTTTAATATACAATTTACTTTTCTCTTATTTCTTTTTTTTTCATAACTTCTATATTCTTGAAACACCATAAAATCAAAATCTTAAAAACAGTATATTCCAAACATTAAAAAATTATGAAAATATGATATGCTTTTCTAAAAAAGGTCCATGGGAATAGAAAACATGATCTCACTGCCTTATAATGTATATATACACAGAATACGTTATGTGTATATTATACTATCTTATTATTACGTTTTCTTACATTGTTTTACTGATCTCATTTTATAATGTAGTAACACACCATGTATTGTTTCATTTATATTGATAAAGTATTTAAATAAATCTTTCCCTAGCCCCTTTCATCAAGAAGCTATGTTCCTCTATAACACAGTGCAAAGTATATTTCTTCACATGCAAGCAAAATAATGTAAGGAGTCATCTTCAGTAGAAGTGCACTGAGTTAATATACCAAAATATTTGTTTAAAGGCCTGTAAGCATGCAGTTTTGAATTGCTTTATGAGGGGAGTGAGAAGATAGGAGGGAAAGGGGAAGGGAAAGAAGACATGAGACATAGGCGGCATAAAAATATGATCCATTTCCTGCTCTGAGAGAGTTACAAGGAAGACACAATCAGCTTTTCAATTAGAAAAGGTAAACTGTGAGAGAGCTACATAAGTAGCTACAAACAGTGTGACAGTTCGGTGGTAACCAACAGTTGAAGGCCAAGGGCTTCACATTCCTTTTCCGACTCCAAGCATAATAAAGCATAATTCCCTCTGCAGAGGAAAAATGGAAAGCGGAAAGAGACAAAAAGCTTCTCTACTATGTAGGTAAAGAACACCTGCAAATTCACATTACCTATGAATTGATCATTTGACTGAACATTTTTCTACTAAAGTATTTTACCGCAAGAGCAGCTATAGACAATACACACATCAATAAGCAAGTTTTGTTCCAACAATTTACAGAAGCAGGGATATTTGGCCCATAGTTTGCTGATCCAAATTTAATTTACAGATTTTTTTTTAAAGTGCCAATCCAGCAGACAATTATAGGGGAAACCACTATTTTAAAACTCAAAAATTCAAATATATAAAAGTGAATTTAGAAAAAAGCCTAGAGGTGGGAAGGCAAGGAATATCTGAAATTGTTTCTTTTTATTTATAGATATTAAAGTAATAGCATAGGCTGGGCACGGTGGCTCATGCCTGTAATCCCAGCACTTCAAGAGGCCAAGGCAGGTAGCTCACTTGAGTTCGAGTTTGAGACCAGCCTGGGCAACATGGTGAAACTCTTGTCTCTACAATAAAAAATACAAAACATTAGCTAGGCATGGTGGCACACGCTCCCGTATTCCCAGCTACTAGGAAGGATGAGGTAAGGGGATGACCCAAGCCCAGGAGGTCAGGGCTGCAGTGAGCCCTGATCTCACCACTGCACTCCAGCCTGGGGAACAGAGATACTGTCTCACAAAAAAAAAAAAAAGGGAACACCACAGTAGGATACATATCTCTGATGTTCTTACTACACTAAAAGTGACTGAGGTTTTTCTTCTTCCTTTATTCAATGAAAATCTAAAACCTAAAGTGATCACTGATTAAATCTTCATTATAGAGGATTAAAATTAACCTCCTTCGTAGTTCACAGTTCTTATAACAATACTTCTCGTCCTATGGAAGTACATAATGATATTAATAAGGATACATCCTACAACATTCTTGCTTTTCTAATCCCTAAAAATCTTAACGGGATGGGCTGTCCCCCAAAGTCGAGTATATAAAAGGGTAAAATTGATTAGAAATATTAATACAAGGATAAGTATTATCTGATACCTCCCTTTCAGCAGTATCTAAAAATGAGTAATTATAAAACATGATTATAAAAGGTTATGACAAAATATTTACTTTTAGATTGTGAAAATAAACACTACCTGAGCAAGATTTTAGATTTTGTCCTTATACTTGTACAAGCCTGCAAACCTGTATCACCAGTAGCATCCTATTCTAACATCTTTTAACATAAAAATATCTACCATTAAAAATCTATTAAATAACCACTCCTTGTATCTGGCAATCCAAAAAAACCCTTACGTTCTGATAGGAAAACAGTATTCGACACAGAATTACTGATGTGATACAATGAATTGTGTCCTGTTTTAACATGTCTGAACATTGTATGTGGTCTCCTAAGCAGTTAATTTGGAAATAATTTAGTATTACTGGCTGGGCACGGTGGCTCATGCCTGTAATCCCAGCACTTTGGGAGGCCAAGATGGGAGGATTGCCTGAGCCCAAGAGTTTGTGACCAGCCTGGACAACATGGCAAGATCCTTGTCTCTATATAAATAAATACATACTATTATTTAAAACTGTAATTTTGATTCTATATTTCTTCATACCTACTATACTTTTAAGCATTCCACTAATTTTTTATTGAGAATATGTTTGGATATTTTAGAAAAAGCTAAAAGTTATCCTGTGGCCTATCCATAGAACTTATAAGGGATAATAAAAAGAAAAAAAAGAGTTTGAAATACTGATATTGCAATAATCTAAATAAAACCTAAAACCTTAAGAGTTTGCATTGACTACAGAAAATCCTTTCTGTAAAGTAGATTTTGTAGAATGTTATCTGTTCATTGCCTTTGTGTAGTGGTATATTGTGTTATAATATCTGTGTGTAAACTGAATACTTGGGTTTCATTATAGTATTCACATAAAATAATATTAATGATATAAAAAAGGAAATCTTGTGGCTATGAAGAGGTCCTTGAAACTATTTTTTAAGAATCATTCTATAAAAGTCATAGAAAATAAATTCGAATTTTAAAAAAAAGCTCACAATGTAAATTTAACACTTTCAAACTTTATTATCAGTACAGTCAAAGCAATACAAAGTTATATGGAACTAAATTAATCTAGAAAGTAGATTTTTATATCATTCAAGATAAGGAGAAGCCCAGATTAAATATATAAAATTGTTGTTATTTACACAGCTAACTTCCCGCTTTGAAAACAATCCCATACGTAAATTTCTTTTTTGGAGCAAGGTAACTTGGTGATTGTTCTATCTCTACCCAAAATTCACCCCTATTTGGAAAACTGGGGGCTAAAAGCAATCAGAATTCACCAGTTCAAAAACACTTACGTCCATCTTATTAGCAACACTAACTACCCAGAGGAAACTAAAATAGACCAGATTTACAGCAGTAAGTAAATCTAATTGTAATTTAAACATTACCTTATTTTAGCAAAAGGTGAAGGGAATCAAACGCTAGGGGGCAGCATCAAACTGTTGTGGGTTAGGCTGGGCAGCCTTGCAAACTTTAAGCTTTAGGGTATTTTTAATGAGAATTACACTTACATAAAAGATGAATTATAAAACTTCCGTTATAAAGGAAAAAACTAGTTGTTTTGATTCCCTACATTTCTCTTCCATTTCCCATTGTGTACTTTCTTTTGCAACTATGACTGGTATCACTTTAAAATGCACTAGTAATAATGTCCTTCTGATACTAAACTCATGGCATTTCCAATACTGAGGTAAGCACTATATAAACACAAGCTGACATTTTTAGCCTAACCATAATGGTTAAGTTTTGATTCACTCAATTAGCATTTTAAACTTAATTAAAGAGCTTGACAAGCTCTGCATATTCATGTGTCATAAGCAGTATGTGACAAAAAAAACTGTGCAGTATGTACCCCCTCACGAAATTTAGTTTGGCAGGGAAAACAAGATGCACATGTTATTATAAATTAGAAAATGGAAGAGAAGTAGAAATAAATCCATGAGTATTATATATAAGTAACAGAACAAAAACAACAGGATAATGTATCCCCCCCAAAGGCCCAGTAGAGACCATCAAAGCTCATTCTGGGGGTAGTCAAGGAGGGAGTGGAGGGAGAAAAAGAACGCAGACCTTCAACCACTAATGAAAGAACTGAAACATCTGTATGTAGAAAAAAGGTAAAATCAACTCACTATCATCTTCAGCCTTTTGGTTATCTCATTTAATGGTCACAGTTAAGTCCGTGAGTAGGGTTTTTGTACTTGAAGTTCAAATAGAAGATTAAGATAAGCAACTTCCTCAAGGTAAGCAAACTAATTAATAGATCAAGGTTTTGAACTTTTAAAATTTCACTCCAAAGCCCTAAATTTTTTCCAGTATTGGTCAACACTGAGGGTAGAAGGGTTGGGTGAACAGAATATTAACAAGGTAAATTTCTCTAATCAGAAGGAAATGATCATCCCAGATGCTGAATTTTCCTTGCTATAATACTACATCCTATCTTCTCCAAAAATCACTTTTGAAAAAGGCACACCCCCTAGATTAGTACTTGCATACGACACTTGAGGCCTACTCAAAGTACTTCAAATCAGGTGCTCAAAAAAAGGGAAGGACCGTGTTAGCTTTTAAGCAGTTAGAATTTAAATTGGTAACAGTAAGAACTAGTATAGGTTATCATGCAATCTATTATTGATGTCATTTCCTATGAGGTCTTCCCCAACCACTTTTTTTAAAGTAGCACCAAAGTCATTCTTGCACAGGGGTTCTTATCCAGGCGTCTATGTACGGAACGCAGAATGTTTGTAAATATGGACAGGTAAAAAAAGAAAAAGATTTATCTTAACCTCTGACATTTACTTATCTCTTCAGTTACGAATGCAGGCAAAAATTACAGCGATGTGAAATACCTGATAGCAATTTTAGATTAAATTTAAGCCAAATTCTTTAAAGATCATTTACAGTCCTCACTAATGCTTTACTAAAATATAGATGTCATATTTAATATCTTCATTATTTCATAACTGGTTTCTGTTGCAATTCTATGTATTTCATACATTTAAAACCATCATTCTGTGGTTCATCACATAAAAAAGTTAAAAATCCATACCAGCACATCATTGTTTTATTTTCTTCACAGCACTTATCACTGATATTATATGTTTCCAGTAAGGAGCCACTGGAGTAACCAGTGTCTGCAGAATGTGCGTTGTCTGGCATGGATCCAAGATCTAGAAAAAGTAACTGACTCATATTAAGGTACTCAAATATTTGTACAATAGAGTCCTAATACAAAACAATACACAGGAGTCTTGACTTGAGGCTTTCAATTGCATACTAAGTTAGAAGGAACTAAGTTCTACATCTCCAGCTTTTCCATTACTTGCTTTTTCTTAATTATGTACAATTTAGATACACATCCAAAAAGAAAACAAATACAAACCTATTCTAGTTTTGCTCCAAGAATGACTCAGTTCCAATGTAAAATTAGAGGACTTAACAGCAAAAGGCATAAATAAAAGTTTCTTTTAAAAAACAGTATAACCTACCATACTTTTTGTTTTTTTCTAACATGTGTTTTGTGTCACTGTTACTTAGAATAGGTACTCGAGTGAACGACCCTTCCAACGGAGGGCTTCAGGTTCTGCAGTGATATTTCTTCCTCGTGCCAGATCCTTAGTACAGCCCATGTGGACAGGCTCCCACGTGAACATTTCTTTACAGAAGCCACAGGAAGACCTTGAACGTCATGTTGCTCGCGCCCTGGCAAGGCCCCCGCCCTTCTTAGCTGGGGCGTTCGAGGGACCCCAGGAGAGGCAAGGAGTTCAGCAGATTCCCAGACCCGGAGAGGCGGTGCGCGAAGGTTCCTCTACGCGATCCCCCTGCCGCGCCCCACATCGCTCTCCACCTAAGGGCTTTCCGGAACAAAGCCGTGCGGCCGCGCCACCTCCGGCCCACCCGGCCTGTCCCACCGACCCGGCCCCACCCTCACCCTCAGCTCCAGGGACCCCCAGCAGGCCGAGATCTTCACACCCCCGCGCTCCGCCTCGGCTTTTCGGTTGGTCCGGGAGAAAACTAGTAGGAGCAGAGGCGCCGCCGTCCGTTAGCCTCGGTCCGGAACAGCGGTGCCGAGGCTCCATCCCGGGGTCCCCTCGCCCCATTACAGACCAGAGAGAAGGACTGGAGAAGAAAAAACCGGGGCGCTGGTCGCCAAGCCCCCGAAGACCTGCCTACAGATCCCCAAAGCCTCGCCCGCCCGCGCCTGCGACGCCATCCGCGGCCGGCGCGCAGCCCCCTAACCGCCGCCACCCGCCCAGCGGTCACTCCCCCACCCCGGGCGCGGCCCGCGAGGCTCCGCCAACCTCCACAGGAAGGTGAGGGGGGCGCGAGGCTCCGCACGCGAAGTGGATGCCGCCGGCTCCCGATCCCGCGGCCCGCAGCAGCCCAGACCGCACACGAGGAGCCGCGGCGCCCAACACTCTGCCCACCACGCGCTCTGCTTCGGCTGGCCGCCGCCGACTGCAGCAGCTGCGGGAACCCCAGCGCCCGCATCCCCGAGGGAACCAGCCCCGACTCCCCGGTTCTGTTCTCCCTTTCTACCCCCACGCCGTCCCGGGACTCGCAGTCTCCGCCGCGCACGGGGCCGGTTCTGGGGGAGGGAATGTAAACAAATCGGGGTTTTATAGTTACCTCACACTCGAGTGCCGTGTGCATCTCCTCTCCGCTCGGTACCAAACCCCGGCTGCACCAAATCGTGTATTCACCAAAGCAGACTGCGCTAACTGCGTCGCAGAAACCGGCGCGTCTGACACCCTGCTACGCTTGCGGCGTACAAGGTCCACTCAGCTCCCTGCGCAGCCGCACCCCGTCCGCCTATGGGTGCTACGCTATGGGCGTACACGCGCCACCTAGCTATTCACTTCGGATAACGCCAGTTGCGTAAAGGAGTCGCACTACTCACGGATTCCACATGGATCGTCCGAGGAATAGGAAATTCAAGTCTACGCAAACTGCGGAGTTCCGTGGCTCCGCGCTAGTTTTGTTCCAAGAAAGAACGCCGCGGGGGAGTTGGGGCGGCTTCTTAACGCATGCGTGGAGCGCCCTTTATCATTCGCCTTTTCTCCTGGCTTTCGAACGTCGGTTGCTGAGGCCTTGGGCAAGGCGAATGAGTAATGGAAGCTCTAAACCCAAACGCTTTAGCCAAAAAGCTTCAGAGTGATCAACTGGAATGTTCATCTGTATACGAGTTAAACATCTACGTTAAGTTAACCCCGCCCCCTTTGTTAAAGTAACCTTTTCAGTCTCTTAGGGCAACAGCGAACTTTATTTAGTGCTAAGTGCGAGGTGTTTTGCCTAGCTCCCCTTCCCACCCATTTAATTCTAAAGCACACTTACTGCGGGTCTTCCAAACCTAAAAGAAAAAGTTGAGTCCTGAGAACATGTCACACATGTAGAGAAATTCTCGAGGCTTTTGGCAACTTTCCAAGGTCTTCACTCCTCTACTCCTCAACTGATCGACTATTTCTTAACACTCTATGACAAAAAAATCCCGATCCAGCCAAGCAGTTCCATGGACTTGTGCCTACACCGTGCTCATTCTTGCCCTTTGCTCACGCCATACATCCCATCTAAATTGTCTCCTCCCCTCTTAAGCAACCACCAACCCACATTTTCTTAAAAGGTGACTCTGGACGTCTTATTTTTGCTTCATTACTCTGCTTCCTGGCTCTTACTTAATCCACATGTTGAGGCGTATCTGCATTCCGCCTGGGGTGCCTGTGTTTCTATATCCAACCAGAATCTACTTAACACAGCGAGTTCTGGGGGTGCCTTACTGGTGTCTAGTAGAGAAAATAAAACCATGAACAGCAGTAATCGCAGGCTTGACTGTGTGTCAAGTACTCCACATATATATTAATTTAATCACCATAACACGGTGAGGTAGGAAACTGAGGCACACAAGACTTTAACTTGCCTGGTATCACAGAGCAGGTAGAGAAAAGAGTTGGGATTTCCAAACCCATTCAGTATGGACGGCTAGGTAGTCCCGCTAACCTGCATATTATACCTTCATGAAAGAAGGTTATTTTTTGTTTTGTATCTCTACAAAAAACATCCAAAACAACGAAAATGGTGCTTGATAAATGCCTACTGATTGCCATACGTAGTTCAGAACACTGAACTACTCATATGCCCTTTTCCTTGTTTGGAAAGCCAGAGCATGGACCTCACTCCTGCTTACAAAGGGAGAAGTCCTGAGGTGTGGAGAAAAGAGATTAAGCCTGAGTCCTAGTTTCAAGTCTCACCATTGCCACTAAATGTGAGACAATAGCTGTGGTCCTCAGATTCATTGATAAATTAAGGGGATCGTTTTAAATATATTCTAAGGTTCATCCTAGAACTAAAGTCCTTAGAGTTCATAAAATCATGATAGTACATCCTTTGTGTGCAAAGCATAAGAAGCTTCCAAATTAGCTTGATATTTTATGGCTCATACTTATTTTATTGAACACATTATTATCAACACCCTTAAAACATACATAACCTTTCTTTCAAATATCAATAAGATATAGCGCTTGCAGTCCTTACATTTTAGGGCACCTACACTGCTTTTTTAGTTATGGATATACAAGGCTAATGTTCAGCTGGTACACACAAGTACGGCTGAACCAACTAATCAAATACTGAAATACTTCAATGCAAGTTGGTTAACAGCTGCAACTCTGAGTGGTATCCCCCCATGCTTCTCACCCCTGTGCCAGTCCTTCCTCTCAAGATTCCCCAGACCTCCACATTTTAGGAACTAGTGGGTTAATACCTGGCTAAGATAGAGCCCTTTGGACCCAGCTCTTATTAGTCACTCCCATTCTACTTGGTTGGTGCCTATTCTTTACTAATTGTTACATATTTTAAATGTCATCCCTATAGAAAACTATGTGGTAAGCAACTTGAAAATAGAGACTGTGTCTCCTAACACTTTTTAAACTCACCCAAACATTTATTTACTTTCAAGTGTATACACACTGATTTGGGCAGATTTTCAAGCAAAATTATCAGATAGAATAAATGATTCTCTGCATACTAGCATATTACTTTTCCTACTGAGAAAAGGAATCTCAGAAAATGACTTGCAGGCTTACACAAAATCACCTGCTGAGTCAAATAATGGACACTACAGCAACAATATATGAATTTCATTTTATCTTTACCAGTTTTATATATAAGAAATATGTTAGGGTAAAGACTTTCTAATATGTTATAATCATAAAACTTTCTGAAAGTGTAAGACATTTTCTTTTTCCAGCCACCTCACTTGATTCATAAAGAAGCTCATCTCAACTATAAAAATAGTATAAATGATTTTCAGTACCTGGGGGAAAGAGAGGTACTGAATTATGTGTAAATGGTTTACCTTTCACTGTTTAGCTTATTCATGCTGCTTCAGCCACAATATTAGTTCACATATCTAAAATTTCAAATGTGACCAGTCTACCTTTGTGAGACATGATATAGTAAATCCAAGGGTCTTTTTGCCCCTCAGAGGATTTGAAAAGAACCAACTATTAATACAAAAGAGGAAATAAGAAACCTACTTCATACCCCAATCTTTAGCAGTGGCTGAAGGAAGTCCATGTCATAAACCTGGGTTTCCCTCTTACAGAGGAGAAAATAGTCATCATACACAACAAAATTAAGAGTCTTTAATGAAATCTATAAAGAACATGACTAATTCTGCCAGGCGTGGTGGCTCACGCCTGTAATCCCAGCACTTCGGGAGGCTGAGGTGGGCGGATCACCTGAGGTCCGGAGTTTGAGACCAGCCTGTCCCACACGGAGAAACCCCATCTCTACTAAAAATACAAAATTAGCCAGGCTTGGTGGCACATGCCTATTATCCCAGCTACTTGGGAAGGCTGAGGCAGGAGAATCGCTTGAACCTGGGAGGTGGAGGTTGCGGTGAGCCGAGATCATGCCATTGCACTCCAGCCTGGGCAACAAGAGCAAAACTCCGTCTCAAAAAAACAAAACAAACAAAAAAAAGAACACGACTAATTCTAAGAAATCAGGCCTTTCAAACTCACTTGTTCTTTCCGTGATTCAAGATTAGTAATAACCAATGATAAAGACCCCTTCCTAAATTCATCTCCAGTTTAAACTGTTACTTTTACATGGCCTAAAAGTTTACTTTAGACAAAGCTATGCCTAGAGAGGCTGTGAACCAAAAATAAAATTTTAAGCCTCCCAACTAACTGAATGGTCACTTCTTCTTTGCCAAGGGCATTCCAAAGTTAACCTGAAACACTAGTACCAGGCATGATGGGAATGGATGGTTAAACATGCCTCATTATATTCTCCTCACTTTAAAATTCAGGCACAGGCCGAGTGTGGTGGCTCACGCTTGTAATCCCAGCACTTATGGAGGCCAAGGCGGGTGGATCACCTGAGGTCAGGAGTTCGAGACCAGCTGGCCAACATGGCAAAATCCCATCTCTACTAAAAATAACAAAAATTAGCCAGGCATGGTGGCGGGCACCTGTAATCCCAGCTACTCGGGAGGCTAAGGCAGGGAGACTCGCTTGAACCCAGGAGGCAGAGGTTGCAGTGAGTTGAGATTGTGCCATTGCACTCCAGCCTGGGTGACAGAAGAAGACTCTGTCTCAAAAAAAAAAAAAAAAATTCAGGCACAGATGACCAGTATTAACATTAAAACAGACCTTAAGACTGATGAAAGAGACTTTTTGTAGCAATGATACCAACATGACAGATAGCAGGCTCTGAAAGAATTCTAAGTATTTTTCTCCAAAATATATTTCTTTGACATGTTTTGAAATGGCCTTGCAAAACTGTCTCTTGTGGGAAACATCTACATTCTATAGAGCAGCAGTCCCCAACTTTTTTTGGCACCAGAGACTGGTTTCCTGGAAGACAATTTTTCCACAGATGGGGGTGGGTGGGGATGGTTTTGGGATGAAACTGTTCCACCTCAGATTATCAGGCATTAGTTAGATTCTCATAAGGACTGCACAACCTAGATCCCTCACATACACAGTTCACAATAGGGTTTGTGCTCCTATGAGAATCTAATGCCACCATTGATCTGACAGGAGGTGGAACTCAGGCAGTAATGCTCACTGCCTGACACTCACCTCCTGCTGTGTGGCCCCGTTCCTAACAGGCCATGCACCCGAACCAGTCTAGTGGCTGGGGGACCCCTGCTGTAGAGAATCCCCTTCCCTTTCCAAGTCTCTTCCCTGATCCAGGAGAGAATTAACTGAGTCTGGCGTCTTTTAAAGTCTGGTAAGAAACACAATTTATTCTCTCTGAAGCCTGCTAGGTGGAGGCTTCATCGGCATAATAAGAACCTTGGTCTCCATAACCCCTTATCTTTTTTTTAAAATTTTCTTTCTTTTTTTTTTTTTTTTTAAGATGAGTCTCACTCTGTTGCCCAGGCTGGAGTGCAGTGGCGAGATCTCGGCTCACTGCAACCTCTGCCTCCCAGGCTCAGGCGATTCTCCTGCCTCAGCCTCCCGAGTAGCTGGGATTACAGGCACCTACCACCACGCCCAGCTAGTTTTTGTATTTTGGGGGAGAGACGGGTTTTCTCCATGTTGGCCAGGCTGTTTTCAAACTCCTGACCTCAAGTGATTCACCCGCCTCGGCGTCCCAAAGTGCTGGTATTACAAGTGTTAGCCACCACGCCTAGGCTAAATTTTATTTCTTTTCTGACTACTTATCCCCAAGTTCTACATAGCCCCTTATCTTAACCCAGACACTCCCTCATATTGATTCCAGGTCTGTAGATAAACTATTTCAACCAACTGCCAATCAGAAAATCTTCGAATCCACCTAAGACCTGGAACCAGCCCCTGCTTCCAGTTGTCCCACTTTTCTGGACCAAACCAATGTACATCGTACATGTATTGTGTCTTATATCTCCCTAAAATGTATAAAACCAAGCTGTTGCTTAACTACCACCTTGGGCACACATTCTAAGGATTTCCTGGGGTTGTGTGACAGGCCATTGGTCACTCATGTTTGGCTCAGAAAAAAATATCTTCAAATAAGTTACAGAATTTGACTCTTTTCATTGATGAAGTCATTAGGAGTACAAGGAAGACTAAATTATATTGCTGTACCAATGTGGTGGGGTGTGGGGATATTAAGTACCAGAACAGGTGTTAAGATTTGGAAAAGGGGGCCATGGGCAGTGGCTCACACCTGTAATCCCAGCACTTTGGGAGGCCAAAGCGGGTGGATCACTTGAGGTCAGGAGTTCAAGACCAGCCTGGCCAACATGATGAAAACCCATCTCTACTAAAAATACAAAAATTAGCTGGATGTGATGGCAAGCGCCTGCAATCCTAGCTACTTGGGAGGCTGAAGCAGGAGAATCGCTTGATCCTGGGAGATGGAGGTTGCAGTGAGCCGAGATCATGCCCCTGCTTTCCAGCCTGGGTGACATGGCAAGACTCTGTCTCAAAAAAAAAGAGATTTGGGAAAGGAAGATGTCAGCAATATGTAGGTAAAATTCCAAACTGAGGCCTCAAACTTAATAGCTACTATTCATTTTTAGAGACTATTTCAGCCTGGGGATTGAAGCTCCAGCTCTAAAACTGATGCCAGAGATATTTAAAGGATACAAATTATTTCCATTATTCGAGACCTGTGGCACTGTGTAACATCTAACACGGCAAACACACTGTCAGAATGGGGAAGTTGGACCCATGCGGTAGTCTTTTTCTGATCCCTGAGAAATTATGGCTCTACCATCTCATTTTTGGCAAGCTCTAAAGACTAAGGTAGGATAAATGGGCCTTTAGAAGTCCATGGGAGTTCTCACTAGAGGAGCACAGCTCCCCTTATACTCCTTTCTAAATAAAAAAAAAAAAACATTTTTTTTGAGACGGGGTCTCATTCTGTCTCCCAGGCTGGAGTGCAGTGGTGCAATCACAGCTCACTGCAGACTCAACCTCCCAGGCTCAAGCAAAATCCTTCCACCTCCCACCTCCTTCGCCTTCCCCACCCACAGTAGCTGGGATTTTTTTTTTTTTTAAACTCCTTTCTAAAGAGCAAAAATTGCATATCTGGGAAGGCCATCCTCTTCCACAGACCCCACCATTTTGAGATGGGCACACGAAGGCAGGGAGAAATAAACCAATACAACTCTGGTGAGGGACAAACTTGTCTGATGCGCCTGAGATCATTCTGAATTGGTAGGCTTGTGCAATAAAACCGAGTTTCAGGCTATTTGCAGAGACAAAAATAGATTGGAGAAATGAAACAATTGACACAAAAATTTAAGCAACTTCTCACCCAGGGGAGAAAAATTAACTTTTTTATGATCTGCCTACATGATCCTAACCTAAGAATAACCAGAACCCTTAGTTTAAGGGTTTGTATTGCCATGGCAATACAAATAAAAGGTGTTAGCATTAGGCATCTCTCCTGGAAGACAGACAATAACAGAGAAGCTTAAAGCCTCTGATTGACCATGGCAAGTCCTTTCGAAAATACAGATGAGACCAGGCTCAAGAGAAAGAGAAAGACCTACTCAGAAGAATGAACAAAAGCAAAAAACTCAGAGCCAGAGCCAGACTAACACGTTGACCACACATTTGCCCACGTCATAGTGCCATGAAGACTTCTCACCCTAAACCAATTTTTTTCTTTTCTTTTTTTTTTTTTTTTGGAGGAGGAGTCCATCTCTGTCGCCCAGGCTGGAGTGCAGTGGTGGGATCTCGGCTCACTGCAAGCTCCGCCTCCCGGGTTCATGCCATTTTCCCACCTCAGCCGCCTGAGTAGCTGGGACTACAGCTGCCCACCACCATGCCCGGCTAATTTTTTGTATTTTTAGTGTACTTGCCAATTCCTACAATTACACAGTTAGCATTTCATCCCTGGGCCTTGAAACCGGAAGAACTTGGAGGGAAATTGCTACAGTTGTATTACCTATTTATACCTCCGTGAGAATATATTTTCCTTAGGTTTTTTCTAAAGAGGAAGTTCTAAGAAAAGAGAAAACACGGTTGTCTAGATTCTTGAGGGTAGTGTGGTACAAAGGGAAAGAAGAAAAACTGTAGACAAATTGCTAACTTCTCAATCTTGCTTCCAGGCAAGCTCATTCACTCACAGAGTAGTAAGATGAAGAAAAACAGGTGTGGTAGGTAGCCATTTTAGGTCGTTTGCAACTCTACTGGCACAGCAGAAATTGACTTTTCAGAACATAACTCCTAGTCCAAAGGAATTAGAAAAAAGTGGCATAAATATCCACATGAATATGGCAAACTTCAAAAGTATTTGTGGGTGATTACACTTCAATTTAAGGAAAACTGTCAACATGGAAATGAATTAACAATAAGTTACCACGTAAATTTTTTTAAAAAGGCTCATTTGTTAAACTGGTTGAAATTAATACATCCATTTTAAAATGTCATCACATAAGATCAAATTTCAAATTTTGCCTAAGGCTTTAATTAATAAGGTGACCCATTTCACACCTGACATTTATGAAAATAATCAAGTACATCTTCTAAAATCAAGACACACGTGTTCTGTCTTAGCAAATACTGCTTACCTTTATTTCTTAAAAAATATTTGATGGCAACAATGCAGCAAAATTCTAAATATTAGGGAAGGCAAGAAATGAATTGTCAAAACAAGAATAGCTTGCAGGGATTTCTGAATTTTTCTTGTACTATTTCTAGGTAAAGCTTGGATTATATTTTGTATTTCATACAATAAGCCACTTTCACATTCTTCATAGAATCCCATCTCTTCTTTCCAGCACATATCTTTTTGTTGTTGTTGTCATTCTTTTTTTGTTTTGTTTTTTCAAGCACACGTCTTTAGAGAAGATTTGGAAACTTCCTAATGTTTCATGAGAAATGCTTCTGGCAGTGCCCGGTGGTTAGCGACCCATCATGCTTGGCTTTTTCTTTCTCATAGATGATCTCACCTACAGCCTCCAATGATTTCATCACACCCAAGTTTCATTTTAATTACAACGACAGTTGCTTTCTCTAAGCATTTATGTTTTACAATCTTCCTTCCCACCCTAACCACATGAAGCGGTATTATTTAAAATGTGCCAGGCACCATTTAAATGCTCTAAATGGAACTCATTTAATTCTACAGTAACCCTCTGAGGTGGATATTACTGTGTCTATTTCACAAATGAAGAAAACTGAGATGGTTACATAAAATATGGCAGAGCCAGGATCCCAGGCTGGCTCTAGAGTCTCTGTTCTTAACTCTTACATTATCCAACCTATTTTTATTTTTGTTTTTTTGAGATAGGGTCTAGCTCTGTTGCCCAGGCTGGAGTATACAGTGTCACTATCTCTTGGCTCACTGCAGCCTCGACCTCCCAAACTCAAGTGATCCTCCCACCTCAGCCTCCTGAGTAGCTGGGACCACAGGCATGCACCACCATGCCTGGCTAATTTTTGAATTTTTTGTAGAGACACAGTTTCATCATGTTGCCCAGACTGGTCTTGAACTCCTGGGCTCAAGCAATTGGCCGACCTCCATCTCCCAAAGTGTTGGAATTACAGGTGTGAGCCACCATGTCTGGCTGTTTCTTTTTTAAATTACCAACATTTTCAGAGGAAGTGGTATAGAAATTCTTGCAAAAATAGTGACCTGTGCACAGTCTTGATATAAGAAGCCAGATAAGGGCCGAGTTCAGTAGCTCACCTATAATTCCAGCATAGGCGGAGGCCAAGATGGGAGGATCGCTTGAGCCCAGGAGTTCAAGACCAGTCTGGACAACATAGCGAGACCTCTTCTGTACAAAAAAATTGTTTTAAAAATTAGATGGGCATGGTGTCACACACCTGTGGTCCCAGCTACTCGGGAGGGTGAAGCAAGAGGATCACTGGAGCCCAGGAGGTGGAGGCTGCAGTGAGCCATGATTTTGTCACTGCATTCTAGCCTGGGTGACAGAGTGGGACCTTGCCTCAGTAAATTAATTCATTAATTAAATGAAATCCATTTGGAGGATTAAAGGTACATTTACTTTTCAGTCCTTAGATTTATATGACTCTACATCCTCTATAAGTCTGTCTTGGAAAAAGAGACACATAAATATTAAGGGATATATCTTTAAGCAAAAGTTTGTGCTTCTCAGTTAATAGGGTTGCTTTAAAAAATAGAAAGTTTGTGTTTTTATTGTGTGCAAGCCACTCTGATAAGTAACTGATACAAGGGTGAACAAATGAGAGGCTGACCCTTAAGTTGCCTGTAGTCTCGTGGTGGTGGTGGTGGTGGTGGTGGTGGATGGTAATTAAAGAGATAATTACAGTATCGCATGGCAAGTGCTATGTTAGATATAGGTATAGCTTGCAACGGTAGCAAAGGCCAAAATTTGGGGATACACTCAGGCTTCCCAAAGGAAGTCACATCTGAAGTCTGACTTATGGATGAGTAGTAGAGTCAGATAAAAGGCTGGGAAAAGAGCAAACAAGCAGATGAATGAGATGAGTGAATGCCTGGTTTTCAGTTTGGGGAAGTGAAACACACAATCTTGTTGTGTGTTTTGGGCATGGGGAGTTGGGAGAGATGAGACAGGACTGGTAAGGAAGGCCTTTGTGTATCACATTAAGGAGCCTGAATGAGTCTGAATGCTACCCTGAGGGCAACAAGGGCCATTGAAGAATTTTCGGTGGGCAAGTGACGTGATCATGGGCAAGAAGGGAAATCATATTATCATACGACTAGGGTGGTAGACAGAATAATGCCTCCCCCATAAAGACATCCACATGCTAATCCCTGGATCCTATGAACATGTAGATTACATGGCAAAGGGTACAAAGGCTGGAGATGGAATTAAAGTTGCTAACCAACTGACCTCGAAATGAACAAATTAGTTTCAATTATCCAAATGGGCCCGATTTAATCATAAGAGACTCTAAAAATGGAAGAGGGAAGAAGAGGAGAGTCAGAGGAAGATAAAGAGAAATGACACTCAGAGAGATAAAATGATGCTGAATAAAGGGAGCCACAAGCTAAGGCAGCAGTCCCCCAACCTTTTTGGCGCCAGGGACCAGTCTCCTAGAAGACACTTTTTCCACAGATGGCAGGGGGATGGCTTCGGGATGAAACTGCTCCACCTGAGATGATCAGGCATTAGATTCTCATAAGCAGTGTGCAACCTAGATCCCTCACAGGCACGGTTCACCATAGGGTTCGTGCTCCCATGAGAATTTAATGCTGCTGCTTATCTGATAGGAGGCAAAGCTCAGGCGGTAATGCTCGCTCACCCTCCGCTCACCTCCTGCTGTGCAGCAGTGTTCCTAAAAGGCCCTACCGGCCTTACCGGGTCTGTAGGGGGTTGGTGGTGGGGGGAGGTGGGTGGGGGGTGAGGACCCCTGAACTAAGGAATGTGGGTAGCCTCTAAAGCTAGAAAAACAGGAAATGGATTCCTCCTTAGAGCCTCCAGAAGAAACGTGGCCCTGCTGACACCCTGGTTTTGGCTCAGTGAAATTCGTGTCAGACCTACAGAGCTGCATAACAAATTTGTATTGTTTGAAGCCACCACATATGTGGTAATGTGTTATAGCAGCAATAGGAAATTAAAACAATTAGGAAACTGTGATAGGGACAACCCATGTGAGAAGTGACAGTGGATAAAGAGAAATTGTTGAACTGCAGAAGTTTCAAGAAGATAGAATTGCTGGGCACATCAGGGTACGCTTAAGTAAATAAAAAAATAAAATAAAAAGAATTGTTGAGTGTGCTGGCTCACATCTGTAATCCCAACACTTTGGGAGGCTGAGGTGGGCGGATCGCTTGAGGCCAGGAGTTCAAGACCAGCCTGGGCAACACGGCAAAATCCCATCTCTACAAAAAATTCAAAAATTAGCCAGGCATGGTGGTGCACGCTTGTAGTCCCAGCTACTCAGGAGCTGAGGTGGGAAGATCGCTTGAGCCTGGAGGTCAAGGCTGCAGTGAGCTGTGATTGTGCCACTGCACTCCAGCCTTTTTTTTGACACAGAGTGAGACCCCATCTCAAAAACAAACAAAGAAAAAAAGATAGAATCAAATCTGAACACCATCTCTTCTAACTTATTTCCTGTGGCTTTAACGTGATCATTAAGCTTCATTTTCAGTACCTGTAGAATGATCAATACTTTGCAGGATATTGTTTATTTTAATTTTTATTTTTTTGATCAAGGTAATACATTAACATTAGCTTTGGAATTCAAATAGAAATACATGCTACAACATGAATTAACCTTAAAAACACTATGCTAAGTGAAATAAGCCAGACACAAAAACACAGACATTATATGATTTCACTTCTATGAGGTATTTAGAATAGGAAAATTTATAGAGACAAGAAAGTAGAATAGAGGTTACCAGAGGGTTGGGTAGAAAGAAATGGGGAATGGGAAGTTAATGTTTAATTGGTAGCGTTTCTGTTTGGAAAAATGAAAGTAAAAAATCAAGCACTGCAATAAATACAAATTAAACAAATATACTATCTAATGTCTATAATGCTCAAGGAATTGAACCATATTATAGTACGTAAATGATTTTATAAACCTAGAATTTTTCAATGTAATTTTGAGAATAAGTTTCCAGAATTAGTTTGTAATACTCTCCCTATATTTTAAATAGGAATTTCAAGTACAAGCAGTAGCTTTGTAGCTGGAACAGTTTTGAGATTACCAAAATGTATAGGCAATGACATTAGCCAGTATGATGCTGTTATACCTCTGCCCAGCACTCATTTTTTTTTTTTTAAATAAAGTAGTTAGATGGCCAGGCGCGGTGGCTCATGCCTATAATCCCAGCACTTTGGGAGGCCGAGGCAGGCGGATCACCTGAGGTCGGAAGTTCGAGACCAGCCTGACCAACATGGAGAAACCACGTCTCTACTAAAAATACAAAATTAGCCGGGCGTGGTGGCACATGCCTGTAATCCTAGCTACTAGGGCGGCTGAGGCAGGAGAATCGCTTGAACCTGGGAGGCAGAGGTTGCGGTGAGCCGAGATCACGCCATTGCACTCCAGCCTGGGCAACAAGAGTGAAACTCTGCCTCTAAATAAATAAATAAATAAATAAATAAATAAATAAAGTAGTTAGATTGGTCATGGGTGAGGCAACTGGGCAAAACTTGAACATAATACAAATGTGATTTTCTTTTGTTTTCCTTTTTTTTTTTGAGACAGGATGTCTCTCTGTTACCCAGGCTAGAGTGCAGTGGCGTGATAAAGCTCAGTGCAGCCATGACCTCCTGGGGTCAAGTGATCCTTCCACCTCAGCCTCCTGAATAGCTGGGACTACAGGTCAGTGTCACCACACGCAGCTATTTTTTTAATTTTTTAGTTGAGGGGCCTGTGGCTCATGCCTGTAATCCCAACACTTTGGGAGGCCGAAGCGGGCGGATCACAAGGTCAGGAGTTCAAGACCAGCCTGACCAACATGGTGAAACCCCGTCTCTACTAAAAATACAAAAATTAGCCGGGTGTGGTGGTGCATGCCTGTAATCCCAGCTACTCAAGAGACTGAGGCAGGAGAATCGCTTGAACCCGGGAAGCAGAGGTTGCAGTGAGCCGAGATCGTGCCACTGCACTCCAGCCTGGGCAACAGAGCGAGACTCCGTCTCAAAAAAAAAAAAAAAAAAAAAATTTATTTGAGACAGGGTCTTGCTATGTTGTTCAGGCTGGTACTGAACTCCTGAGCTCAAGCAATCCTCCCACTTCGGCCTCCCAAAGTGCTGGGATCACAGGCGTGAGCCACCAAACCCAGATTTTCAAATTAATTGGCTCCATTCCAAAACGAATCCATCCTCTTGGAAGGAAATTAAAAAAAAAAAAAAAAATGAATGTACATTTAACCTAATTAAATGTTCAACTCTGTTTAGAACTGAAGCTCTAATACGCCTGTTTATATCTCCTTTTATTTGTTTTGATACTTTGTAGCACTCCACATTCATGTTGAAAGCAAAACACATCTTTTAAATATTTACTGCATATGTGCAATATCTAAGCTGGTACTCAACAATGTGTGGTGTTAACAATGTTAACTAACAAGTTTGGTGGCTGATAATCAGCCAATTCTAGATTAACCAGGTAATGGGGATGATGTTGGGTAGAAAGGAGGAAACAGCAAATACAAAACTACTGTAACAATGAAGTTCTGACAACCTCTTATTTAGCAGAGATACATCAACTTATTTGTGGGCTACCCATGGTTGAATGATGGTAGAATTTTACCAGTTTGGGGCTAAGATTATTGGGCAGTAGAGGACAGGTAAGAAGGAGACTGAGAAATTCAGATTCAAGGTTCCAGTTTCTCCTCCTTTCTCATCTCCCTCATCCAACCCCAAACTACTGCAGCTTGGCACTTCTTTCAAGCCATCAGTAATCAGCTATAGTTATTCTGCAAAATGGTTTATCCATTCAATTACTAGTAGAAGTGACAGTATGACTGGAGATCATTTGACTGATTTAAATATATAAACATAAATTATTTAATGAGTATATTTATGAAGCAGAGACAGAGATTCTGTGGTTTCACAGTATTGACTCAACCTACAGAATAGAAATGAAATAGGATGAATACTGTGAAAGAAGGGCACACATCCCTTAGCATTTCCTAAGTGAACATCCTTGTATGCACTCTGCCTTCTCTCTCCTCCTTTTCTCTGCCAAGAAGACTTTTCTACACTAATTTGACCCACTTGTTCAACTCATCTATTGCAGCTGGGCTTCCATTCCTGCTAGGTCATCCAAATTGCCACCCAATGGCCTTAGTTACTAAATCCAATTGTCACTTTCAACTGGTACTCTATTTACTTTCTCTGTTACTTTGAGGCAGTGACTTCCTCCAAATCCTCAAGGAATTTGATAAATTTGGTGGTATGGTGAGGTGACATCCCCAGGACAGACACCTTGAACAGTAAGCAAAGAATAGTGCTTTTTTCCCATGCTGATTGTCCCACCAAGTAAGGTACCTACCTAGTTGTCCCACCTTCAGTCTTGTTCCCTTTAAATAAGAATCTGCCACTCCCCTCTACTTTAATAGCAGACAGGACTTTTGGTTTTTCATTAACCTCTCTAGTGGCTCATTTCCTAGCTGCTTCAAGGGCTTTTGTTCTCTAACCTTCCATACACACAGGCAATCTCCTTCTGGGTCCTCTTATATATTATTCTACTCTAGTGTGTGTAAAGGAGTGTTTTAAGCACCACTTGCATCAGTTCCTAGGGGCTCTTATTAAAAACGCAATTTCTAGCCCTCTCCCAACAGCTACTGAACCAGTAACTTGGGGATAAAGCCAAAAATCTGCATTTTAAATCAGCTCCCAGGTACTTTTTGTTTTTAATTCAGGTATGAGAAATACTGTTTAATCTACTCATCCTGGGTAATTTTATCCAATCCCAGGGCTTTGGTTACTGTCTGTATACTGGTGACATGGACTTCTCTGTTTCACATGCAAATGTTACGCTTGGATAATTTAAAATGTCCCAAGCAGAACACATTGTTTCTCAATCCTGCCATTCTTCCTCTTGTTTCCCCCAATCCTTAAAATGGTTCTGCTGTGTTCCTCAGGGGTTTGAGGGAGAAAGCAGAAGTGAGGGGGCATTCCTGTCTTCTCAACACACTTCCAATCCTTACAGATTCTCTTACAGTTACAATTCTCTTACAATTCTGTTACAGATTCCTTACAATTCTTACAGATGCCTTGTGTCCATATTCTACTTCTCACCACACCCAAGTTACTCCGCTGGTTAAGGTTATTATCATCTATGGCCTAGTTGGCTTCTGATCAAGTCCACCTATAATCCATTCTCCACCGTGAAAGTTAGAGTCATCACTAATTTGATCAGGTCCTCCCATGCATAGACCTTTCACAGCTTCCCATAACCCTCGGGTTAAACAATTTCGCTGACAAACAATATCTGCCCTAATCTGCTCCCATATTATCTCTGCAGATTAATTGCTCGTGACTTCACACTAGAACTATACTATCAGGCCAGGCACAGTGGCTCACACTTGTAATCCCAGCACTTTGGGAGGCCAAGGTGGGTGGACCATCTGAGGTCAGGAGTTCAAAACCAGGCTGGTCAACATGGTGAAAACCCGTCTCTACTAAAAATAAAAACATTAGCCAGGTGTGGTGGTGCACGTCTGTAATCTCAGCTACTTGGGAGGCTGAGACAGGAGAATCACTTGAACCTGGGAGGCGGAGGTTGCAGTGAGCAGAGATTGCACCACTGCACTCCAGCCTGGGCAAGACTCCCAGAGCGAGACTCCAACTCAAAAAAAAAAAAAAAAAAGAACTATACTATCTAATGTGGTAGACACTAGTCACATGTAGCTATTGAGCACATGAAATCTGGCTAGTCTAAATTGACATGTGATATAAGTATAAAACATACGTTGGATTTCTAAAACTTAGTACAAAGAATATAAAAAGTCCCATTAATAATTTTTCATATTGATTACATGCTAACATTTTAAGTACATTGGGCTAAATAAGAATATTATTAAAATTTCTGTTGACTCATTTTACTTTCTTAATGTGACTACTAAAAATTTTTAAATTGCATGTGGTTCACATTACACTGTTATTGAACAATGCAACTCTAAAACTCTACAATCCAGCCATACTGAAAGACTTGTTACTTCCTCAGCTGTCATGCTTTTCCTTGCTTAAAGTGCCTCATCTCCTCGGCACCCCTTCCCCTTGCACCCTCTGATTACTTCCTATTTGTCCTTCAGGATTCAGTTTATAAATCACTATAAACTTGCCTGTCCCTCTCTGGGTTAGGTGTCCTCCTATACACTTACACATGTATCTTCCACCACAGCACAAGGTTTGCACTGTGCTACATTTGTGGCCCACTTATCTCCCGCTCCCTGCACCAGGATGTCTCCTATACTCACCGATTCCTTGAGAGCAGGGACTGTTCCTTGTTCAATGTACTATCTTCAGCATCTGGCACATTGCTTGGTGCAAAGTGGGTACTGACTGAATACTACTAGAATGGCTGCTGGAAATGGCTTCCCTGGACCCAACACATGAACCATTGCTGATAATAGTGTGTGTGGGAGGAGTTATAAATTAATATTTTCTCTTTATCCTTAACCTGTCGACACCCTATCAAGCAACACCCCAACTCTCTCTCGCTTTTTTTGCCCCCAGTTAAATTTTAAAACTTCATCAGTTAATTTGAGGAAATGATCAGAGAACAAAATGAACACAACTTTTGTGTTCTAAATATTTTAAAATTGCTTTACTGCTAGAAGACATTCACTGTGAGAAAAATTACCTATTCATTGGAAAACATTTTTATAGCATTTCTGAAGATCAAGTCTTTGCAGGAATTTAAATGAGACCTAAAATCAAATCATTTTCTCTATAATCCTGCACTGTTGGCATTCATAGGGAAGCTTTAAGTACATCAAATATTCTGGCATACTCACATTATAATTAACGTTTACATTACTCCCTGTTTAAAAAAAAACTAGTGTATGCCAAATATTAAAGCCATAAGAACAAACAGTAACTATTTTCTTTTTTCTTTGGCTCAACCTCATCAGATATAAATTTTTAGTGGTGTCCTCGGTGTTCATCCAATTTGATCACTCTGGGATTTTTAAGGTTTTTTTTTTTTTTTTCTTTTAATGCTTCAGGGCTTTTCATGGCATAGGCAGGGCTTTCATCTACCTGTGTTTTATGAGATTAAAATGTCTTAAGGACTTATAAAGACAAATATTAAGCCTCACCCTGATTTAAGGTGCTACTTAACTGCCTTTGTGCTTCCACTTCTTCAACACTTATTTACTTCTCAACGTACTGTTATGCTGTGTTTACCACTCTGGTGAAATTGCTCTCCCAAGAGTCATCATTGAATGAGGGTATGTGAAAGAGTCACAGGAGCCAATTGAAACAGCTCCCAAAAGGCAAATCTGAGAAATTTGAGCAACAAAATAAACAGTTTTGGATTATAATCCAAACTATAAAACAAATATCCATGACTCTACACTGATAAAAATTAACTAATTAATTAATTAACAATGGCAGAGAACAAATATCTCCTGCAGAAGAATTCCAAATAATTTATGTGGATTTTCCATCTGTAAGTATTAAGAGCAGTTGGGCACTGTGGCTTATGCCTGTAATCCCAGTGCTTTGGGAGGCTGAGCCAGGTGGTCAGGAGTTCAAGACCAGCTTGGGCAATATGGCGAAACCCGTCTGTATTAAAAATGCAAAAATTAGCCGGGTGTGGTGGCACTCGCCTGTAATCCCAGCTACTCGGGAGGTTGAGAATTGCTGGAACCCAGGAGGTGAAGGTTGCAGTTAGCAGAGATTGCGTCACTGCACTCCAGCCTGGGTGACAAAGCGAAACTCCATCTCAAAAAAATCAAATAAAATAAATATAAGAATTCAGAGCATAACTTCCCACTCATTAAATGTGGGCTATCCATAGTGACTTCCTTTGAAAAAGTACAGTCTAGAAATGGGGAAAAAGAGTAACTTTAAAGTGGAAAAACCTGACAAATGCTAACTCAGCCAAAAGATCAAGGTCAACATCAACAATGATAAATCATGTTGCTAGGAGATAGCTCTGATACAATGTGATGAAAATGGCAGTTTACCCCTGTGGTCTTCCTCCTCAAAACTCTTAACCCCAGTCTGATCATGAGAAAAACATCAGGGACATTCTGCAAAATACCTGACCAGTACCTCCTTAAACTGTCAAGGTCAGTCAGATACAGTGGCTCACGCTTGTAATCCCAACACTTTGGGAGGCCAAGGTGGGAGGATCGCTTGAAGCCAGAAGTTCACCACCAGCCTGGGCAACATAGCAAGACTTATCTTTACAAATCTGAAAATTCGCCAAGCATGGTGGTGTGTGCCTGTAGTCCCAGCTACATAGGAGGCAGAGGCAGGAGGATCACTTGAGCCCAGGAGTTAGAGGTCATAGTGAGCTACGATGGTTCCACTGCACTCCAGCCGGGGCACCAGCATGACCCTGTCTCAAAAACAAAAACAAAAAAAAAAACTGCCAAGGTCATCAAAAAACAAGAAAAATTTGAGAAACTGTCACAAGCAAGAGGAGACTAGGGACTCATAATGACTAAATATAATGTAACTTAGATATGATTCTAGGATGGAAAAATGACCTTTGATAAAAACTAATAAAATCTGAATAAACTACAGTCTTTAGTTAATAAACGTATATCAATATTGGTTCATAATTGTAACAAATACACGAACAGAAAATGGTAATAATAAGACAAACTGGATGGGGGGTATATAGAAACTCTCTGTACTATCTTTGCAATGTTTCTGTAAATTTAAAACCGTTTTAGGCTGGGTGCGGTGGCTCATGCCTGTAATCCCAGCACTTTGGGAGGCCGAGGTGGGTGGATCACTTGAGGTCAGGAGTTCGAGACCAGCCTGGCCAACATGGTGAAACCCCATCTCTACTAAAAAAAAATACAAAAATTAGCCGAGTGTGGTGGCAGGTGCCTGTAGTCTCAGCTACTCGGGAGGCTAAGGCAGGAGAATCGCTTGAACCTGGGAGGTGGAGGCTGCAGTGAGCCCAGATTGCATCACTGCACTCCAGCCTGGGCGACAGAGTGAGACTGTCTCAAAACAAAAACAAACTAAAAAAAAAGTTTAAAAAAGTAGCTTATTTATTTTTTAAAGTTATTTTTGAGGCTGGGCACAATAGTTCATACCTGTAATCCTAGCACTTTGGGAGGCTGAGGCAGGAGGATGGCTTGAGTCCAGGAGTTTGAGATCAGCCTGGACAACATAGCAAGGTCCCGTCTCTATTTATTTATAAAAAATTGGTAGATAAAATAAATAAATAAAATTATTGTTGACCTCTTACTTGGCAAATTTTACTGACTTTTCACAGTCTTCATCCTGTACTGTACTGAGAACAATCTCCTTATGGGAGCTCTCTTCTTTAGCATCTTTGATAATATCTTCTCTAGGATCTCTTCCTTCCTAATACCTTTTCTAGTCTCCAATACAGGATTGTTCTTCTTCCCATCTCTTAAGTGGTATTTCCTAAGTTCCTAACTTTAACTAACTTGTCTTATCACTTCATATTATCTCACATGGGGAAAGAAATCTCAACTCCAGCAGCTTCGACTATGGCCTTTATGTTGCACTTTCCGAGACTCTAAGCTCAATCTTTTTTAAAGGTCAAATCATAGTTCCAACTACCTGGTGGACATTTCTACCTACGCAGACCTTCAGGGATGTTAAACTCAACATGTCCAAAGAAGAAACCCTTGTTTAAAACCTGAATCCTCTGGCTCCTGTTGTGCCTCAATTATGGTTAAGAATGAGCATTATAACTTCTCTATTCTTCCAACAGGAGCTGTACATATACCCATTACTGTTTTCTTGACCACCATTATTCTCTGATCTCATACAAATATTGTTTGACTGTATTTCTACCTGCTCCCTTTACTGTCACTGCATTCATTTTCTTGCATAATTACTAATCCATCATTCAAAACAGCCTTGGCTGACTGTAGAACCTGGAAGTGAGCCCCAGTAAAGCTGAGTGAACCCCTACAGTCCTGGTATGAGATAAATATATGAGATATTTTGTGTTCCCTGGGAAAGAACCAAAATACCTCTCATGTGGGGCAAAGACCGCCATTTGTTTCTGACAGGCAGGCCAGAGACTCAAGTTGATCCCCCAACTAACTGCCTCTGTCCACTTTCTACATGCAGCTTATGGAGAAAGCTTTCCCCTAAAATTTGGCAGCCCAGGAGCATTGCAGTGTGAGGCCTCTGTCCCTGAGACATGATAATCTTTTCTCAACATTTTCCAAGAGGTTACAGCTTGCTGACTGCCACATGCCACTGGAACAATTCTCATTCACCTTAACTGTGGCAGACCATTGCTGACTCATCAAGCCATTAGCAACTCCCTCCCCTTTTTCTTTGTTAATAATATCCTGCTTTTAGTTGAGACTAGAGGGAATTAGGTACATAGGGGAGGCCAAAACCAAGCCCCAAATGGTAAATATTTTATTAGTCTAAACCAAATGGTTCTCAAATTTCTGGTTTCAGGGCCCTTTTATACTCTTCAAAAATATTTTTTTTAATTTTTTATGGAGATGGGGTTTCTCCATGTTGCCTAGGCTGGTCTTGAACTCCTGGGCTCAAACGATCCTCCCACCTTGGCCTCCCAAAGTGCTGGGATTATTTAAAACTTTTTAATTTTTTTTCTTTAGACAGAGTCTTGCTCTGTCGCCCAGGCTGGAGTGCAGTGGCGCGATCTAGGCTCACTGCAAGCTCCGCCTCCCAGGTTCAAGCCATTCTCCTGCCTCAGCCTCCTGAGTAGCTGGGACTACAGGCACCCGCCACCACGCCCAACTAATTTTTTTTGTTTTTTTAGTAGAGACTGGGTTTCACCGTGTTAGCCAGGATGGTCTCGACCTCCTGACCTTGTGATCCACCCGCCTCAGCCTCCCAAAGTGCTGGGATTACAGGCGTGAGCCACTGCGCCAGGCCAATTATTTAAAACTATTGAGGACTACAAAGTGCATTTGTTTATGTGAGTCACATCTATCAATAATTACCATTTTAGAAACTAAAAATAAAAAAAATTTAAATACTTACTATTTCATGTGGAAATAAACCAATTACATATGATATAACAATATTTTACAGAAAAATAACTATAGTTTTCAAAGTAAGAAAAAAATGTCAAGAAGCCTGGCCTAATAGAAGACATGGATTCTCATATCTGCTTCTGCATTAGTCTGTTGTCTTGGCTGAAATGTATATTGAGTCTCATACAAATATGTTGTTGAAAGAGGAAGAAATATTTTAATAGCTATCTCAGATAAGTTTGAATATTCTTCTTTAATACTACATTAAAACTCAAAAAAGTGGTAGTTTGCTGAAGGTTAATTACAAAGTGAAATCAGAAAACCTATAAGTGAAATTTTGTACTCTGTTCCCCTTAGATCTTTTGGCCTAGTATGCATTTTGAATGGATCTTTTAACCCATCTGTGATTTTGTATCATGCATTGATCATACTGGTTCACTGAGTTATGCAGATCTTTCAAATACATTTCATCATACCATGTAAAAAAATCACTTTTGTTAATATCAACACCAATCTCAGACAAATCCTTTCATTATCTGCCTTTTGTTTTCCTTGAAATGGCAGGCTCACATTTTTAATTTTCAAGAAAATGTCTGCAAAACATTCAAGTCTACATAACCATATTTTCTTTGTCAGTCTTTCAAGTAAAAAAAAAAAAAAGTGGGGGGGGTTCCACAAAAAAAGCAATCATTTCAGCTCACAATTCAATTACTTAAGGGATACTGTGACTTGAGATAACTAAAGCACTTTAGCATGTGCCAGGAAAGCAAGCAAACAATCAAAACATGAAACTTTATATGGTGCCTGTGAAGAAGACGGCTTCTAGTATGTGCCACTTCTTTGATTTGTGCTAAACTACTGGCAGTGCTATCCACTACTGCTGCTTCTGCACCATCAATGCAGTGAAAAAGGCAAATAATATCTTAGCATTATTAGGGTAAATGATTTTAACCTTGTGAACTCCCTGAAAGGATCTCAGGGCTCCCAGGTTCCATGGACCACTGCTGAATTAAGCCAATTGATATTCCATTTTACTTACCAATTAGTTCTGGAATAGATACATGACACAAGTCTGGCCATAACCCAGAGGGGCCTCCAGGAAAGGTTCTTCTTTTAACAAGATACGTGGAAGTGAAAACAAATTTCCCTTTTCTGCCTTTGGCATCTATATGGGAAGCCTAGAAATAACCTGCCCAAGAGGACAAACAACACACTCAACACACTGAATTTGGGAAAGTGGAAAAATGAAAAACATCTGGGCAAATTGATGTCAGTGTTCTTTTGTTTTGTTTTGTTTTTTGTTTTGTTTTGTTTTTTTTGGAGACAAAGTCTTGCTCTATTGCCCAGGCTGGAGTAGCAGTGGTGCGATCTCAGCTCACTGCAACTTCCACCTCCCAGGTTCAACCAATCCTTCTGCCTTAGCCTCCCGAGTAGCTAGGATTACAGGTACCCACCATCATGCCTGGCTAATTTTTGTATTTTTAATAGAGACAGGGTTGCACCATGTTGGCCTGGCAGGTCTTGAACTCCTGACTTCAAGTGATCCACCCACCTCAGCCTCCCAAAGTGCTGGGATTACAGGCATGAGCCACCACACCTGGCCTGAGGTCAATGTTGAACCACTGAATTACTCAACACTGAAACTGTCCTATCGCTAGAATTCTTATTATATGAGATAAAAATTTTCCTTATCAAGTGACTTTTAGAAGGATTTTTTGTTCCTTACAGTTGAAAGCATCTTTACTCATACATATTCTTACATTTCTGTCAATACATCAATATTCAAAAGACCCAAAATCCTGATTACCAGAGTTTGATACATTCTAAACTCCCTGAAATCAGCAAGCAAAATAAAATTATTACAAGTCATTTAACAAGGCACAGTAGCTGGAAGGAGGCACATCAAGTTGAACAACTAAAACAGGTGGCTTATATGAAGGCAAATCAAATAAAAGAGAAAAAATTAAATTTTAATAAAAACATAATGAGAACACTTAAGGGGATGAGAATATAACACTAAAAATTCAAGGACTATGAAGCATTATTCCTCTGTTATATAGTAATCAGGATCAGAAAGTAACCAGGTGTTTAGGAGCAAAACCCTTGGCATATATCCAGCGTCAGGAAATGGAATCAGATTACGTAGATCAATAGAAAAGTATTCGTTATTCTGTGTTAACACAACCAGTGTTCTACCACCAAAGCTGGGGATGTGGTCTTTAGTAAGATAAGTAAAACATATTTGTGTTTGTAAATTTTCAGGTTACAGCAGAGTTCTTTTCAAAATAAAGTTGCTCTATCTTTTGATACCTGCATGTGAGTTTGAAGATTTTGAATCTGAATTTCTTCTTTAACCTTTATATATCACACTGTTGATAGGGACAGGAGGCAGAGAAATTCTAGGCAGAAAAGGGCAGGGTCCCTGGCGAAGCCCCACCCTCAAGCCGAAAAGCCTGAGACCATGGCCTAAAGCGAGAACTGATATCTCTGTTTTCCCACCCATGGCCTCACCCCACCCCACCCTGTGTCTATAAAGACCCCAGAAGCAGCTAAACATCAAGAGGAGAAGAAGCAGCTGAATGTTGGAGAGAAGTAGTTTGACTTCAGAGGGACAGCTCGACAGCGGGACTTCAGAGTGGAGTCCAGCAAAGATGGCCGGACTTCAGGGGAAGAATACTGTCCTGCTCTATCCCCTTTCCAGCTCCTCTTCCCGCTGAGAGGCACTTCCATTGGCAATAAAACCTCCCACATTTACTATCCTTCAGTTCTTTCCTGTGACCTGATTTTTCCTGGATGCTGGACAAGAGCTCGGGATACAGCAGGCTGTCACACTAGACCCTCTGCCCTCACTGGCAGAGAGCAACTATCTCACACAAAAAGGCAGAGGGCCCACTGAGCCTGTCTGCAGATGGCAAAAACTAAAAGAGCCTCACTGTACCACTCTTCTGGGGCTTCAGGGGTCATCGGTATTCCCTCTTAGACGCTGCCTCGGGTCCCACATGGAGTTTTGCTCCTGCCGGTGCTGAAAACACTAGCCTAGCCTCCTGCAACCGCTCACCTGCGTGCTCCCTCCCACGAGGGGTTGAGCGCAATGCAACAGGTTTGAGTTGAGTGGAGTGGAGTTTGCTGCTACCACTGAAATGGCTGACTAGTTCTAGTGCCCACACTCTAGTTCCTGCCCATGAAGGGGTCAGAGAAAATTTCCTGTTTCACTGTGAGATTCAGAAGACAAAATGATTACATCAGAGAAATAGAAGAGAAAAAACTGGTCTTGTTGATAGAAAAAATTATTTTTTTTAGCTCTCTTATCCATTTCCCCTCTGTGTGAAAAGCACACAGAAAAGCAGAAATGGTTCACAGCTAATTGTGCCTTGCAAGATCCAAGTTCCTATCTCTACAAGGAGAATCTAGTCCCCGTTATAAAGGATGGTTTTAGGAAAATAACAATCTCTATCAATCAACTTTCAGCTCCTCCAATGTATAATAATTCTAAAACTGAATGACAAAGATGTTTTAAACTCAAACATTAAATATCATTGAATTGCATATTTTAATTTAAAGGAACTCTGAAATGAGTAGAAATTACCACATCAGAATTATTTTAGAGGTTTCAAAATAAATAAGTGCTATCTTTTCATCACCAGATGAAGAGACCAACTTCATGGGTAGAAATGGGTCTAGACTCTAAGAGAAATGGATGAAACCATGAATCGTAATTCACATCAGTAGATCAAGTACTACAATTGTTTAAAAGGAAGTAGAGCCAGGTGTGGTGGCTCATGCCTGTAATCCCAGCAGTTTGGGAGGCCAAGGCAGGTGGATCACCTTAGGTCAGGAGTTTGAGGAGTTTGAGACCAGCCTGGCCAACATAGTGAAACCCTGTCTCTACTAAAAATACAAAATTAACCAGGCGTGGTGGCAAGCGCCTGTAGTCCCAGCTACTTAGGAGGCTGAGGCAGGAGAATCACTTGAACCCGGGACGAGGAGGTTGCAGTGAGCCGAGATGGCACCACAGCACTCCAGCCTGGGCAACAGAGGGAGACTCTGTCTCAAAAAAAAAAAAAAAAAAAAAAAAAAAGGAAGTAGAATGAGAGCTGGTGACCTTTGTATTTGACATTACCACTCAAATTTCACAGAAAAAGCTTTGATAAGAATAACAAAACAGGCTGGGCATGATGATGGGTGTGGTGGCTCATGCTTATAATCCCAGATCTTTGGGAGGCCGAGGTGGGAGGATCACTTGAGTCCAAGAGTTTGAGACCAGCCTGGGCAACATAGTGAGACCCCATCTTTACAAAATTTAAAAAAAGAAATTGGCCAGGCATGGTGGCACATGCCTGTAGTCCCAGCTACTCAGAAGGCTGAGGTGGGAGGATTGCTTGAGCCCAGGAGGTTGAGGCAGCAGTGAGCCATGATCATGCCACTGCACTCCAGCCTGGATGACAGAGCAAGATCCTGTCTCAATAAATAAATAAATTAATAATAAAATAAACTCCCTGAACAAAGAGCCTCAGCAATAAATATTATGTTACACAAAGAGTTACAGTCATGGTAAGATGAAGCAGCTATAGCAATTGTGCTATAAAGATAATAAGTGATGGTACATATAGTAGTAGTTGTGCATTTACTGAAAATTTTCACCCTACATCATAAATATAATCTAGTTGCTTTGTCTTTTATAATGATCAGTATATCTATAAAAGTTTGCATTGCTTTCTACCTCAGAATGGAATAAAACTGATCTTGCGTAAATGCCAATACTTTTCCCACATCTCTGTTGCAAATGAACATAGATGTTATATACTGGTCAATATTCTTGATCACAAATTGAGATTGCTTTTAAGGATATTTTTTGGAAACACTTTAAAGACCCAGCAAGGATTAATATATTTTCATTCAATAGCATGTTTAAGTATTTTTAAGCACTAACAGAAAAAATGGGTGGTTATCAACAACTCTACATTATGGTTAAATGAATTATGTTACAATTTCGTTTAACAATTTGATCTCTCTTTTTTTTAAGTACAAGTTATTTAAACTTTGAAGTAATACTGTATTTTGAGGGTGTTATAAAAATTAGCTGTATATATATTCTATTTTTATTTTTATATTTGTAACTCTCTAGCTCTATGTCATAAAGCTGATATATATATCTCTATATATATAGATATATAGATATATTTAAGACAGAGTCTCACTCTGTCTCCCAGGCTGGAGTGCAGTGGCGTGATCTCAGCTCATTGCAACCTCCACCCCCTGGGTTCAAGATTCTCCTGCTCAGCCTCCTGAGTAGCTGGAATTACAGGTGCCTGCCACCGTGCCTGGCTAATTTTTGTATTTTTAGTAAAGACAGGATTTCACCCTGTTGGCCAGGCTGGTCTCAAACTCTTGACCTCAAGTGATCCACCTGCCTCGGCCTCCCAAAGTGCTGGGATTACAGGCATGAGCCACCGCACCAGGCCAAATGCTGATATATTTTTTAAATAGCTGTACAGCTTGGGGCCAAAATATGTTTGGTGTTTTAATTAGAGATTGAATTTTTTAGTAGGATATTTGACTTGACATTTTAAACTCAGATGTCAAGTGAAATAACCAGTTCAGTTCTTCCAGTAGTCGTGTGAAAATAATTTCTTCCTCAAATTCTTCCTTTTGGTTAGGTGCCTGTGGTGTTATGATACATAATGGTTTTCGTCCATGGTTCCCGGTTCATAACTACCATTGCCCTTGTTGCAGTCTTTTGTTACACTGTTGGGTGTGTTAGGCCTCTCTGGCAGGCCTCTGACCTTCTCTTGCCCTTCTTCTACTCTAATGTTTCCCCGACTTTCTGATTAAGGGTCTTAAGACCCTTCTCTGAAAGGCTCCCACCCTATGGGCAAAGGAGTGCTGATGTCCTGAAGCTTCTCTGAAAAACCAAGAGGACAGGATTCACAGAGCTTCCGAATAGCGGAATACTTGGAGGTTCTTGGAGGGTAGTGTGCCCAGGGAGGGCATGGAAGCCCTGCATCCCTTCCACCATCCCTCACCCTACACATCTTTTCATCTGTATCCTTTATAATAAACCAACAAACATGCTACACTGAGTTCTGTGAGACAATCCAGTAAAGTAATCGAATCCTAAGAGGGGGTTGTGGGAACCCCAACTTGAATGCAGTCAGTCAAAAGCCCAGGAGTTTGTCTCAGTTTATTAAACTTGTCTCAGTTTATTAAAAAAAAAAAAAAAAAAACCCAAACCATACACACACACACACACACACACACACACACATATAAAATGAGTTTTCTCTATATAGTACCACAGGGAAAAATTAATTTTAAGTTACTGATAGCCTTGGAAGGGTGCAGTAGTGGCTCATTCCTGTAATCCCAGCACTTTGGGAGGCCAAAGTGGGCAGATCATTTGAGCCTAGGACTTTGAGACCAACTTAGCCAACATGGTGAGATCCCCTATCTCTATAAAAAATAAAAAAATAAAAAATAGCCAGGCATGGTGGCATGCACCTGTGGTCCCAGCTACTTGAGAGGTTGAAGCAGGATTGCTTGATCCCAGGAGTTCAAGGCTACATTGAGCTACAATCGCCACTTTACTTTAGCCTGGATGACAAGAGCGAGATTGTCTTAAAAGAAAGTTATTGATAGCCTTACTAGCCATCAGAAAAGAAAGTTTGCTGAATCATTTGTATAATGTAAGAACAAAGCAATTGCCATGACATATACTGAGATAAAAGAATCTCCTCCAGAATGCTGTCTGTGGCTCCAGAGCTGTGGTTGTATTCAGACAATATTGAGTTTGTGTTTATTGGTGCTACTGCAGTAATCCAAGCAAAATATGCTGGTGTAGAAGCAGTGTCAAAGAGAGGAGACAGACTTGAGATATATATTTTGGAGGTAGAATTGATGGGACCTGGCTATAAACTGTGTAAGATGTGTGTGGGGGTGGGTTGAAGGTCAAGGATAACTCTTTTTTTTTTTTTTTTTTGAAAGGAATCTCGCTCTGTCGTCCAGGCTGGAGTGCAGTGGTGTGATCTCGGCTCACTGCAACCTCTACCTCTCGGGTTCAAGCGATTCTCCTGCCTCAGCCTCCTGAGTAGCTGGGACTACAGGCACCCGCCACCACATCTGGCTAATTTGTGTGTGTGTGTGTATTTTTAGAGATGGGGTTTCACCGTGTTAACCAGGATGATCTCGATTTCCTGACCTCGTGATCCGCTCACCTTGGCCTCCCAAAGTGCTGGGATTACAGGGGTAAGCCACCGTGCCCGGCAAGGATAACTCTTGAGTTTCTGACACAAACAACTATGTGGATGGAGGTATCTTTTACCAACAAGGAGAAATTTGGAGGAGGGGCAGATTTGGAAGTGGTGATGAGGAATGAAGACTTAATAATTGAGATATTTCAAGTTTGAGATATTAATACACAAGAGACATCAGTGGAGATGCCAAGTAGGTAATGGACTATGCAGGTCAAGCTCTGAAGAGAAGTCTGAATCAGATAATACATTTTGGAATTGTCAGCATTTTAGATTACATTTGAAACTGTAGGACTGGATAACATTGCTTAAGAATAATGGGTTAGAATGTAAAGAAGATTCAAGATCTCCGCCTGGAAAATGGGAGGAACTGGTCCACCCTATCTCTTCCAGACTAACTTCTCATATTTTCAGGTCTCTGCTTAATTTTCACTTTTGTTGAAAGAAATTTCCTGAGCACCTTCCCATTCACCCTCATCCTTTTTCTTCAAAGTGCTTATCACATTTGCAATTAATTACTTGCGATTATTTGTTTTATACTTGTCTTTCCACTAGAATGTATGTTTCATGAGGACAGAGGCCTTTTGTTTCCATCTGTATCCCAGTGCCTAGCACAGTGCCCGGCATATAATATATACTAAATATGCATTCAGTAATGAATTAAAGTGGATGTGGCTGTTGGTTGATCTAAGATGAGCCTGCTAAGGTGATAAAGCAATTTAACAATCATTAATATATGTAAAAATTTAAGATGTTAGCCAGATGTTAAAAGTTCACTTATCTTAAACTTTCCTAAGGGAAAAGTAAATTAAGTAGCAAAAGATTCAAGCATTTTAGTTTACTGTTTCACTCTCCATGGAGCAACTGTGATATATGAATGTTTTTGGAGAATTTCATATGTTCAAAGTACAGACAATTCATCAACCCTGCAAGTGTTATCTCATAAGCTCCCAGGGTAGAGGGAACATCTAAATCTTTCTCACAGTTTTCTTACAGATGATGAATAGTACATAAATATTTACTGTTTCAATGTATGCTTTAATTATAACATTAAAGTAGTTACTTACATGTTTTAATTGTAGCATTAGTAAAGATGGTAGAAATGACATTGACTTTGCTGATCTAATGCAAAGCGGTTATCTTTGTAAATGTTCCTTATACCAGAGGTCCATATTTCTAAAATGCATTTTAATGTCTCTTTAAAGAGAGATCTCTTCCCCAAAGGACTTAATAAATTGTTCACACAGTAGACAGTCCCAGAAGCATGAGATAGCCATCCTCTCCCATCTTTGGAATTTCTTTTCCTCTTCAGTGCTTTTTTGCTGCCCCTCAGTATTTAGAGATTCTCAATGCAGCTCCTGGCCATTCAGTATACAATGCACATCTTCCTTCCCTCAGACTTATCTGTCTTGTTTCCAATTCCTTCCCAGTCTCACTTTGTATTATACAAGAAAATGTCTAGCTGTGGGTTAATAAAAAGAAATTAAGAAACATATATGGCATGTTAGAATTGGCAGATCCTTAGAAGTTGCTCATCCTCACATAGTTGCTCCATGGAGAGTGAAACAGAAGTCACTCATCCTCATTTTTCAGCTACTCAGGTCTTCTGGGTTATGTTAATTTGGATAAAATAATTGCCTTTAGGGAGTGTTGCTAATGGTGGGAAGCTGGTGTGGCTCGAATCACATCGCCAGCCCTCCTGTATACAGAATGGCATAAATTTGGCACAATTTAAATGGGCATCTTCATAGCTTATTCCATTTTAAAATGGAAGAATGGACAATTATTGAAGTTGTAGCTATTTTGCTTTAATCACTGAGGTAGATGTGAGTCATTGGGCGCGGGGTGGGGGTGTCATTTTGTTTTGTTTAATGCAGATTTCTAGAACTACTGTTTCAAAATGTTTTGAAAAATGGCTCAGGACTAAACTCTCTAGAGTCATTATAGCAAATTAGAACTTGCATATCTCTGGTTCAAAACTCCAGATCTAGGTAATAGTGAATTCTTCATTTAATTCAGAAAAGTAATATTTTAAAATGCAATTTTAAGGCAAATCTTTGAGCTGTTAAGAATATACTGATGCATAATCATGAATATATTTTCCCCCAGAAATACAGATTAATGCTTTGAGATAAAAACAGCCAAGGGATATGGGAAGACATTTATGTGCAAGGAGAGAAACCGTATCTCCAGGCTACAACTATTTATCAATTTTCCTGGCAATAAAACTTGCCAGCCAGTCTGTAAGCCTGGGATACAGATGAGGAACTCTATATAGAAAAATCATGTCTTTTGGAGAAATTTGCTCGGGAAAATTACTACCCATTGATAATATTTTACCTGGCATTCTTTTTACCCTCATCTGTACCTTGCACAAATACTTTCCAGCTGACTCTAACTATAGCCTACCCTCTGCAGTAGAAACGCCTGAGGTCTTCCCTAAAAGCTAGATAGGTGGTTTGGTATTTAAATGAAGCTCTTCTACTTTCATTTCTACATAATTATGTAAGTCTTGTTTTTTTTTAAGATAATATATAGATTAGTAATGCTTATCTTACAACCCTGAAAAAAAGTACTTGTATTATTTTCTCCATTATATGTCTAATTAAAATTTTGTTACTGTCATCTCAAGTCTTCAGGAACAGAGCCATCAAGAGAAAAAGAAATTGGAAAGGAGCCCTAGTATATAGTCAGACAATCAAGACAGGATTGAATTCATTGCTGTCAGGGTCTGACAATCTGAATCTGAGCAAGACCTTATCACAAGGGGAATCTGACACATTTTAGGGTTTTTGGTCATAAGACTGCTATCTGTAGGGGAATAATAAAGTGCACAAAACATAAGAAGATCTCAGAGACTTTTAATCTCCTCAAGACTAAGAGTGCAAGGGAGGGCCTCATTTAGAGGAGGCCTGAAGCTTTGAAGAGCTTGTGATTCCTCATATATTTTTCAAATAAAATCAGCACCTAGTTTTAAATCGGAAAATGTACATATATACTTAAATTAAGAGCTTCTCTTTGCTTGTAAAAATTTGGCCGGCCAGGCACAGTGGCTCACTTCTATAATTCCAGCACTTCGGGAGTCCAAGGAGGGCAGATCATTTAAGCCCAGGAGTTCGAGACCAGCATGGGCAATGTGGTGAAACCCTGTCTCTACAATAAATACAAAAATTAGCCAGGTATGGCGCAGGCAACTGTAGTCCCAGCTATTCAGGAGGCTAACGTGGGAGAATTGCTCGATCCCTGGAGATTGTGCCACTGCTCTCCTGCCCAGGTGACAGAGCGAGACTGTTCTCCAAAAAGAAAAATGTGGTTAAGTGTATCATCACTGAGCTTTCCTCCATTTTTGGTATCACTGCTTTGCTGGTGTCCGCTGAGCAATCCGGAATGAACAAAGATCTTATCTTAAATATGCATTTTCCTGGCTCATCTTCCATAGCAATGCCTTGCACACAATTAGGTACTTAATAAAAGGACTAAGAGTGGGGACATATAATGGTGAAAATGGACTCCTTATATAACTGGCTAATTAAAATAAGTTGTCAGGCTGGGCGCAGTGGCTCAGGCCTGTAATCCTAGCACTTTGGGAGGCCGAGGCGGGCGGATCACCTGAGGTCCGGAGTTCGAGATCAGCCTGACCAATATGGAGAAACCCCGTCTCTACTAAAAATACAAAAAATTAGCCGGGCGTGGTGGCAGGTGCCTGTAATTCCAGCTACTCGGGAGACTGAGGCAGGAGAATCGCTTGAACTTGGGAGGCGGAGGTTGCGGTGAGCCGAGATCGTGCCATTGCACTCCAGCCTGGGCAACAAGAGCGAAACTCCGTCTCAAAAAAAAAGAAAAAAAAAGAAAAAAAGTTGTCAACAGTTTTAAATCTTTCTTTCTTTCTTTCTTTCTTTTTTTTTGAGACAGAGTGTCCCTCTGTCGCACAGGCTGGAGTGCAATGGTACATTTTCAGCTCACTGCAACCTCCACCTCCCGGGTTCAAGCGATTCTCATGCCTCAGCCTCCTAAGTAGCTGGGATTACAGGCGCCCGCCACCACGCCCGGGTAATTTTTGTATTTTTAGTAGAGATGGGTTTTCACCATGTTGTCCAGGCTGGTCTTGAACTCCTGACGTCAGATGATCGATCCACCCGCCTCGGTCTTTCAAAGTGCTGGGATTACAGGCGTGAGTCACTGCGCCCGGCCCCTTTTAGAAGTTTACTAAACTTTTTTTTTTTTTTTTTTTTTTGAGATGGAGTCTCTCTCTTTTCGCCCAGGCTGGAGTGCAGTGGCAGGATCTCAGGATCTCGGCTCACTGCAATCTCCGCCTTCTGGGTTCAAGTGATTCTCCTGCCTCAGGCTCCTGAGTAGCTGGGATTACAGGCGCCCGCCATCGACCACATCCGGCTAATATTTGTACTTTTAGTAGAGGTGGGGTTTCGCCATGTTGGCCAGGCAGGTCTTAAACTCCTGACCTCAGGTGATCCACCCGCCTCGGCTTCCCAAAGTGCTGGGATTACAGAAGTGAGCCATCGTGCCCGGCTTGAAGTTTACTGACTTGAATAAAATGTGCACCCCCTCCCTCCTTCTGAGTGGACAATCACCGTATCTTGTATCTTTAATACCTGGAAACAACAGGCCTTCTTTTATTACTTTTTTTCTTCTTTTTTTAAGTTATTTTTTATTTTTTAGTGATTTTTTTGTCTTGTTTTTAGGCCTTCTTCCTTTTTTTTTTTTTTTTCCTTATTTGAGACGGAGTTTTGCTCTTGTTGCCCAGGCTGGAGTGCAGTGGCACGATTTCGGCTCACGGTAACCTCTGCCTCCCAGGTTCAAGTGATTCTCCTGCCTCAGCCTCCCGAGTAGCTGGGATTACAGGCGCCCGCCAGCATACCCAGCTAATTTTTTGTATTTTTAGTAGAGGTGGGGTTTCTCCATGTTGGTCAGGCTGGTCTCGAACTACCAACCTCATGTGATTCACCCGCCTCGGCCTCCCAAAGTGCCGGAATTACAGGTATGAACCACCGCACCTGGCCAGGCCTTCTTTATATACAAATACAGCTGAAGGGATCACAAGATTTTGACTGGTAAATGATCTTTCTCTTAATTTTATTCCTGAGTACAAATTTTTAGGAAATGACAAAGTCTTTAACTTTTGAATCGTTAATGTAATTTTTCCCAACCTGCATATCTAAGACGGTGTGTGTGTGTGTGTGTGTGTGTGTGTGTGTGTGTGTGGTTTTTTGTTTAGTTGGTTGTATTGTTATTTTTTTTAATAAATGACCAAAAACCTCCTTACTTGGATGGAATATTTTTGCAATGTTACAAGCATATTCACAGTGTTTTCAGGCTCTCATTTTCAAAGGCTTAAAAAGCAAGTTGCTGAGAAAAAAGAATAATACACATAAAAGTGTATAATATGGTAAATTCATTTTGCCCTATTTAAAATTCAAAAACAAGCAAGTTTACAAAACAAAAAAGTGTTTTCTTGTCTGAGACAAATTTCTGTTTTAGTGCTAAAGCATCCAATTAATGGATTGCCTCAAACTTTAGCTATGAACTCAAGGTAAAAATCACATTAAGATTGTAACTGTGGAGTACCAGTTATTTGTTTCATAGTAAGTATTTGGTTTACTGTGACCTCTTATTTAAGAAACATACTGAACCCAAAAATTGTGCACTTCTAGTGCAAGAATGTATCATTAACAATTTATTTACAATAAATTATACAACACGGCGTAAGGATGGGTAGTGGGGGACAAGGAAATACTATGTTCTTTTATTAATATTTAAGTATTACTACTTACACTTAGGAGGGAAACTCCTATTGTCAAGAAAACAACACACATAAGACCAATAATGTCATGAAAATACATGCCCTTGGGTAATTTGGCAGGGCAACCTTGAATACAATGGATCTTTTTACTAAATGGATCTGAAATTCTACTTTGAAGGGAAGTGATTCATTTACATACATACTTTCACACTTAACTTTCCTCATACCCCTTTCAATCATACTCTCTAGGCTTAGCTGACTTAGCCTAGGTAATCATTGCTTGGTGACATTATCTCTGTGGCATCTCTAGCTATTGTCCTTTCTGTCTATTCTTCAAGCCCAGACATGAATGATGTTCAAACTTGGTTCTTTTTTTTTTTTTTTTTTTTTTGAGACAGGAGTCTCGCTCTGTCACCCAGGCTGGAGTGCAGGGGCGCCATCTCGGCTCACTGCAACCTCTGCCTCCCAGGTTCAAGCAATTCTCCATCTCAGCCTCCTGAGTAGCTGGGATTACAGGTGCCCGCCACCACACCTGGCCAATTTTTTTGTAATTTTAGTAGAGACAGGGTTTCACCATCTTGGCCAGGCTGGTCTTTAACTCCTGACCTTGTGATCCACCCGCTTTGGCCTCCCAAAGTGCTGGGATTATAGGCGTGAGCCACCGCGCCCGGCCCTCAAACTTGGTTTTAATTCACAAGTCACTATCACATTCACCACTATTTCTCCCTCAAACATTTGAGCTCTTTTAAAACTCCCTGACCTTAAAAAATTACCTTTACTTATGCCTGGAAGGCATGGCTGACTAGTAACAGTGTTGGTGTTGTCATCTAACTGCTATTAATCTTTGGCCTCAAACAGAAAATATTCACTTCAGAAGGCCTACTTAACCCAAAAAACACTTCCGGGAATGTTGAAATCTTTGAACTTAAAAGGGTAAATTCTAAATCACTCATTTTCTTTCTTCATCTTCTCTCTCTTTTATTTATTTATTTTTTTAGAGACAGGGTCTCACTCTTGTCGCCCAGGCTAGAGTGCAGTGGCATGATCATGGCTCACTGCAGCCTTGACCTCCGGGGCTCAAGCCATCCTCCCATCTCAGCCTCCCATATAGCTGGGACTACAGGCACTCACCACCATGCCCAACTATTTTTTGTATTTTTTGTAGAGACAGGGTTTCCCCATGTTGGCCAGACTGGTCTCAAACTGCTGGGCTCAAGCAATCCACCCACCTCGGCCTCCCAAAATGCTGGGATTATAGGCATAAACCACGGCCCCCAGCCCTAAATCACTTGTTTTCTTAAAAAAGTACAATGATAGGCACAATAGCAAGACATGATGTGATATAATGAAAAAGATACAGACTTAGACCCAGACAGATTTCAGTCTAAATCCCGGCACAACCATTTACTATATGGGACTCAGTTTGTTTTTGTTTTTTTAATCTGCAAAATATGCCTTACTTTACAGGGTGTTTATGAAGAGTTAACGGGAAAATTTTCATGAAGCACCTATCATATTTCCTATGTGTGGTATGTTGATCACTGTATTTATTATGATCATAGGTAACTTCTCTATAAAAACACAAAGAATTAATTTCAGAATGCTCACTTCATACTATAATTATTACAAATTTATTCAGGTTAGTTTGCAAATCTCTGAATTAGTGAAAATTCTTCCAGTGAAATGATCTGTTCCAACAGTGCTGGCTCTGGACCTTTTCTCCCTAATTCTACCTTCTGCCACTGCCACTTCTTTCTGAGAATCAGGTCGAATGATAGAGGGAAGCTTCAAAGTATTTGGAGGAAAATGACAACCTATCCTACAGGTAGCTTCTAAGTCAGCATAGTTGAATTCCACAAAGATAAAAACAGTCCTTGCCCCTACGCTGAATTCAGTACCAAGAAAACAAACTCCATCAAACACTTCCTTCAAAGAAGTCAAAGAACTCACAATCAGTATGGCATTAAATTTCCAATTCTAAATATGCACTTAAGGACATTCAGCTGATTTTTCAACATGTACTTTTGTGTTAGCCTTCTTTCCAAATATTTTGTTATCAAACATTTAGAAAAACATAGTATATCTATATGTACTACATAAACAACCTAAATAATGTATATTCAAATTTTGCCTGTCTCAACAATTCATATAATTCACTATGATTCCAAAAAGCACCATCATTGATCATCCTGCTGTCTCATCCACTACTAGCAGTCAGACAGCAGATAGTCGAAAGGAAATGAGTAAACCCAATGAATAAATTATATCTTAGATAAATTTGAGATAAATTAAAACTATAGAAAATTTATGTTCTATTTGAAAAATATTAGATCCAGACTCTTGAACCCTCTATTTATTTTTGGAGCAAGGATTCTCTGTCCCCTGCATTGATCTCTGAGATACCAGAGTCAGGCAGAGATATGAGAGGAAATGGATGAGCGATCCAAGAAGTGGGAACTATGGCAAGAGACAGGTTTTCAAGAAGGTAGGTTTTACAAGAGCTGAGCTGCTAGTTGCTCAGTACCTGAAATGGAGCAACATTCAATAAACTTTGATTGGATACATTCCTTTCTTCTGTTTTGTTCACTCCATATCTTTGGCATCTAAAATAACAACTCCCGTACATTGTTTATAAATAGTTATTCAATGAATGAATGGCTCTTGAAGGGGCGCTGACAGTGTAGATGACTTAGAGTGGGGATTTTATGGCAGTATTTGCGGTAGGCTTTTCCTGGGGATCAGGAACTTCAATCCTTAACTACAGAGTGCTTGCTAAATAGAGGATTTCCTATGTAGTTCTCCAGACTTTAAAGATTCACAAGCAGAAGATTTCACAAAGTCTAGACAACATGAACTACCCAATGTAACTCTAATATTTAACTTTCACCTCAGGAAGTTTTGCACTATATTTCATGCATATCAGTTTACAATGTAATCCCCTCTCTTTCTCTGAACTCTGGGGAAGTATTTCTACAATGCCTTCATTTATTTATTGTGAATGGAGTCACCATTGGTTCTTCTTTTCTCCAGGCTAACTCAAATATACTTTTATACCTCAGCTATATTTTTCTAACCCTTTAATGATCTTGGTTGCTCTTTGAATGTTCTCCAGCATTCTAATGTCTAAAGTCCTGGAGGCAGGCTGGGCACGGTGGCTTATGTCTGTAATCCCAGCACTTTGGGAGGCCAAGGCGGGGGGATCACTTGAGGTCAGGAGTTTGAGACCAGCCTGACCAACATGGTGAAATCCTGTCTCTACCAAAAATACAAAAAATTAGCTGGGTGTGGTGGTGGGCACCGGTAATCCCAGCTACTTGGGAGGCTGAGGTAAGAGAATCGCTTGAGCCCGGGAGGCAGAGGTTTCAGTGAGTCAAGATCGTGCCACTGCACTCCAGCCTGGGTGATGGAGCGAGACTCTGTCTCAAAATAAATAAATAAATAAATAAATAGTAAAGTCCTGAAGACTCTGTCTCTAAATAAATAAATAAAGTCCTGGAGGCCACACTTGGACATAGTATGCTGGGACTGGCAGGCGGAGGCTAATACTAAATTATTATTCTAAGACCACCTCATGCTTCCTATTCCATCTTACTCAGACTTGTGTCAGCTTTAGTTTAGTTTTTTTTTCTTTTTTTATTTTCATTACATGCTCCATTTGCAAGTTCATTCTGTCTCACCATTGCTGAAGTAGTTATCTTTTACATTGGGAATTCACAGATCTAATTTGTCATTCTATAGCTTCTGCATTTGCAATTTCCTTCCTTGAGTACATTCCTCGTGTACATCAGCATTACATTTTCTCTTTATTTCTAAACACACCATAGCTAGGCACATCACACCTCAGCCCTGTGTTAGGCAAATGCAAGCACTCCAAATATAGTATTGATATCTGAAACCGAAAACCACACTCATTCTTTTATCAGTATCTCTCCATCCCCAAACTTGTTCCTTCTGCTAACTCCTCAGTCTGGATTCTTCTGGATTCTCAGCAGCACCACATGCACAAGCTAGAAAGGTCAATCAATTTTATTACATTCTCTTTTACTACCTATAGCTAATTGGTTTCCAAGTCCTGCTGAGTTTAATTCTGACATGTCCTGTTGAGTTCGCTCTGGAAGATGGCCCTTCCCCTTTATTTTACTCTACTACCTAAGTTCAGGTCTTCAGCATCCCTGGATTGGTCTACCCGTATTAGAAGCCTTTGGTTTCTCTCATTCAATGCATTATTCTTTCCTTTCTCTCTCTCTCTTTTTTTTTTTTTTTTTTTTTTTGAGACAGAGTCTTGCTCTGTTGCCCAGGCTGGAGTGCAATGGTGCGATCTCAGCTCACTGCAACCTCCGCCTCCTGGGTTCAAGCGATTCTCCTGCCTCAGCCACCCGAGTAGCTGGGATTACAGGCACCCGCCATCATGCCAGGCTAATTTTGGTATTTTTAGTAGAGACGGGGTTTCACCATGTTGACCAGGCTGGTCCCAAACTCCTGACCTCAAGTGATCCTCCCATCTCAGACTCCTGAAGTGCTGGGATTACAGGCGTGAGCCACCGCACCTGACCTCTTTCCTTTCTCTTAACACATGTATTATCATGCCATTTTTTACCTTAAAAAAATTCACATTGTCTCTATTGCTTAATATGCATTCAGGACCCTGATATCACCTGCCATTTCAGACATATCTCTTGCTATCATTCCTTCTAAACCAAATTCTACACCAGGATAGCAAATGTGTTTATTTTTATTAATTGAAAGTTGCTGCATAAAACAATATATTGTAAGGAAAAGTGCCATGAAAAATTGGCCATGCCTACCATGAAGCGGAGGTAATGACAACACCTATGTAAAATATTAGCTATCCATCTAGCTATACAGATTGAATATTTAAATTTCCCCAACACTTCATTTACTTTGGTACTCTATGACTTACTTTTCTAGAACTGATCTCCTGGATTTGAATCTTGCTTTCCTTTCTCAATACTGTCAGTTAACTTTTTCTCTCTCTTTTTTTTTTTTTTTGGTGAGACGGAGTCTCATTCTGACACCCAGGCTGAAGTGCAATGGCACGATCTCAGCTCACTGCAACCTCTCCCTCCCAGGCTCAAGTGATTCTCCTGCCTCAGCCTCCCGCGTAGCTGGGATTACAGGCATGTGCCACCATGCCCTGCTAATTTTTGTATTTTTAGTAGAGACACGGTTTCACCATGTTGGCCAGGCTGGTCTCAAACCCCTGACCTCAGGTGATCCACCCCACCTCAGCCTCCCAAAGTACTGGGATTACAGGTGTGAGGCACCGGCACCCAGCCCTTCTTTTTCTTTTTAAAATAGAGACAAGGCCGGGCGAGGTGGCTCACGCCTGTAATCCCAGCACTTTGGGAGGCCAAGGTGGGCGGATCACGAGGTCTGGAGATTGAGACCATCCTGGCTAACATGGTGAAACCCCGTCTCTACTAAAAATACAAAAAATTAGCCGGGCGTGGTGGCGGGCACCTGTGGTCCCAGCTACTCGGGAGGCTGAGGCAGGAGAATGGCGTGACCCTAGGAGGCAGAGCTTGCAGTCCGCCGAGATTGTGCCACTGCACTCCAGCCTGGTAGACAGTGAGACTCTGTCTCAAAAATAAAATAAAGTAAAATAAAATAAAATAAAAGAAAAGAAAAGAAAAGAAAAGAAACAAGGTCTCACTATGTTGCCTAGGCTGGTCTTGAACTCCTGAGCTCGAGTGATTTTCCCAGCTCAGCCTCCCAAAGTGCTCGACTTACAGGCGTGAGCCACCATGCTCGGTCATCTCAGTTAACTTTCTTTTTTTCTTTGAGACGGTGTCTCTCTCTGTCACCCAGGCTGGAGTACAGTGGCACAATCCCGGCTCACTGCAACATCTGCCTCCCAGGTTCAAGCAATTCTTCTGCATCAGCCTCCCGAGTAGCTGGGACTACAGGTGCGTGCCACCACACCCGGCTAATTTTTTCTGTTTTTAGTAGAGACGGGGTTTCACCATATTGGCCAGGCTGGCCTCAAAGTCCTGACCTTGTGATCTGCCCACCTTGGCCTCCCAAAGTGCTGGGATTACAGGCATGAGCCACTACGCCCGGCTCAGTTAACTTTTAAAAAATAATTTTTAAAAAGATATTTGGACAGCAAATGGGCATGCAAAAAAATTTTTTTGATCCATGCCTTATATCATATATGAAATATATATGAAAGATCAAATACTTAAAAGTAAAAAGGTGGAGCTGTAAATGTCCTATAATGCACTATCGAAGAATTCATTTATAGTCTTGGAGTAAAAAAGGACTTTGTAACTATGTCTCAAAATCCTGAAATCATAATGTAAAATATTGGTAAGTTTAACTATCAAAAGCAAAACTTCGTATAAGACAAAAACTGATAGGCCAGCAACTAACAACACAACAACAAAACAGGTAGTTTACAGAAGGAAAACATCAATGGCTCTTTAACAAAAGATTTTCCGGGCCGGGGGCGGTGGCTCCCGCCTGTAATCCTAGAACTTCGGGAGGCTGAGGTGGGCGGATCACGAGGTCAGGAGATTGAGACCATCCTGGCTAACATGGTGAAACCCCGTCTCTACTAAAAATACAAAAAATTAGCCAGGCGTGGTGGCGGGAGCCTGTAGTCCCAGCTACTTGGAAGGCTGAGGCAGGAGAATGGCGTGAACCTGGGAGGCGGAGCTTGCAGTGAGCCGAGATGGCACCACTGCACTCCAGCCTGGGCGACAGAGGTTCAACTTCACTCATAACAAGATAAATCCAGGCCAGGCGCGGTGGCTCATGCCTGTAACCCCAGCACTTTGAGGGGCCAAGGTGGGAGGATCATGAGGTCAAGAGATCGAGACCATCCTGGCCAACATGTTGAAACCCTGTCTCTACTAAAAATACAAAAGTTAGCCAGGCGTGGTGGCACACACCTGTAGTCCCAGCTACTTGGGAGGCTGAGGCAGGAGAACCACTTGAACCCGGGAGGCAGAGGTTGCAGTGAGCCGAAATTGCGTCATTGCACTCCAGCCTGGTGACAGAGTGAGACTCTGTCTCAAAAAATCAATCAATCAATCAATCAATCCAAATTGAAATATTAAAATATCAGTTTAAAATCTCCTAGATCTGGCTGGGCACGGTGGCTCACGCCTGTAATCCTAACACTTTGGGAGGCCGAGGCAGGCAGATCACATGAGGTCAGGAGTTCAAAGCCAACCTGGCCAACATGGTGAAAACCCGTCTCTACTGAAAATACAAAAATTAGCCGGACTGGTGGCTTATGCCTGTAATCCCAGTTACTCGGGAGGCTGAGGCAGGAGAATCGCTTGCACCCAGGCCGTGGAGTTTGCAGTGAGCCAAGATTCTGCCACTGCACTCTAGCCTGGGCGAACCGGGAAACTGCTAGGAAACATAAAAAGAGGTGAGACAATCTCTGCCTTTAGGTAGTTTATCAATCAAGGAGGTTAAGATAAATACACATAATTAGAAAGCAGAATGTGGTCACTGCCATAGGAATTATAAGCAAAGTTGTATAGGATTTAGAGCGAAGTAGAATTTTGTAATGTTAGAATAATTTTTTAAATGTATTATATATCTGAAGAATGCAGTGGTATTTGAAAAAGGGTTTTGAAAGACTAGTGTGATTTCCTTAAGAAAGGGCAAGGTATTTAATTCAGAAAATCACATGTCTCTAGGGGCCAGGCAAGTAATGTCTGTAAGTGAATGGACTGCCAAGAGGAAACGGAGATAAATGAATCTAGAGGTTCTTAAACTTGACTGCACATTACCATCATCTGCGAAATTTAAAAAGTCCCCGTACTCAGGCCATAACCCAAGCCAACTAAATCAGAATCCAGGGAGGTGGGATGGGGTGAGAGTGGAAACTAAACACCTGTATATTTTTAAAAAACTGGCCAGATGGCCGGTCATAGTGGCTCACACCTATACTCCCAGCACTTTGGGAGGTTGAGGTGGGAGGATTGCCTGAAGACAGGAGTTAGAAACCAGCCTGAGCAGCAATAGCCAGACCCTGTCTATAAAACAAACAAAAACTGCCCCAGGTGATTTCAGTGTGGACCAGCAACATCTTCATTACCTGGAGATTTGTTAAAAATGCATATTCCCAAGCCTCACTCTGAACCTACCCAATCAGAAACTGCATTGTGATGATATCTCCAGTGATTCTCACCTACACTACAGTTTGTGAAGTTCTGCTCTAGAGAACTTTATCCTCCTCTGAGGGAACAAACATTCACTACCCAGTATCTATCTAGTACTTCTATGAGGGAAACCAGACCCCCTCTATTTTCCCTTTTTTTGTTGCTTTTTGAGACAAGGTCTCACTGTTCCCCGGGCTGAGTATACTGACATGGTCACAATCACGGCTCACTGTAGCTTTGACCTCCCAGGCTCAGGTGATCCTTCCACCTCAGCCTCTCGAGTAGCTAGGACCACAAGGCACACACCACCATGTCCAGCTAATATTTTATTTTTTGTAGCAGGGTCTTGCTATGTTGCCTAGGTTGGTCTCAAACTCCTGGACTCAAGTGATCCTGCCACCTCAGCCTCCCAAAGTGCCAGGATAACAGTCCTAAGCCACCATGCCTGACTATTTTTTTCATTTATATTGCTGGCAATAACACAAATAATTGAAATCAGTTTCAAGTCATCAAAAGATAACTGAGGCTTCCCAGTTTGTGGGGGAGAAAATGGTGAATTAGCAGAGTTTGTCTAAAGCTTAAGTTCTTTTAGAGTGAAAGTGTTTTAAGGGGGTTTTTTGATATTAACATTAATACCAAAAGCCAAAACATCTCTGCCAGCAATATTTTATGTCAAAGTTTAGTATGTGACACTGCTCAAAGTGGGTAAGGGTTGTGGAGCGCTACCAGATGAGCAATTCTTCTCTACAAGTTCCTTAAGCAAAATGTACAGGAAATTGAATATTGGAAATGAATCCATAAAAGTGTGGAGGGCTCGGAATGCAAAAGTAGAGCTTACATGCTTAATTTTGGCACCGAAAATTCACTCAATATTTTTAAAGCCAGGATTATAATTACAATACAAACAAAAATGAAAACTTGCTCCATCATGATCTGGTTAGATGTATAACTGGTGCAAAGTAAAACAGTTGAAGACTTTTAAGCAGCAAATACTTCTCAAGCTCCTACTATGTATCAGATGCTATTCCAAGCCCTTTAACTTAATTCCTTCTGTAGTCATGGCCTTTATCTTTATTCCCAGCCAGCCAGCCTTCTGGAAAATTGATGTCATTGCTCATAGAATGAATGATCTCACAAGATAAAAGTGTGGATGACTCAGAGCAGCTCATCCATCCAACTAGAGACTAGAGACTGTCAACAGCTCAGTAACTTTGTCTGAATATGAAGGACCCGAAGGACCACTGAGATTGGAGACAGAACAAAGGTAGGGACAGAACAGGTGAAAATACACCACCGAAGATTCCTTTCTCCACATTGCTAATAAGTTTGACAACAGTTACAAAATTTAAACGGAAAATAGTTGTGGCTTTCAAAGAATAATAAATATTAGCAACCATTTTCTCTTGCTCCTATAATCCTTATATGATCTATTATTCTTTTTTAGGTTAATTTGTTGCACTGGGTAATGTTTTTATCTACCTCTGCTGAAATGCTATATAAAATCACTTCTGTGGTTAAATGTAATTGATTAATTGCAGATGAAAAAGACAGTCTAAAAGCTTTAATCTGTTGAACTTCCACTTTATTAAACTATGCATTATTACTACTAAAACACATTAGGTATTTTTATATACAATTCATAGGAGCAAAAATAAAACACTTCACAAAATAGGTTTCTGTAAGAAGTTTGTTGACAGATTTTTAAAAAGAAACTCCTAAGCACTTTCAAAATTTTAAACACTCTAAGAATATAATCAGAGAACAGCTGTACCATTCCTTTGTAATTTTATAAAGCATGCACTTACTTTGTTTGGACAAAAAGTTCACATTTGTTTTTGAGACATGCACAAGCATAGTAACAAAGGAAATGAGAAACAATGTACTGTATTAGATAGGCAAGGCACACAGACATGACAAAGGAAAAAAAATTCTCCTTTTGAGCTAAAAAGAGAAAAATGATTACTATCATCAAGGAGGAAGAAAGGCATCTCCGAGAAAGAAATATTTTCCCAGTAGTTATCTAGGAGGATAGAAGGGTGGGGTGGGGGAACAGAAGGGTGCCAGGTCAGAGAACATTGTTGATGGTCCCTATGAACAGAACTTTGATTTATACAACAAATCAATTCACTTACAGGACGTGCTTAACTTCACCTGTTGGGAGTAAGTTCAGTCTCTTTCCCTTCTTTGAATGAATGGGAAAGGTTTTCCACTCATCCGCTGCCTCCCACCACAGGAATGCTTGCTATCTGGAGAGTTGTTTTGAAACCCATAGCACTTAAAGGAGCTGTATCAACAGGTTTTTCCTTCTCCCTCACACTGAGCCAGTTGTAAAGTTGAATGAGAACCTTGAACAGGTTAAACACTATTGCAGGAATTCAAAACCAGCTCTAGCTAGGGTTCCCCCCACCAAGAGAATCTCAATTTACAATTTATCACTTCAACCTTTCTGAGGGAGGGCTGTAGAGCCAGGACTATTTCCTGGCAGTATAATACAAAGCACATTTTAAGGAAAGCCTGAAAGTTGGCCTTGGAATTTAGTTGAGACAGAGAAATGTGACTTCCCAGATGGAGCTGCTAATGTGTGTCAAGAAAACTCAAAATAGCCAAAATGTCTTTCCCACCAACGTAACAAATTCCAAGCCCTTATATACTTATTTCTACTTTTATTTTTGAGTTGGAGTCTCGCTCTGTCACCAGACAGAGTGGAGTGCAGTGGCGTGATCTCGGCTCACGGCAACCTCTGCCTCCCAGGTTCAAGCGATTCTCCTGCCTCAGTCTCTCTAGTAGCTGGGATTACAAGTGCGCGCCACCACGCCCAGCTAATTTATGTATTTTTAGAGACGAGGTTTCACCATGTTGGCCAGGATGGTCTTGATCTCTTGACCTCATGATCCACCCGCCTCAGCCTCCCAAAGTGCTGGGATTACAGGCATGAGCCACCTCACCCGGCCATATACTTATATAGAAGTATTTCTATGGTCACCACTCATCAACACAAATATTTATCTTTTTCCTCTCAACTTTGGCCTGTAGAGTTTCTATTCCATCTTGAAATAAAACTGCTTCCAGCACGTGGGTGATGGGGCAAAACACTCATCTTAGAAGCTCCACTCTACCAGCCCTAAATGCTAGAGGGAAAGTCATAGACAAACTCGAACTATATTTTAATCTTCTAATATGAATGTTAAAAACTAGAAATTGAAAAGTCATTTGTATTTTTTCCTTAGATTAACCTTTTTTTTGGTTGAAGGGCTAATGTCCAGAACTTGGCTTGCCATGTTTGCACAGCCATTTGTCACTATTTTCATATCACTTTCAATTTATTTTGCACTACCAAGTGGCTACTTTTAACAGGTTCTGTGGCTTGAAATAATTTGATTTATCATAAGGCTTCTCAAACTTCATTTGGCATAAACTTTATTGGAAATGACTGTACTATGATATCAAACATTGAACAATGATGTGATAAAGAATATGCATTTTTACTATAAGTAAACAAACAACACAATTAAAAATAAGCTGACATTCCCAAAATGAACACACAGTTTAAAAGACTATCCTTAATCTTAATGAAAGAAATTAAGATCTCTGTAATAAAAAAATAAACTACTGGGCAAATAACTTGCTATGTACAGATTATTTTAACTAGTTTCCTAGATGATCTATATACAAAAATTGAAAAGGGACAGTGTTGGTTAGGCAGTGGCTCATGCCTGTAATCCCAGCACTTTGGGAGGCCGAGGCAGGAAGATTGCTTGAGCCCAGGTGTTCAAGATCAGCCAGAGAAACACAGTGAGACCCCATCTCTTTTTTTTTTTTTTTTTAAGACAGAGTCTTGCTCTGTCACCCAGGCTGGAGTGCAGTGGCACGATCTTGGCTCACTGCAACCTCCGCCGCCTGAGTTCAAACAATTCTCATGCCTCAGCCTCCCAGGTAGCTGGCACTACCGGCGTGCACCACCACTTCCAGCTAATTTTTCGTATTTTAGTAGAGAGGGGGTTTCACCATGTTGTCCAGGCTGGTCTTGAACTCCAGAGCTCAGGCAATCCACCCACCTTGGCCTCCCAAAGTGCTTGGATTACAGGCATGAGCCATGGCGCCTGGCCTGAGACCCCACCTCTACAAAAAAATTAGAAAAAGAAACAAAGAAAAAAAAAGAAAAGGGATAATGTCTAGGTAACTAGTTAATTTATTAATGTAATAGATTCTAGGGCTCAACAAAAAACTTGAATGTCTAATTACTCTGCATTTGAGGAAGCAAAATAAAGTAACAACAAAAGCAGAGACATTTAAGGAAATGAAATAAGGAATCAAAACATAAGAGTCAGCAATGGAGATGGCTTGTCATAGTGCACAAACCATAGTGAATACTTAAAGATACATTTTACTGTGTTTCTCAGCCTCCCTGAGATTCATTCAACAGTTTGGAGTCTTCATCAAGTTAAACAACAAACAAAGCAACAACAAAAAAAGCCTTTCAGAAAAATACTTAAAGTCAACCAAATTACCTACTGAACTTTGCCCTAAAATTTGCACTAGACACTATGATTTTATCACTTTTTAAAGGGATACAACAAAGTTTTTTAAAAGAATTTCCAGAGGGCATAAAGTGTTTCCAAAAGTGAGGAAAAGAAGTCTATAATCATGTAAGCATTACTTATTTAGCCATTGCAAATTAAGATGATCAGATATCTCCATAAAATGGGAATTATTAATTTAAAATTTTATACTAACATGCCTACACATTTTCCCATCCTCCCTCCCTCCTTTTCTCCTTCCCTCTCTTTCTCTCTCTTTTCTAAAATCTGGGGCTACAGAGGAGTGAGTTAGTTTGTTTGCTTGTTTGTTTTGAGACACAGTCTTGCTCTGTCTCCCAGGCTGGAGTGCAGTGGCGCAATCTCAGCTCACTGCAACCTCCGCCTCCTGGGTTCAAGCGATTCTCCTGCCTCAGCCTCCCGAGTAGCTGGGACTACAGGGGCATGCACAGAGATTTTTCATCTTCCTTTAAATTCTGGTGCCAAAGTAACCAAACCAACGTGGAGCAAGATTAGCTGGGAACATGTAAACCCTCTGCAGAATTTTATTTATCACAATTTCTACAGGGAGTGGCATGAAAAAATTAAGAATCCACAGTGGAGATGTTCAAGGCATCTTCACGTGTAATAGCAATATTCATCAATAAAAAGATTCATCAACAGGGAAGGATATGTTGTGGTACATTCATGCCATGGAATACTATGAAACAAAATAACAAATTACTGACACATGAAAGTACATAGTTTATGGTTCCATTCACATGAAGGTAATAGCAGAGTTTACCAGGGAGGAGTTATTGGTTGGGAAAGGGCCCCAGGAGCCTTCTGTGGGCTAAAAATGTGCTAGATCTTGAGTTGAGTGAAGTATACAGGTATATCAATGCATAAACATTCATTGAGGTATAATATGATTTGCACACTTTCCTGTATCTAGGTTGTTCCACAATTTAAAATTTCAATAATGAAATTAAAGAAAAATTCACAATAGAGGGAAAAAAGTCCAAGTTAGAAAGCCGCCACCAAAATGCCAACAGGTTCAACAAAGTGGAATTCTCAAGAAAGAGAATTCCCGCTTTAAAAAGTACAGAGAAATAACCCCCTTCCCCAGGGGTTGAAAGAATGAGCAACTTGTTTTTCTTTTAAAGTTCCTTCTCTCATTAGGCATAGGAGGGAAAGTAAAGAATGATAAAACACCCCCAAAACTAGGAGGTTTGGGGGACTTCAGTTACACTTTAGAATTGTTTGGTGTCTCCTCAGAAGTTGTAGGGGGTACTCCGATTTTCTTTTGAGGGAGATGGCTGCTAAGTGACCGAGAGGACAAAGAGGAAATCGATCATCTGGGTTTCAAGTAGAGAATTAAAGTTTGGCCTCAAGCTTACTTTCTATATTGCTCAACAAGAGGGAAGACTGTGGGCAGAAGTACCATCCAGGTATGAATGATGTACATTTGGTTGGACTTTCCTTTGTGTTCTTTCTGGGAAAAACCAACAGCTTGATCTGGTAGATCAGGAGTAGAAGGATGAGAAGCCCTAGTGTTTATTTCTAGTGAAACTCTTTTGATATCATTTATGTGCTCTTCTTTTTTAAAAAGCTATTGCAAAACAAATCCCTGCCTTCGTAGCCACTTTTCTTTTTTCCAGGCTTTTTAGGCACACGATGAAGGCTTTTCTCCTATTCTCCCTCTGGGTACTCCCCAGCCGTGGGAGGTTATTTCAGACAGTAGAGGCTGTGGCTGGTGATGAATGTTTAGAAGGCTTCAGCTTGGGCCTTGAGCTTCATGATCTGGCATTCCTACCTCCCGTCTGAAATTTTAACACTAGCTCACTGTCTCATTCACTACTCAAAAGTGCTGCCAATTATAGCCTGGCTGCATTTATGAAATTGATTTAGAAATCCTAGACCAAAATGAATAGAGACAATAATGGACAATGCTAAACCTGAACATTTCATTTAAATAATATGTATGAGGGAAGATAATTAAAAACTTAGGGCCTATGTATTAGGTGTTTTGTATACATTACTGCACTTAGCCCTCATGACACCTCTATAAGCTAAAAGTTAGTATCTTCATTTTATAAGTTGAAATCTCAGACTTCAAAGAACAAAAGCTGGCCATATATGTATGATGGCTCACGCCTGTAAGCCCAGAACTTTGGGAGGCTGAGGTGAATGGATCACTTGAGCCCAAGAATTCTAGACCAGCCTGCAACATGGCAAAAAATGCATCTCTACAAAAACCACAAAAACTTAGCCAGATGTGGTGGCACACACCTGTAATGACAGCCACTGGAGAGGCTGAGGTGAGAGGACCACTTGAGCCCGGGAGACTGGGGCTGCAGTGAGCCAAGATCACACCACTGCACTCCAGCCTGGGTGACAGTGTGAGATCCTATCTTGAAAAATAAAATAAAAAATAAAGGAACAAAGGTACTAAGTGTGCACAGCTAGGTTTCAAGCTCAGATTCACCTAACTCCAAAACCATTTTATCTTACTGTTGCTCAGACAAGATTCTTACTCAACACACACAAAGCTAAATTGTTCTTTTATCCTATGACAGAACATACATGATATATTAAATCAGCTAAAATAGATGGTAACCTCCTTGAGGGCAAAGGTTGATTACTCTTCTTTTGGCGTAACATAGAGTGTGCCTTGATGTATTAGATGCATACTTCCAAATAGGTGCTCATGGGATAGATGTTGATTTTTAAAATAAATTACAAACATACACACAATACATAAATTTTCTCAAAGCATGTATAAGCATCTACATCATTGTCCTTATGGATTCAAACATGCAAAAAAATAAAATTTACACATTTAAGACGATGCAGTAAAAAGTGAAGTCAGTGCAAAGGATGGTTAGAACGCCAAATGATAACATAACCAAAAGAATTTTTAAAGCTGGGTACTGAATTGCATTTGCCTGTCTTTAGCCTAAAAGCAAATTGGTTAATGTTTGTTATTCCACAATTAACAAGAAAGGAAGAATAAAGCCTTTCATGGCATAACTGATCCTAAATACAAAATCACTTCAAAAAACAAAAACATGCAAATACAAGATGTTCTGCTTATACAAGATGAAACCTAAATGAGCAGACTAAAATCTAACTGTTAGTAAATTTATACCCTCATAACCAGTTCTTTACACCAAAAAATCCAAAAGCTGACTGAAAACTTTATTTACTGCGCTTCTCCCCCATTTTACTTTCTTTGTGTGGAATAAAAGTTCTGAAAAAGATTTAAATTCTTAATGCCTTATTTTTTCATGAAAATTATAGTCTGAACTAGCTTATTTACTTTTAAATTCAATCATAATTTCTCACTCAGAGAACTGTACCTAGGCCTTTCGTTTCTGTGTTGTCAATGATTCTTTGTAGTTAAAGACACGCAGATTTCCAAGGTGGTGTGCTTTGTTATTTTCTTCTTACTATTAAAATTCTGAGCTTGCCTGAAGGTAAGTAACTCAGAATTTTAAATTACTTCATAGAATAAAAATGGCTTCTTTCAATAATGAATGCTTATTTGGCTTTCTGGTAGAATTATCCAGGTTTTCAAGTTTGTGGTGGTTGTATTCGTGCTTCAGAATTATCTAAGGATGAGTTTGGTTGTGATTCTAAATCTACTCATAAGTAGTTAATCTCCATCCCAATATATTTGGTTAAGTCCAGTTTTGAGATGATAAGAAAAAGAAAAACAACACCCAGTGTTTCTTCCTTTCAAGACCTTGTCTTCATTACTTTCTTCATGATACGTTATTGCAGTAAACAGACATTCCTGAAATGTTAATAATGTGTACCTATGCACTGTAATTTTTTTCCTCCATTATTCAAAAATGTTTCCTCTTATTGTTTACTTTTGTGATTCTCCTTTCAACATTTTTTAGAGTGGTCATTTTCTATCAAAAGGAATGTCTTATGTTGACTAAATTTGGGGAGGGGGCATCTCTTTTCAATCATTTTGAGTTACTTTTGCATACAGCCTTTGGTCCACATTATACTTCTTAAACCAATCTGTTTGGGCACATAAATTTCCTTCTTGTTCCTGCTTCTCCATTTTTAATGCTTGTCATTGTCTCAGCATTCTCTCAGTTTTAAGTCGCATTTTTTTTTTCTATTCCTTTGTATGAATCTACATATTTCTTCCTTTTAATTGGTAGCCACTTCATTCTGTTTTAAGGTCTTTAAAATTTACTTTTGGTCCCCATTGAGTCCCCTGTTGATGTCCATTTAGTAACACACCAAAGATTTACTGAATGGCACACTCCCTAAATATGACACTTCTGGTGTGTGGATGGAGGGCATGTCTGTCACTCTCAGAATGACTCCAGGATGACTGAAGACATTGTTACCCAAAAATCAACTACTAAAAGAAATGTCCAACTGTTTAACCAATAGTATATACTATACCATTTAACAAATGGTTAAAAAAAAAAAAAAAGAAAGAAACTTACCCTTTAAAGATTTCAGTAGATGATATAGGATCTTTACTTCTTTATTTCAATTCAATCCAACTCAGGTAACAATTATTGAAGCCTCTCAGGTCCAGGGGCTGTGGAGACCACAAATAGAAGGATAAAGCAAGCCCCTCCTCTTAAATTTGCATTCATTTAGATCAGCTAAGGCTTTCAAACACCAAACTTTATATAAAGTGTTTTCCTGGAAGGGTGTGTAGTAACTGTTTTCTCCAGCCAGTGAGGATCTTAGATTCCCCTATTTTTAAAGCTTCAGGTTGTTCTTCAGCTATTCCTTTTATGTTGAATATCCTCAGGGGATTATGCCCACTTTTCTATTTAATGTATTTTAATTCAGCCTTGTAATGATCTCTATATATGTATTCATGAGCTCATATTTCCCTTAGGACTTACACAGGTAGCAGAAATTACATTGGCATTCTTTACTACTTCCTGGCAATTGCAAGTCTGACTTCATAAATACTTCTATTTCTGTGCTTGCATCTAAAAGTTTCAGAGACACTGTGATTACTTGATTACATAAATAAAACAAGGTCTTTTGGACTGATTTGTTTTACAATACCATGACTATAGCAAACTGGCAACACACACAATACAGAGTCTGGCTTTTCCTCTTCTTTAAATCATATCCCCACCCAACCAACCTCAACTTTTTTCTTTTTCTCCCTGTGAAAGATCCCTTTGAAATCTTGCAGGGTTTGTATCCTTTCTCATAGCATGCATTATGCTCCTACCCTGAGTATAATATTTCATGCTTACTTTGTTGACCTTATTGGCCCTAGGACAAAAAATACCTTTTGCATTTGAAGACAAAGAAAAGCATTTTTCTTCCCATTTCTTTCTTCTTTGGGCAAGGAAAGTGGGATGAGAGGGTGGGTGGGAGAGAAGTAATGCCCAAAAGAGAAACCGGTGAATCCTGATACAACCATATGCGGCATCTTCAAGGAAGGTATGGTCTGGAGGGATTCTTAATTGAAATGATATCAAATACCACCTCCTAACTCAAACAACTCAATAGCAAGAAAACAATTAACCTCATCAAAAAACCGGCAAAAGGACCTAAATACATTTCTCAAAAGAAAACAAGCAGATGGCCAACAGATACATATAAAAATACTCAGCATCATTAATCCTCAGGGAAATGCAAATTAAAACCACAATAATATACCATCTCACACCTTTTAGAATTACTATTATCAAAAAGATGAAAGATAATAACTGTCGGCAAGGGTGTGGTGAAAAAGGAACCCTAGTGCGCTGATAGTGGAAATGTAAATGAACACAGCCACGATGGAAAACAGTATAGAGGTTCCTCTACACTGAAACTAGAATTACCGTATGATTCAGCAATCCCACTACTGGGTGCATATTCAAAGAAAATGGAATCAGTATGTAAAAGAAGTATCTGCATTCCCATGTTCATTGCAGAATATATATATATATGTATAAATATACGTGTGTGTGTATATATATATATTGCATATATATTTTGAGACAGGGTCTCACTCTGTGACTCAGGGTAGAGTGCAGTAGCACAGTCATGGTTCACTGCAGCCTTAACCTCCCCAGGCTCAGGCGATCCTCCTACCTCAGACTCCCTAGTAGCTGGGACTACAGGTGCCACCACGCTCAGCTAATTTTTATATTTTTTGTAGAGACAGGGTTTTGTCACGTTGTCCAGGCTGGTCTAGACCTCCTGACCTCAAGCAATCCACCCGTCTCAGCCTCTCAAAGTGCTGGAATTACAGGTGTTAGCCACCACACCTGGCCAGTTAAATTCTAAGGTGAAAAAAAAAAAGAGAGAAACTTCTCAACTTGGAAGACTAAGCATTGTTCCCTGTTGAACTATATAACCAGACCCCCTGTGCCTTGCTTAGGGTAAGAAACAGCCTACATCTGTCCGGGGGCTGTAGTCACTATGCAGTGGCTCTTTGCCTGAAATATGGGAAGCAAGCACCAATGAAGAGAGCAAAATAAGGAAATGAATATGGAGGCCAAGATTTACTAGATTAGGTCACAGTCCAGAAAGACCAAATGTAGATGGGCCGTTAGACGCCGGGTAAACAAGTTGATCTTAGGCATTTGCATTATGAATCTCTTGCCTCATATCACTTTGTTCAAAGTGAAGGCAATATAATGTTTAAGAATGCATTAATTCAGGGTCTGAAACCAAAGCACATATTTTACAAAGTAAACAAGACCTGAAGCAATAAAAGAGTGCATAATTTGGGGTCAGATAGATCTGGGTTTGAGTCTTGGCATTGACATTTATTGTGTTAGTTACATAACCACACACACAAACACCTCCCCTCCCATACCCTCCAAGACTGTTTCTTTATTTGTAAAATAGGATAATAATTAAACATACTTCATTGAGTACTTGTTGTGCAGGTTGGATGACTTAATGTATGTAAATGAAGTCCTTAGCACAGTGCCTGACATTCTCAGTGGATGGTAGTTAAAAACAAGCAATGAAACATCAACTGCTCAGCAACTCCTATCTGGAAAAAGGTGACAGGATTGAAGAAAGCCTGTGGCACGGGAAATCAAACAGACTCTATCCCTCTGAACAAGGGCTGTCACACGCCCTCTGTCCTCTTGTTATTTTAGATTCCCTTCATACTCCCCTGCCTTGCCATGGCCAGACGCTGCTAAAGACATTTCTTCATTTGACAAATGTCTAATAAGTGCCAACTCTGTGTCAAGTAGTCAGCTATGGGTTAGGGATATATTGGCGAACACCTCACAGAAATATTTGAAAAGATAGTTAATAAATAAGATAACCACACAAATACAAATAAGTGTCACTTGTAAGAAGAAAAAAAACCAGCTGGGCGCGGTGGCTCACGCCTGTAATCCCAGCACTTTGGGAGTCCAAGGCGGGCGGATCACGAGGTCAGGAGATCGAGACCATCCTGGCTAACACGGTGAAACCCCGTCTCTACTAAAAATACAAAAAATTAGCCGGGCATGGTGGCGGGCACCTGTAGTCCCAGCTACTCGGGAGGCTGAGGCAGGAGAATGGCATGAACCCAGGAGGCGGAGGTTGCAGTGAGCCGAGATAGCGCCACTGCACTCCGGCCTAGGCGAAAGAGATTCCGTCTCAAAAAACAAACAAACAAACAAACAAACAAAACCAGGATTCCTCTCTAGGTGGGTTGACAAAACAAGATCTCTGTGAGGAAGGGAAATTTAAGCCGAGACACACCAAAGATAAGAGCGGCCGTGGTTTTTCTCCACACGTTATGGCCTTTCTCTGAAGAGCTTGTGATAATCACCAGCCTTATCTGCCCTGTAACTTCCTTGTACTCCCTGGCTATCATTCTCTGGAAGTAATATCAAGAGACATCAAGGACAAACTATTTACTAAACTAGAGTGACCCTGCGACCACACTCACAGATATAGCCACCAGGCAGCCACATGCATATTTGCACTGGCTATTACTACGTAAGCACGCCAGACAAGCCAAGTACCCTGGCATGAGTCTGTATTCTCCTGCCTATGGGGAAGGGTGGCTTTTTCTACTTCACACAGGTAGAGCTGGCCAGTGGCCCTGGACATCCTCAAAATAAAAGTACACTCAGAAACCAGTGACAGGTTTTAATTTTTTTTAAGAAATGAGGTTTCACTATGTTGCTTAGGCTGGTCTTGAACTCCTGGGCTCAAGTGATACTCCCGCCTCAGCCTCCCAAAGTGCTTGAGCACAGGGATTACAGGTATGAACCACAATGCCTGGCTGAGTTAAAGGTTTTCAAAAGAAGGCTGGCAGGTCAGGCGCAGTGGCTCACACCTGTAATCCCGATACTTTGGGAGGCTGAGGCAGGCAGATCACTCGAGGTCAGGGGTTCAAGACCAGCCTGGCCAACATGGTGAAACCTGGTTTCTACCCAAAATATAAAAATTACCCGGGTGTGGTGGGTAATCCCAGCTACTCGGGAGGCTGAGACAGGAGAATCACTTGAACCCGGGAGGCGGATGTTGCAGTGAGCTGAGATCACGCCATTGCACTCCAGCCTGGGAGACAGAACGAGACTCCGTCTCAAAAAAAAAAAAAAAAAAAGAGGCTGGCACTGAAGTGTCCTCCCAGGACAACCCAACATAATACCTAAGTATAAGAGTTATAGAGAACCCATAGTACTATAGCCATAGTACTATAGACTTGCACCATGATTTATAACCCCGTGTTTTTTTTTTTGTTTTGTTTTTGTTTTTTGAGATGGAGTCTCGCTCTTGTTGCCCAGGCTGGAGTGCAATGGCACGATCTCGTCTCACTGCAACCTCCGCCTCCCAGGCTCAAGTGATTCTCCTGCCTTAGCCTCCCAAGTAGGCTGGGATTACAGGCTCCCACCGCACACTCAGCTAATTTTTGTATTTTTAGTAGAGACAAGGTTTTACCATGTTGGCCAGGCTGGTCTCAAATTTCTGACCTCAGGTGATCTGCCTGCCTCGGCCTCCCAGAGTGCTGGGATTACAGGCGTGAGCTACTGCACCCGGCCTATAACCCTTTTTTTTTTTTTTTGCTTCAGGAAAAGTGTGTGTTTCCTCCTCTTGGCATCTTAAGGAAGACAGAGAGTCTGTGCTGGCTTTCTAGCTCAGTGGCACGGTGCGGGGACATCTGGCCAAGGGAGGGGCAGCCTGGGCGCCCCCTTGCCTGAGTCCTCACACAAGCCCTCACTTCTTCCAGCAAGGGCTCCTACAAGAGGTCTCTGTCTGGCACTGATGGTCCTCAAAACTATGACTAATGGTCTCCTTCTCAGGTTCTCAAAACTGAACGGTTCTTGTTAGATTTGGAATGATTCTCCTTCATACCAGAGCAGAATCATTCTTCCTGATTACATAAAACAAGGCACAAAGAAGCTCTTTGGGGTTGTAGTAAGTGGTGGGAGTAACAGGAGAAGAAATAGGAGAGAAATGTAGGTAACCACGAGCTAAAAACAACAGAATGTCAAGTGATTGTTGGCATACTCAGAGCAGTATCTAATTAAAATATTTCAGGAGGTAGAGGAAAGATTTTTATAGAGAATCAAGTTAAGTTAGTTTCAATAGGTTTAACAACAACAACAACAATCCACATATAATATTCTCTTGGCTAGCTGTCTTATATATTAAAATCTAGAATTATGCAGATACTTTCTCAGGCTAAGACATGTTTTGGCCTAATTAAAAACATCTCAGACTAGCACACACACAGGACTCTATGATTTTAAAGATAGCACTCATACTTAAGGCAAGAACTAGCAAAACTGGCCAGACTTGATTTCTAGCAAGGTTTTCTTGGAGGAAGTTAAGAAAGATAAAGAAGAAAAAGGTCTCTTAGAGAATTGAAATGACAGCAGAGCTGGACATCAATAGTGTGCAAACTTGACATGGATTAATTTGGATGCACCAATTAAGAAAAATATAACCCTGGCCAGGTGCAGTGGCTCACACCTGTAATCCCAGCACTTTGGGAGGCCGAGGTGGGTGGATCATCTGAGGTCAGGAATTTGAGACCAGTCCGACCAACAAGGTGAAATCCCGTCTCTGCCCAAAATACAAAAATTAGCCAGGCGTGGTGGCACGTGCCTGTAATCCCAGCTATTCGGGAGGTTGAGGCAGGAGAATCACTTGAACCTGGGAGGTGGAGGTTGCAGTGAGCTGAGATCGCGCCACTGCACTCCAGCCTGGGCAATAAGAATGAGCGAGATTCCGTCTCAAAAAAAAAAAAAAGAAAAGAAAAAAGAAAAATGTAACCCTCCTGCCACATTTGAAGACTGCACAAATTATAACTCTAGTTAATACGTTTTAAAATTCTAAATTAGTCACAATCCCAATCCAGAGATCCTGGTTTCTCTACCAAGCTAATATATTTATAGTAATTTCAAGGGTATTGTAAAAATCTCAGAATAAAATTAATATTGATTTGCCTGAATTTTAAAAAGAAATAAACACGAAATATAAGTTTGTGGGGGGATGGTGAGGTTACTCTAAAAAGACTGATAATCTCTACTGCAAGAACTACCATTTTTATTCCTGGGCCACAAACATGGCTGACAGCTCTTTTGCAGAGTTATGCAAAGAAACAAAAGCTTTGTAAAGAAAGAGTGCAATAAGAAATTTGCAATCATTCAAGAATGTACTTATGATATAAAAATTTCAGGGCCATGCAACCATAAAAAAGAATGAGATCCTGTTCTTTGCAGGGACATGGATGAAGCTGGAAACCATCATTCTCAGCAAACTAACACAGGAACAGAAAACCAAACACCGCATGTTCTCACTTATAAGTGGGAGTTGAACAATGAAAACACATGGACACAGGGAGAAGAACATTACACAACAGGGCCTGTCAGTGGGTGGAGGGCAAAGGGAGGGATAGCATTAGGACAAATACCTAATGCATGCAGGGCTTAAAACCTAGATGACGGGTTGATAGGTGCAGCAAACCACCATGGCACGTGTATACCTATGTAACAAACTTGCCCGTTCTGCACATGTATCCCGAAACTTAAAGTAAAAAAAAAAAAAAAAAAAAAAATCAGTGCCATCTCTCTTTTTTTTTTTTTTTTTTTTTCTGGTCTCAGTCCCTACCCATCCTCAGCTGTTTACCATGAAATCAAATTTGTACTGACTTGCCATATACAGATTTGAGGGCTTTTTCTCTGGTATGTTTTCTTTTGGAACAGTATTGAAAGGCAGCTATCTCTTGAAGTTTAAATAATCAGAAATACAGTAAACGCTGCAGTGATAGACCTAGAAATGCAAACTACATGGCCTTTCAGCTTAATACTCATATGCAATTGCTTGGGTGCTAGTGTAGATACACTAATTACATTCGAATTATTCCTCAGCCAGCCTAATCTTTAGAATTCTCGGTGAGGGTGAAAATGAAAATCGTCACCATAATATAGATCATTCATTCACACAACAAATATTTGCAAAGAACCTACAGTTCTAGGTGCTTGGGATACAGCAGCGAACAAACTGTATCAATACTATCAAACAACTTGAACTAAATGACATATATAGAACACTCCATGCAAAAAATAACAATTCGCATTTTTTTCAGCATAAATGGAACATTCAAGAAGTTACATCAAATTTTGGACTTAAACATATATCAATAAATTTGTAGGAATTTAAATTTTAAAAAAGATGTTCCCGGCCGTAACGGAAGGAAATTATGGGGTTCAAGACATGTTAGCCCAAAATATGGTACCTCGACATTTGAGAAAACAGCAGAAGCAGGAAGCCTTCTCTTCCCATCACTCTTCTCCTCTGAGGCAGGTCATAAGACTCTCATTACAAGGGCCCTCTCTTGCTAAGTTCTCCCAGTTTATTAACATTAGTTCATACTCCTTTTGTCCTCCAATCATATTTTCCCAAAACTGTTCACTTTTCATCAAACCTAAGCATGAATATATACGGGTTTCCCTGTTTCCTTGTTTCCGTAATGAATGTACTCATGTCACACAACATTTATATTGAATAAATGTGTATGCTTTTCTCATTAATGTCTTTTATTTTATTTTATTTTTTGGAGATGGGGGTCTCCCTCTGTCACCCAGGCTGGACTGCAGTGGCACAATCATGGCTCACTGCAGCCTTGACCTCTTGGGCTCAAGCAATCCTCCCACCTCAGCCTCCTGAGTAGCTGGGACTATAGGCATGCACCACCATGCATGGCTAATTTTTTTATTTTTTGTAGAGACAGGGTCTCACTATATAGCCCAGGCTGGATTCAAACTTCTGGGCTCAAGGGATCCTCTGCCTTGCCAACACACCTGGCTCTTAATGTCTTCTGTTATAGGGGTCTCAGCTATGAACCTAGCAGTGGATAAGAAATCTTTCCTTCTCCACAGAAACGAGGTATCAATAATTTTCAAGATACATGGAAAATCCTCAAATATTTGAATTAAGCAACGTACTTCTAAATAGCACATGGTAATAAGAAGAAAATACACTTATGTGAATACAAATTTAAAATACAACATATTGGGCCTGGTGTGGTCACTTACACCTGTAATCCCAGCACTTTTGGAGGCCGAGGTGGGTGGATCACTTGAGCCCAGGAGTTCGAGACAAGCCTGGGCAACATAGTGAAACTCCGCGTGGTGGCGGAAGCCTGTTGTCCCAGCTACTTGGGAGATGGCGGTAGGATGATCAGTTACACCTGGGAAATCATGGCTGCAGTGAGCCGTGATCGCACCACTGCACTCCAGCGTAGGTGATAGAGCAAGTCCGTATCTCAAAAAAAAAAAAAAAAAAAAAGTTACGTTATGCTGCCAAAACAGTGTTTGGTGAGAAATTTATAACATTAAATGCTTATGTTAGAAGAGAAGAAAGGTTTAAAATGAATGCACTAAGCTTTCACATTAAGCAACTGGAACAAATTAAACTTAAGGTAAACAGAAGGATGAAAAAGGATAAAGAGTAGGAATTAATGAATCAGAAAATGGATCATAATAATAAAAGTTGAAAAAAAATTAGAAGCTATATACATGACCAAAAACTTCAGTCTAATCAAGGGTAAAATTTGTTTGCAACATGTTGCTAAATTGATTTCTCACTTGCTAAGAAAATCTATAAAATCCTATCATTTCTTTCAAAAGAGGATGTTTGAAAGCAGCAGCACATTCATATTTAAAATTGAAGTAACATAGTTACAAAAAAAATAAAATGGAAGAAGCAAACAGAAAAAAAGGAACAAATTTAAACACTTTATTGATTGGTAAAAACACTTAAGAGAATAAGAAAAATAAACCAAGAGAAATGATATTGTTCAAAAGTCAAAAAGAAAGACATATATAAATCAAGAGGAAAATAGCTTTAATCTCCTAATTAGGAGGCAGAAATAGAGAAAAAAATCCAACCAGATGGGCAGGGCTCTGAGGGCAGCCTTATTATTGGATTTGTGGCTGCCAAATAGTGTAGGCCATTTCCAGAAATTGGGTTCTATACTGTAAGAATTTAGTATCTAGAGATGTGACATTAATTAAATATCAGTTTTTGCAACAAGCCCTATATTCAGAAGAGACTCCCTAGCTTCTGCAGAACACACTGCCAGCCAACATATTAATAGTTGAGGGGTATTTCTTCCATTTCAAGATGACAGCTGCATTCCTTTCTTTGGCAATTAGACTTTCAACTCTCTGGGGAATGAAGATTCTTTGCAGATTTGCAACAATTATCTTAACTTGCCTTGTACTACTTTACTGTTGCTTTGCACTGCCCCCGCTGATCTGCTGGTCAGTTCTGCTACTCATGCCTGATGAAGCTATTGTAAAAGATAGAAGAAACTGAGAAGCCCAGTGTGTTGACTTAGGACATTTCATTTTCTCTTTAAAAGCAGACATCCTTGTAATCTACGCCCTCGTACCATAACTTTTCCTTCTATTTCTGTAACTTATTAAACGAAGGCACCATGCATTGAATGATTTTTCATACCAAATGATCTTGATAGATGCTCATTCCTGAAGTACCTGCTGTATTAAATATTTAAGGGCAAAAGATTCTGAGAAGGTACGACCTTGGCAGAACGTCGTTCAAGCCTAATGAAAATGAGCATATTCTTGAAAATGCTACAGAGCATACACAGAAGTAAATAATTCCAATGCAATGAGATATTTCCCTCAGCAGTTTGTGAGGCAAGTGAGATTTCTGAAAAGCATTGCCAGCTTGTGGGGAATGGCACAGAGATGAAGATTGATCCTTTACCTGTATCTGCATCCAGTGGGACTGAACAGCCCACAGCACTTGTGGGCAACGGGTTTCAAAGGGGCTATGGGTGCAAGAGGTGGAGCCAAATGCAGGGCTTTAAGAGACTGTTAAACTCACTTCCAGGAGCCTCATCTCACAGAACGACTGTGACGCTGATGCTGAAGCCATCAACTAACTCCACCATTACCAGAGTTGTTGCCCAAAGAATGCTTCAAAGGGGCTAAAGAACCAAGCCATCCAATATTTTGGCTAGGCTATATTGCTCAACTTAAATGTGTTCTAAGGTCATCGTTTGCATTCAGCTGAGTTGTTGTGACTAGTTTGTGTGAGGTTATAGCACATTCTTATAATTTCGTGTTGCCTTGACACCCATTTTGAGTATAAGCTGGGCTTTCTCATACCAGAAGCAAGACTTCCTCATCCTTGACAGTTTTCAGTTCTCTGTCTCTTCCCAGTTCCTCAGTGTGCTTGATCCAGATGTCTTATCGGCCTCTTGCTGTCCACCTCCCTATGGTAGAGCTAAATGCAATCTGCTTGACTCACCCCACTGACCCCACACCCTGCATGGACTTCACAGATATGCCTCAATGACCATCTTAGTCCACAAGTGCCTCCGTGGAACTTGTGCCTGCTTGCTCTAGACTCACTGATTAGAACGCCGCACTGGAAACCTGCTCAGGTAACACCCTGGACCCCAATAAAGGCTTTAGCCCTCTTGTCTTTTCTCTCCTTCTCTCTCGCTCCCCATCAAGCATGTGTGTCCTGGATGGGCCCCTACTTTGCATTTCCCCTTCCAGGCATGCAGCCCTCTTCTTTTCGGACCTGTAAGTAATAAACTGCTTCTGTTATTTCATGTGTTTTGTTGAGTGGTCTCCTCTGTGTCTTACCTGGCTGACACAGCTGAACCTAACTTCTTTCCTGATCAGAGCTCTCCTAGAGATTGGCTTTCTTACAAGATTAAACAGGACACAGGTCAGATGAGAGCCACAAGTTTCTCTGCCAATATAAACAAGTTTCCTGTGAGAGGGACACCTGATCAGAGGTTGGACACTTAGACATTAGGCTGTCCACTATCATAAAGAAGTATCCTGTGAAAAGCACCCTGTAAACATCCACAACCACCATCCCTGAAGCCCCATCAGCGCAGGGCTAGAATTTATAGTCATTCTCCAGAGAGACACCTCAAGACCAAATTTGAAGAAAATACGAGACATGTCAATTAATTTGTTGTTCACAAGTTGTAAAATTGGCATAAATGTTTGAAGTTTACTTAATACATACACAAGGGTGGATTCATAGCTTTCCTTATATTCATTTGCATTCTACAACTCTGAGTGTGAAATGAGGGATTTCAATACAGCTAGGAATTCCTGGAATTGTATATAATCTCGGGCACACCCAAGCAAGCATTTACCCCCTACTAACATCACCCACTATGTGCATCAGCAAGATAATTGAGAAGCAGTCTGATAAAGCTGTCGTACTATTGTAAATTCAATTGTTCTGTTTTTTGTTTGTTTGTTTGTTTGTCTTTAAAAAAAAAAAAGATTACCTAGGACCCAAGAAAAAGTACTGCACTCTTTAGGCTCTAATAGTGAGATAATAAACTTGGCTAAATTAGAATTACAACTAGATTTTTAATTCAAAAGAGTATCTTTCCTCTGTTTAAAGGAAGCTGGTTATTATTTGCCCAGAAAGATATTCTTATGGCTTCTTCAGTTAATCAAAGATGAATTAAGTCTCAGGAGACACATATCTAAATGCTTCCTTCCTTTTGTCATTTTCCCAGAACATTCAACCTCAGACAGTTTGACAAATAAGGTCAGAACTTGAACTTGCACACATTGATCATTAATTCTTCTGAAAGAAAATCGCTAATTAAGTGACAGTATCTTTAGAGTTTACAAATAGTGGAAAATAAGGCATTTTGGTTTCTGATATGAAAAAGGACACCTATCAGCAAATATCACTGGAAAGTTTTCCATTGTTTTTGGAAGAGATTACTCTTGTTTTCTCTTTCAGTATCTTATCTTCCTTCTTGTCAAACCTACCAACTCTGGTCTCTACCCTTTCAGTTTCTATATCAGGACAATGAACTTGCATAAGAATAGCTTTCATTAGTGGAGTATTAATGTTTTCTCTTTAGATAACTCAGGCTGTAACTTGACAATCAATAGCGGAAGTAATGATTTAGATCAGAGGTCGGCTAGCTTTTTCTCTAAAGGGTCAGCCTGACCTTTTAGAGAAAAGCTATATATATATATATATGTATTTTTTTTTTTTTTGAGATGGAGTTTCACTCTTTGTTGCCCAGGCTGGAGTACAATGGCGTGATCTCAGCTCACTGCAAACTCTGCCTCTCGGGTTCAAGCGATTCTCCTGCCTCAGCCTCCCCAGTAGCTGGGATTACAGGCGCCTGCCACCATGCCCAGCTAATTTTTTTGTATTTTTAGTAGAGACAGGGTTTCACCACGTTGGCCAGGGTGGTCTTGAACTCCTGACCTCAGGTGATCCGCCCGCCTTGGCCTCCCAAAGTGCTGGGATTACAGGTGTGAGCCACCGCGCCTGGCCCAGGTAATAAGTATTTAGGCTTTGCCAGCCATGTGGTCTCTGTGGCACCTACGCAACTCTGCCCTTGTCACACAAGCAGTCCTAGACAATGTGTAGACAAATGAGTGAGGCTGTGTTCCAATAAAACTCTACTTATAGCTGAAACTCAAATTCCATATAATTTTTATATGTCAGAAAATATCCTTTTGATTTTTTTCAACCACCGAAAAGTACACAAAACATTCTTAGCTTGCAAGTTGTAGAAAAACAGGCGATGACCGGATTTGGTATGTGGGAAGTAGTTTGCTTACGTTTGACTTAGAATCACACTAACCTATACTTCACCCTGTAATTGCTGTAAAAAAAAAAAAAAGAAGAAAGAAAGAAAGAGAGAGAGAGAGAAAGAAAGAAAGGAAAGAAAGAAAAGAAAGAAAGAAAGAGAGAAAAAGAAAGAAAGAAAACCAATCAAAATGCCATAAACTAAGTCTAAATAATTAAATAGTAATTTGGGGTTTTCATATTGCACTGTATTACACTGTTTGTATTGGTCCTCAGGAATCCCCGGGAGACTGCTTGAATTGTGTCTTTTAAAAATTTTCCGTAAAGTACTAATTGTGAGAAACGTAAGGGAGTCTAAGAGGGCATAGTTGTCATGAAACTGGCCTGCCGCAAATATAAAATTTCCTTCAAGTTCTATGTTTTGTCTTAAATGTTGTTGTAAATTTTCCATTCTATTCCATAATATTTCCCCTCAAATTTTCTAGAAAAGCTAAAAAAAAAATGCCTGTTTGTACAGATTCTTATGCTTACAGAGAGATGTGGTACTTTAATTTGAAAAGCCAAAGAGGCAAGCTTAGATAATAGCATAATCAAATAAAATTAAAAGGAAGGTAAAAATCTAGTTGCAGGGTCCTATGTATTTAGTTAAATAGCTTCTACCAGGAATAATTGTTCCTGGTAAACTGCTGCAATGACACCGTTTTTAAATGTAGCTTTTCTGTAAAAGAGGAAAAGAAGTATAATGCGATTAATATGTATAGAAACAATGACTTCAGAATGAAAAGAATATAGGAAAACAGTAGGATCAAATGCGCTGAATTGGAGTCTTCCATAAGTAACCAAAAGGACAACAAAGAAGCTAATAGCAGATAGCTTCAATTCTAAAAGAATGTACATATTTTAATTACCAAATAGCTCCAATTGCTTTTGACTTTTAGGTTCTTTCTTTTAGCCCTGCAATTTAGTGTGAGTCTTCTCCTCCAGACTTGGCAAGACTTACCGGTTGACTTTTTTCTGTTGTTTTTCACCCAAGACACCTACTTTTTCAAAAATTCAAACCAAAACCTTAAATCGGTTTTGATCCACTTCCAAAAGACTCTTCTGTTACTCGTGTGTGTGTGTGTGTGTGTGTGTGTGTGTGTGTGTGTTTGTAAGAGGGAGACAGGATCTCGCTATGTTTCCTGGGCTGGTCTCAAACCCCTGGGTTCAAGCTATACTTCTGCCTCAGCCTTCAGATTAGGTGGACTACAGATGTGCGCCACTGTGCCCCACTTCTCACCCATTTGATGCAAGCAGTTGATATTCTCTTTTAAGAATGTATCCCGAAATTGTTCCCTAAAGCTCACAACAGTCTTGTACCCTGGTGAGTTACCATGGTAACCCTCAGATTAGCTTCTGGAAAACAGTAACAAGGGTTTTATCCTATTTCCATCACTACATTACACAGCCTCATCCTGCCCTTTGAATCCTAACATGAGATCAGTGCTAATTTTTCTGCTTCAACTTCTTTTCTTTGAAGAGGTGAGATTAGGGGAAGAGGTTAACCTCTCTCTCCTTGAAATGACTACAATCAAGGAAAGAAACTTTGCCAAAATCCTGGAGTTAGCATTTTGCTTTAAAGGGTAGTTTTGACTTGGCTTTTGAATTTTTTGTATTAAATACTTTTTCTTTTAACCCAATGGATGAGTAAGTTAAATCTAGGGTTATGTTTTACAATATTGGGCACTCTACCTTCACGGATTTACAAATGAAGCCACAACCAATTAACTTTGGAAGGTCGCTGTCTTGAGAAGAATTTGGAATCCGACTATATACATTGCTTTTCCACAAGCCTTTAGTGGCTAAAGGAAGCAAGGCAAAGCATAGCAGAGCTAGAATAAAGACTTTCCAGGTATAGTGGCTCACGTCTATAATCTTAGCACTTTGGGAGGAGGCACGAGGATCATTTGAGCCTAGGAGTTTGAGACCAGCATGGGCAACGCAGTGAGACCCCATCGCCACAAAAAAATAAAAATAAAGGCTGGGCGCAGTGTCCCACACCTGTAATCCCAGCACTCTGGGAGGCCAAGGCAGGCAGATCACCTGAGGTCAGGAGTTCGAGACCAGCCTGACCAACATGGAGAAACCCCCATCTCCACTAAAAGTACAAAATTAGCTGGGCATGGTGGCGCGTGCCTGTAATCCCAGCTTCTCGAGAGGCTGAGACAGGAGAATCGCTTGAACCGGGAGGTGGAGGTTGCAGTAAGCCGAGATTGCACCATTGCACGCCAGCCTGGGCAACAAGAGCGAGACTCTGTCTCAAAAAAATCAATCAATCAATAAATAAAAATAAAAATAAAACAATTAGCCAGGCATGGTGGAGCACACCTGTGGTTTCAGCTACGTGCGAGGCTCAGCTGGGAGGCTAAGCTGGGAGGATCACTTGAGCCTAGGACGTTGAGGCTACAACGAGCTGTGACTGTACCACTGTACTCCAGCCTTGGTGACACAGTGAGACCCTGTCTCAAAACAAAAAACAAAAGACTGAACTTGCTGGCCCAGACAGAGGGCTTGTGGCTTTGCAGACTCTGAACCTTGATTCTTTCTGATTTAATCTTTCTACTTCCTTCGATCCAAAGGTCACTTCTTCTTAGCAGTTGCACAAGAGACACCATCCCACTTCCATGTCTAAAGTATAGGAAGAATAAGGAGAAACTGTGCTGGTTTGGTAGGTTGCCAAGCTTCCCTTTACTCTGAAGTATTACTCCTTATGCACAGCCTTTGATGTCAGGGTTTCTGTTCAGGGGTTCCTTGACATCTGAGAGGCCTTGATCTTTGTCCTACACAATTCCAGAATATACCCTTATTTATAAACACTATTGGTTTCCTTTGGTTTTATTTGTACTCAAACCAGGTTTCCAGACAAAAGCAAAGTCATGCCCTTCTCCCTTCTCCCATCCCCTGATGTGCCAACTCTTTAGTTGGCACACCTAGAAGTGTGCTGAGTGGTTAAGGCATTTGGCCAAAGGATAGTGAGCCAGAAATAGTTCATCTGTAAGCCAGGGTTTAGCCTTAATTTATTATTTTTATAAGAAGAAAATAATAAAATGCTAATGTTGGCTCCTTTGAAAGGCTTTTAGAATTAAGTACTACATACCATAAGGTCTGGGCAGCCTGCAAATATTCCATTTTATAAGTGTATATAGTAGTTTCTAAAATTTAGAGATTCAAACAGTGCAAAATACCTCTTGGTCTGCAAGTATTGCAGCTGCAATCAGGGACCTGCTAACAGCGGCCTGACATTACAGGTCATTGTTGTCCTTCAGGCCCTGTGTGTAGAGAGTGCTGTGTCTGAGGCTCACCTAGCCCTCTCTTTAGTTCTTGAAACCTCAATCTTAGAGTTTCACAGTAAATGATGGATTATTTACTTATATCAAAGTAATGCTTTGCCTACCTGAGGTACCTTTATGAGAAATTCTACCACATACAGCTTTATTTCTGGATACAATTTCCTAAACTATGAACATTTCAGTGTTGGCCATTGAGAAATGAGAAGAACTCCAGTTTGTGGTAATCAAAAAAGAGGAATATGGGAGATTGGGGATAGAAAACAGAGTTGAAGAGGATTAGCAAAGAGAAAAGAAGCTGAGAGGTGGACATTCCAGGTCTCTGAGATGCATGTGAATCGCATCCTAAGGAAAAAGGCAACTGAGACTTGAGTGGATAATCTAATATCCGAAGCCTCAGTGTGAGGTTAAGAAGGGAGTTTAAGACTAGATCAGCACAGGTTTTAGACAGGATTGAGAAATATCTACTAGGCTATATACAGTAGGTCAAATAAAGACAATCTGAAACTGGGCCAGGCGTGGTGGCTCATGCCTGTAATCACAGAGCTTTGAGAAGCTGAGGTGGATATGTACACCTGTAATTCCAGCTACTTGGTGAGGCTGAGTCTGGAGAATCGCTTCAACTGGGGAGATGGAGGTTGCAGTGAGCAGAGATCACGCCACTGCACTCCAGCCTGGGTGACAGAGTGAGACAATGTCTCAAAAAAAAGATAACCTGAAATTTAATTATTAATTATTAAAATTATTGTATGACAAACAGCCTGAAGATTGAATAAAAGACAAAAGATGCAAACACCACCACCATCACCCATGTCAATAGAAGAAAAACGAAACAAAATTCTTCCAGATTTACATTACTGATGTGTCATGGTTTCACTTAGTGTGCTCATTTCATTGATTTGTTTCAGTGAATGACAAAATAGTCATCAGGATTTCTCTAAAGCTACTCTTGACCTTCGTTTCTAGAATATTATTTCTTCAGGAGGTTTTGCCCTTCTAAATAACATACTTCAGGGCTGGGTGCGGTGGCTCACGCCTGTAATCCTAGCACTTTGGGAAGCTGAGGCGGGTGGATCACCTGAGGTCAGGAGTTCAAGACCAGCCTGGCCAGCATGGCGAAACCCCATCTCTAGTAACATTACAAAAAACTTCGCTGGGCATGGTGGCGTGCACCTGTGGTCCCAGCTTTTTGGGAGGCTGAGTCATGAGAATCTCTTGAACCCTAGAGGCGGAGGTTGCAGTGAGCCAAGATCGCGCCATTGTACCCCAGACTGGGAGACAGAGGGAGACTCTCTCGAAAAACATTATTTTTTAATAATTAAAAATAAATACATAACATACTTTTTTTGTTTTCTGTTTTGTTTTTGTTTTTTTTTTTTTTAATTTCAAGGCATTCAACAAGAAGTATAAATAACATACTTTCCAAGAGAGAAGTTTTCAGAAATCTAAACTTGGGATGGGCCTGCTCCTTTTGGGAGCAAGAATATTTTGAGCTGGAAGAGAGTTTGCACCAACAGAGTTAATTCACACTTCAGCCATTCCAATAGCCTGGAATCTGTGCTTCTATCCCAGGGACTGGACACCCCCCAGTACACTTAGCAGTTGGCACTGACCTAAAATGCCTACTGAGCAGTCTGGGCCTGTAAGTAATTTTCTTTTATTTTTAAAATTATACCCTTGCCACAGCTAATCTCAAGGTGCAACATATTAACATTTTTTTAAGACTACAAAGCAATTCCAGTGGAGGATATATAATATAAACCAGGATTTGAAAATTTTTTACCCATTTTCAGTGTTCAATATTAGTTTCCCAGAAGGTATTAAGTACTATTTAATGACCACAGTTTTGTCTCTGTATTGTACAACCTCTCTTTGTATTATCTTTGATTCTTCAACCTTAAGGCCAGCATCGTGAAAAGCGCACATGCTCTTTAAATGTTTTAATGTGCATACTTTACATTGTATGGAAATTTATCTGCATTTATTTTTATCATCTCTTGTCCTTCCTAACATCCTTTTACATTCACGTAATATTTTTCTGTTTCACCATTTCATAAAAGTGTTTTGCAGTTTGAATCAGTGCTTCTAAATGACTCGTTTAGAGTAGAAAAAACATTTTTTTGAGACAGGGTTTGGCTCTGCTGTCCAGGCTGGAGTGCAGTGGTATGATCATGGCTCACTGCAACCTCCGCCTCCTGGGCTCAAGTGATCCTTCTGCCTCAGGTTCCCGAGTAGCTAGGACTACAGGCCTACACAAACACATCCAGCTAATTTTTTTTTTTTTTTTTTTTGTAGAGCCTGGGTTTCACCAGGTTGCCCAGGCTGGTTTCAAACTCCTGAGCTCAACCGATCCAGCCTCCTTGGCCTCCCAAGTGCTGGGGCTACAGGTGTGAGCCACTGCTCCTGGCCTAGAAAAGTTTTTAGTGTTCAGTTTAACCCTTAGTTTTTCTGTATATATTCCTTCATCACATAATTTAGGTATTTGGGGGTTTAATGATCACTTTAAAGACATGAGGTCATGCTAGCAGTATATCTTTTTCATTACGATTTTATGTATTTTACTGATTTAATATTTTACTATTTCCATTTTCTAATCAGCCTGAAAATCTTTCTTGATCAAACTGCTTATTTTCTTTCTTTTTTTTTTTTACAGAATTACACACAAGCCTCAAACTATTTATAAGCTGCTAACCGAAGGACTTTAGTGTATCATCTACTGTGCAAATTACTGTGATGTTATGAACCATCAGCATAGACATATGCACCACTATCTGTGTCAAAATTATATATTTCACACAGAAGGAGCTAAAACTTTTTTGTTATTGTTTCCTTTTTCTCTTAATTCAAAAGTTTATCCAGAAAGTTGCCTGTAATCCCAGCACTTTGGGAGGCTGAGGTGGGCGGATCACTTGAGGGTGGCCAGGAGTTCAAGACCAGCCTGGTAAACATGGTGAAACCCCGTCTGTAATAAAAATACAAAAATTAGCCGGGCATGGTGGTGTGCATGCCTACAGTCTCAGCTACTTGGGAGGCTGAGGCACAAGAATTGCTTGAACCTGGAACGCTGAGGTTGCAGTGAGCCAAGATTGCGCCGCTGCACTCCAGCCTGGATGACAGAGCAAGACTGTGTCTAAAAAATAAATAAATAAATAAATAAATAAATAAATAACAGCTTATCAGGAAAGTTAAAAGACACATTTTTTTTTGCGCTTTTGTTTATTGCCTTAAATAATGTTGCCTGAGAATTGTGTCGTATATCCAACATTCTGCATGATCCTAGAATCTAGACCCTCATAATTGAAAGCAACATTGAGAGGAACAAATCAAATCTATAATCTTTGTCTTACTTGATTCCTCACAATTAAATTGTGTGGATCACACTACTGACTCATAAGCTATTAGATGGAACACCACATCACTTAGAGAGATGGCAAGGAAACCAGTCACCTCAGTTTTGTTTCATCTTATATTGAATTGCTTTTAAAAACATAGATCTAATAATTTAAGCTTCAAATAAATGATCTCCTGTGTATATATTAATATCTGTAATTCAGTTTTCTATGTGCCAAACACTTATTTTGTTACTAGACTTAGTCGTTCCTAGATTTATTTCTCTGCTAATAAGATGAGAAAGGAGGCTGGATGAGAGAATGTAGACAAGGTACACAAACCTTAGATTCAAAGTTGACAAAATTTTTCTTTGGGTAGTCAGTTTCTATTCTGTAGAAATTTGTATCTTCAACAAAATATTTCATTAATACACCAGAAGCACTCTACCATCCTTGAATCTTGGTTGGGTGCCAGCCCCACAACATCAAGTTCAAGTGCTTAAATAGTACAGAAATACACAGTCACGTCAGAGAGGCACTAAATATCCTTTGCCCAGCCTCAGTAATGATATGCCTTAAATCCAGGGTGGGTGGAACATAAGAAGACTTACCCTGGCAACAGCTCTTCAAGGTGCTCTGGGTCCAAAGAAGAATGCCAGTTGTGCTTTCCCTAAAATAAATCTCCCTCTGTGTTGGTAGGAAGAGATAGGATGAAAGGTCAAAATGGTCTGAGCCTACCTCAGCCTAAGGTATTCCTGTGATGAGCTTTTGGGAGGGGCTTGCTGTTACTAATTAGCATCACCATGGATCCCCATCAAATCTTAATCTACTGCAAATTTCTAGCTTTTGTAATTTTTATAGCTTGTTAATTCTCTCCATTTTTCTTAGCACAGATAAATTTTCCCTAAACATCCAAACTCCATTTTACAATTTTATCAAACTCTGTAGGGCTACAATTTTACACTTGAGAGATAACTGATGTTAAAACTTACACCTTTAAAGTGATGATTCTAAGGACTTTGCTGTGTAGTTTTCACTGCAAAATGAGCAAATGTCAAATAAAACAGTGCTGACTTTGTGAGTTCTTTCTCTTCAGAAGCAGCTTCCACATGATTCAAGAGTGGCCTTTTCTTTTTTCTTTTTGATTTTGACAGAGCCTCGCTCTGTTGGTCAGGTTAAAGTGCAGAGGCACCACTTGCAACCTCCGCCTCCCAGATTCAAGCGATTCTCCTGTCTCAGCCTCCCAAGTAGCTGGGACTACAGGGCCATGCCACCACTCCCGGCTAATTTTTGTATTTTTACTAGAGACAGGGTTTCACTATGTTGGCCAGGCTGGTCCCAAACTTCTGACCTCAAGTGATCTGCTCATCTCAGCCTCTCAAAGTGCTGGGATTACAGGCGTGAGCTACTGCACACAGTCAAGGATGGCTTTGTCATTCTTCAAGTCTACACACACCTTAAGTAAGAATTACTGAGGAATAACATTAGAACTACTGTAAGTAAGTAAGAATTACTGAGGAATAAAGTTAGAATTCCAGTGTCCTGTAGACGTCCTGTAATTCTGCAGGACGCTGGAATTCTAACATTTCATTTCTGTATGAAAATTGCGTTCTTAAGGAGAACAAGAGAGGTGGGGAGGGCAGGGCTTAGCTTTTAGTTTAGGTAAAACTAGAAGCCTCTGGAGGAAGTTTAGAACCCTTGTAGAACAAGCATCATCATTACCATCATCAGTAACAGTATTGCAACTGGTAATTTTATTTATTTTTTTGAGAGGGAGTCTTGCTCTGTTGCCCAGGCAGGAGTGCAATGGCGTGATCTTGGCTCACTGCAACCTCTGCCTCCCGGGTTCAAGCAATTCTCCTGCCTCTGCCTCCCAAGTAGCTGGGTCTACAGGCACGTGCCACCATGGCACCAGGCTAATTTTTGTAGAGACGGGGTTTCACCATGTTGGCCAGGCTGGTCTTGAACTCCTCACCTTGGGTGATCCACCTGCCTCGGCCTCCCAAAGTGCTGAGATTACAGGCGTCAGCCACTGTGCCCGGCCTACAACTGGTAATTTTATAGCAGGCTTACTGTGCACTAGTAAGACACCAGACATTGCACTAAGCATTTCACATGCATTATCTCATTTTAATCTTCCAAACAATCTTATAAAGTAGGGGCTATTATCTCTATTTAACAAAGAGGAAAATGAATTTATTGGAGTAAATTGGTCAGACTTACTGGAGATTAAGTAATGAGTGGTACTATGATTAAAATACAGAATAACTCTCATTATCTAAAACTGGACTTGCTGAGATCCAGTTAAAAATTAATTTAAACATTAACTTTTTTAATTTTAATTTTTTTGTTCTTTAAAATTAATAGAGAAGAGGTCTCACTCTGTTGCCTAGGCTGGTCTTGAACTCCTGAACTCAAGTGATCCTCTCAGACGTGGCCTCCCAAAGTGCTAGGATTACAGTCGTGAACCACCACACCTGGCCTTAATTTCTAAAGCTCATTTGATCTAGGCACTGAGTGTCTTGTGAACTTAATGAATTATCATGATCACGTTATATATTTAGCTTATAAATTTTTTTTAAATTATATATCTACTTCTGGTAAACCCTCTACAAAAAATACAAAAACTAGCCGGGTGCGGTGGCATGCCTGTAGTTCCAGCTACTTGGGAGGCTGAGGTAGGAGGATTGCTTGAGTCAAGGCTGCAGTGAGCCAAGATTGTGCCACTGCACTCCTGCTTGGACAATAGAGCCAGACCCTGTCTCAAAAAAATATTTATATATGCGTATACATATTTTTTATCTAATCCCTAATTCCCTGACCTGATATTCAAAATGAATCAAAAGTATCAATTTATGAACTGTTTACTTATGAGAAATTATATAATATATAAACCTAAACTGCTCTGCCCGGAACAGCCTGTGCTGTGTCTGTCCCTAGTCGGAGGCCCGGCCCCCTTCACCTGTGTCCCCCACTCTATGCAGAAGTGCTTCCAGCATGTCTGACAAACTGCCCTACAAAGTCACTGATATGGATCTGGCTGCCTGGGGACACAAGACCCTAGACATTGCAGAGGATGAGATGCTGGGCCTGATGTGCAGGTAGAAGTTGCACTCAACCTCCAAACCACTGAAAGGCACCTGCATCGCTGGCTGTCTGCACATGGACTGTGGAGACCGCCGTCCTCATTGAGACCCTCATCTCCCTGGGTGCTGAGGGGCAGTTGTCCACCTGCAACCTCTTCTCCACCCAGGACCATGCGGCACTGCCATTGCCAAGGCTGGCATTCCAGTGTATGCCTGGAAGGGAGAAACAGACGAGGAGTACCAGTGGTGCATCCAGCACACAGTGAACTAAAAGGACGGGCCCCTCAATGTCATTCATTCACACCAAGTTCCCACAGCTCCTGTTGGGCATCGAGGCATCTCCCAAGAGACCCTGACTGGGGTCCACAACTTACACAAGATGATGGCCAATGGGATCCTGAAGGTGCCTGCCATCAATGTGAACGACTCTGTCACCAAGAGCAAGCAAGCATCCCTCACAGATGGCATCATGCAGGCCACAGAGGTGGTGACTGCCAGCAAGGTAGTAGTGATAGTGGGCTATGGCAATGTGGGCAAGGACTGTGCCCAGGCCCTCAGGGGTTTTGTGGATCATGTCATTGTCACCGAGATTGACCCCATCAATGCACTGCAGGCTGCCATGGAGAGCTATGAGGTGACAACCATGGACAAGGCCTGTCAGGAGGACATCTTTGTCACCACCACAGGCTGTAATGACAGCATCCTTGATTGGCACTTTAAGCAGATGAAGGATGATGCCGTCATGGTAACACTGGCACTTTGACATGGAGATTGATGTCGAGTGGCTCAACAAAAATGCTGTCGGGAAGATGAACATCAAGCCCAGGTGGACCGCTCCTGGTTAAAGAACGGGTGCTGCATCATCCTGCTGGCTGAGGGCTGGCTGGTCAACCTGGGTTGTGTTATGGGCCACCCCAACTCTTTGATGAGTAACTCCCTCACCAACCAGGTGATGGCACAGATTGAGCTGTGGACTCACCCAGACAAGTACCCCATTAGGGTTCACTTTGGGCCCAAGAAGCTGGATGAAGCAGTGCTTGAAGCCCACTGGAGCAAGCTGAATGAGAAGCTGACCAAGCTCACTGAGAAGCAGGCCCTGTACCTGGGCATGTCCCGTGATAGCCCCTTCGAGTCTGATCCCTACTGCTACTGAGAGCCAGGCCTTCCCTCTACTTTCTAGCTGCTGTGCTTCCCTGGACCCCGCCTCTCCTGCCCAAGAGCAAATGGCACCAACTTTATGATTGGTTTGTCAGTGTCCCCCATTGGCACCCTGAAGTTGGTCACTTAGTTTTTGGACTCTGCTGCATCCCTCATACTGTTACAAATGTGGCAGGGGGAATTCAGAGGCCCCTCCTGAAGCCCTGGTTATGATGGAGGTATAATGGAGACAGCCAGAGGGAACCATGAGCTCAGTGGTCTTGGAACTGCTCACTAAGTCAGTTCTTCACTAGCCTGGAGGTTGATAGTGGGGTCACAAAACCCATACATTTTACCATCTAGGCCTTCACCAGGCCTATGGAGTTATACCCATGTGTTTGTTTATAGGCTCAATGGTTCCTAAGTCCATGACAGCTGAGAAGGAGCTATATCCAAGGGCAAGGAGGAACTGTTGGAGTTGGAATGTTCCTGAAAGCCTGGTTTAGTGCTGGGGCTTCTTTTAAACTATGTAACAATGAGGTTGGTACTTTTAGTGTGTATTGTACAAAGATAAGCATAGACTGTTAAGGAACAATCAAGAGAGGACAGAGAAGCGACAGCCAGAGGTTGAGAGGGGCCAGAAAAAGTAAAAGCAAGCGTAGATCCACCACCACTTTGTAACAGGATGGTTCTTATCACAACCCTGTGTCAAAAAGAGTAATTTGGTTTAAAATGTTTATATAACATTTATAATGTTAAAAGAAAGCAGGAGGGGGGGTCAATAAAAATTTTGGTGCCTAAAAAAGAAAAAAAATAACTTTAAGAATGAAAGAAAGCGTGTACTGGTTATAATTTTTAGAGCACAATTATTTTACAAAGTGTTTACTGAAAACATTGCTTTTTGTCAATTGCTTATTGTGATTTCAGGGTTTTTTTCTTTTTTCTTTTTTTGTTGTTTGTTGTTGTTTTGAAACGGGGTCTTGTTCTGCTGCCCATGCTAGAGCGCAATGGCACAATCATGGGTTACTTGACCCATGGGCCTTGTCCTCCTGGGCTCAAGCAATCCTCCTGCCTCAGCCTCCTGAGTAGCTGGGACTACAAGCTCATGCCACCAGGCCTGGCTAATTTTTAAATTCTTCTGTAGAGATGAGGTCTCCCTATGTTGCCCAGGCTGGTCTGATTTCAGTTTTGTAAATTTATAGAAATATTAGTCAGGAAAACCTAATCACTTTAGTTATTATGCCAGAAAATCTGCATTTAAACTTATTTCTGCCCCAGAATGCATTCTGCTAAAAATGGACTTTCCTAATTATTGTTGGTTATCTCAGATCTCCCACTAATATATTTTGTGCAGCTGCTCATCAAGTTGCACAGATTTCCAAAAGGAATTAGCAGTCTTAACAACTTTGCCACTGCATTAGCTACATCAATAGCATCTTTTGTGGGTGTTTTTCTTATCTTTTGCTTTAGCAAATGTGTTATTGTTTTAGTATCATTTGGTATGGGTAACAATCTGGAATCTACATCTAAAACATGTACGTTTCTTGTTTTTTTTAAAGACCAAACATAAACCATTAATTATAATAAGAAATGCCTGAAGAAATTTATTTATATTTATTTATTTATTTATTTATTTATTTATTTATTTATTTATTTATTTTTGAGACAGAATCTCACTGTCAACCAGGCTGGAGTGCAGTGGCGCATTCTTGGCTCACTGCAACCTCTGTCTCCTGGGTTCAAGTGCTTCTCCTGCCTCAGCTTCCGGAGTAGCTGGGATTAGAGGCATGTGCCACTACGCCCAGCTAATTTTTGTATTTTTAGTAGAGACAGGGTTTCACCATATTGACCAGGTTGGTCACAAACTCCTGGCCTCAAGTGATCCGCCTGCCTTAGCCTTCCAAAGTGCTGGGATCACAGGCATGAGTCACTGCACCTGGCCCTAAAAACATATTTTTTCTGATTTTGGGAAGCAACAGATACTCTGATTATTGAAAGTAGCTTCTTTCTCACTTGAAGTCATGATCTTCTCATTCTACTCTATTTTTCTTTCCTTCCTTCATTTTTCCTCCCTCTTCCACACTTCCTTTCTTTCTTCTTTCCTTCATTTTATCCTCTTTTCCTATTTTCTTCCTTTCTTTTTCTCTTTTTTGAAAGAAAAAAGAAGAAAAAATAATTGCCTTACAAGGAGGCAATCACTGAATCCTAATCTGTTAAGGGTTGTTAACAGCTTCTAGTAAAACACAGGGGCTATTTAGTTGCAACATGTAGCTTCATGTATATTTGAGATAAAGAATACTGGACATTCCATTGACTTCAATACCAGATTTATGACTAGGTAACTGTAAATTACTGAACATTCCAACCCTTGTTGAGAGACCATAGATCAACCTGTTGGACCTCAGGAGAATTGAGTAATGGCAATACTTAGTTTGAATTCTACACACGTGGTAAGATGGTGTATACACGCTCTTCACTGTGCAAAAAGGAGAAGTCCATAATCTGTCTTGATAGCCTCATTATAGTTAGAGGACAAAACAGGAAGTGCCATTGTTAAAGGGCAGAAACATAAAAGTTATGTTCTTAAAAACACCTTGAACCTTCCTCCCCATGATATTTTGCATGCAGGAACTTTGGGTGGGACCATATGGCTTCCTGCATTTTCTTCAATCAAAGTGGTAAAGTTTGTTTTTGTTTTAAAATACAGTTTAAAGGAAAGATACTTAGCCATTTCAGAAGAGAACAACATTCAGTTCCTTTTAGATTTTTATGAGCATATGTGATCATTTGTCATATGTGGCTAAAAAATGACCAGTACTGATGAAGTGCTATTTTATTTTTAGAGATATGCCTCAGTACACTTTCCCAAAATAATAAAAAAAAAATCTCTGCTTCCTTCCAGGAAAGTTTTGTCCATGGCTAAATGTGGGTGCATATACTTTCATGACAAAGACTATCTTTTCATCCAAACATACTGATGATGAGAAGCTTGAGTGCTATGGTCTCTGAAACTGGCAAAGTAAAATTCCATTTCCTCGGTTCTTTGTGCACAAATACCAATATGTCATTTTTATAATACTTGTTGGCTTGAAGTGATATTTTAAATAAAGACAAAAATGTCATAAATCTGAAAAATGAAGGGAAAGTCAGGAAAGAAATCATATATTAAATAGGTATCTTGGTCTTTTTTTTTTTTATACTTTAAGTTTTAGGGTACATGTGCACAACATGCAGGTTAGTTACATATGTATACGGTATCTTGGTCTTTAAACATTTATTTCTAACCGTCCAGATTTCTCATAGCCCATGTCTGAAGGTAAACAAATATTCTAGGATGAAACTAATCATTCAGGCTGGGCCCAGGGGCTCAGGCCTGTGATCCCAGCACTTTTGGGAGGCCAAGGCAGGAGGATCCCTTGAGCCCAGGAGTTTGAGACCAACCTGGGCAACATAGTGAGACCCCCATTCTTAAAAAAAAAAATTAGACAGATGTGATAGCACATGCCTGTTGTCTAAGCTATTCAGGAGGCTGAGGTGGGAGAACTGCTTGAGTCCAGGAGCTTGAGCCCAGGAATAACCAGGTTTTTCTAATATATTGAGGAAACATTTTTAGCCAAAATGCTTAATTAGAAGTTAATTTTGAGGGATGGGCAGGGTGAAAAAAAATTTAATTGAATTTAAAAATTTTTAAAAACTTAAAAAAATAGAAATCTTTTTTTATTGGTAAGCTGTCATCATACTACAAACAGCTTAATGCAGTAACAAAGTAAAAGACATAAAGGACCAGGAAATTAAGATAAAACACTTCTCTACACATACTTAGATCCAGTCAAGTACTTGACCAAGGACACCTTTTTTTGTATCTTTCTTTTTTTTAAATATATAATTTATGGCCAGGCGCGGTGGCTCACGCTTGTAATTCCAGCACTTTGGGAGGCTGAGGCGGGCAGATCATGAAGTCAGGAGATCAAGACCATGGTGAAACCCCGTCTCTACTAAAAATACAAAAAAATTAGCCAGGCGTGGTGGCGGGCGCCTGTAGTCCCAGCTACCTGGAGAGGATGAGGCAGGAGAATGGCGTGAACCCGGGAGGCGGAGGTTGCAGTGAGCTGAGATTGTGCCACTGCACTCCAGCCTGGGCGACAAAGCGAGACTCCGTCTCAAAAAAATAAAAATAATAATAATAATAAATAAAAATAAAATAAAATAAAATAAATATATAATTTCTTTATTTTTATTTTATTTTATTTTTTTAAGTTCCAAGGTACCTGTGCAGGATGTGCAGGTTTGTTACACAGGTAAACATGTGCCATGGTGGTTTGCTGTACCTAGCAACCCATCACCTAGGTATTAGGCCCAGCATGCATTAGCTCTTTCCCTAATGCTCTCCCCCACCCCACCTATGTATCTTTCTTTGTGGCCTTAAATACATTTGAGTTTCTTATTTCTTACATAATGATGTCTGTATACCGAAAATAAAACTTTTTCTGACTTATCTATTGTAGATTACAGTATGACTGGCTTTAATGAAAAATAGGCATTTTGCAGAACTATTAAACCGGTCTAAGAATAGATGATATTGTACTGAATCTCCTAATCTAGCAATCCATTCAAACGCTTTTTGTTTTTTTTCTACCATCAAAGCGTGGAAGAGGTAATGGCCTAGGACCAGAATGGGGGTCTTTCATCTGTCATGTTTTATTGTAACAGATTTACTTGAAATTACGTTTCTCACCTGCAGAAACTAAGAGAAAGAGCAAGAATCAGCAGAGTAGAAGGGGGAAAGGGGACAATCAGAGCATCTCAGTGTTTTAGAGTTTGATGTGATCACTGGGCATTTAGGTTAGCCTTTTGCCTTTTCTCTCTCCAAGATTGTGGTGCTTCTGTCCAATTTTTGTTTTACAAGATGAGTTGGAAATTTAATGGATTTTATGTATGCAGCTGGAATTTTGAAACAGAAAATTAAAAGGGAGCTGCATTGGCCTGAAGGATCAAAGTTCTATTAAAAAAAAAGTGGGTTTCTTATATGAAAAAGCTTTAAAAACTAGTATTTTAAAAACATTTTACAGTTTACAAAGCACTTTTCTATAAAATTATTTCATTTGAACATACAATGAGGGAGGTCCAGGGTTATAGCATGAGTTACTGTTAGAGCTGTGACCATAAACCATGCATCTTTTTTGCTTTGTTCTTTTTTTGAGACAGGATCTCGCTATGTTGCCCACACTGGTTTCAAACTCCTGGACTCAAGCAATCCTCCTGTCTCGGCCTCCTAAAGTGCTGGGATTGCAGGTGTGAGCCACCACACCCGGCCTGCATCTTGTTTCCTTTTCTAAGACTCTTTGCATTACATATCTCCCTCTTTCATTCCCCCTTGCTCCTTCTTTCATGAATGATTCTGATAGTTACTTTATGGATGCTTAACATAAAAGACTAAAGGCTTTTTGAGGGCACATTTGGTATCCTACTTATCTTTGCATCTCTGGTATTGAACAGATCCAAAGCTGGTGTTTGGTTAATGTTTTTGAATGGACAAATGAATGAAATTAAAATAAAAAGGCAAATTAAAAAAGAGAAACAATTTTTCAGATTTTAAAATAAGTAAATGAAAACAGCAGATCAATATTATAGTTTTTATATAACTTCAGAATGTCAAATGCTGTATTAGCTGCTATGCATTTATCTACCATATCTATCTATCTATCTATCTATCTATCTATCTATCTATCTATCTGTCATTTATCTTGTTAGCTTCATTCCAAATAATTAATTTTATCATCCATTGTTATTTACAAATTCTCAGGTCACTAAGTCATAATTATAACTTGGGAAAATGTGTCCTATTTTATTGATAGCACAGAAATTAGAATTTATTCTTCAGCACCATAAGGTTTATGGGAACACAACAAATAAAAATGGTCACAATTATTTGTCATGTCTGGAAAAGTACAAGACTGTGACTACTAATTCATAACACATTTATATCAGTTTTACTTACTTATGGCTATTATATTTCCTTTGTGAATTTCACAGGTTTATGAAAGCATTAACTGATCTTTTTATATTACTCTATCTTCATGGCTTATCCACAGCTTGATTTCAACTGGCCATGCTTAGATAAAGCAAATTTCCATATATATTTTTTTCTACCTTCATGCCTAGGTAGAGATCCTAGATATGTTGAGCTTTATTTTATTTCTGCAAATGTAAGTAAACATTTGTACATGTGACTTGGAGGAAAATTAGAGGAAGAATTTATTTATTGTTCATTTAAGACTGATAATTATTGGGTTCATGTACTAGGAAGTTATACTAAGAAAAAGACTCTCAAAGAAGACACAAATTTTACAAAGCCATACTCATAAAACATATAAAGATGATGACATATCCAGGATCAGATTTAGATCCTCTAGATCCATCCCAAAGAAGAAAATACCAAAAAATAGCCCAAGCTGTAACTTTACCAATTTAGTTACTGCTGTCAAGAAACATTGCACAATGCCATCTAGTGACGAGTAACCAATGTATGATTAATCACATAGAAATGACTGGATGAGGAGGGGGAAATTCCCAGGATTTTATATGTAAGAGGGAAAGTCCTTCTGAGAGAATTAAAATGGATAGAGATTAGTTTTATTTCTCCAGGTACACTTAGTGCATGACAATTTATCACCGATCTGAAGCTTGGTAGTTTTTATTTTGAAATACTGTATTGCCACCTACCTCTGAATCTGCAGCTCTACCTCCTTCTGCAGCTGCCCTTCATTATTCCGTCCACAGCTGAACTCAGAACTGTGAGTGTTCTCCAAGCCGCAGCCCCCCATCTAATGACAGGTGGTGGAGGTGGAGCACTTTAGAAACCAGTCTCAACAAATTAAAAAAAAAAAAGGACTTCAAAAAAGGGAACCAAGTTGATTCTTAAAACAATCTGTGCCACATTAAAAATAATAACAATAAATAAACTTGGAAGTTCAAAGAGTAAAACTAAAACAGGGACTAAAGGAAATCATCTTTGTTTTTTGCAGCCAATGACTGTGCAGACCTGATGCTGTCTTGTTCTTGTACCAAATTCTCCTTGAAAATACCAGAGACCTCTCTCTGAATGGCCATAACATTATACCCTAAGGGAAATAATTTTCTCCAACATTTCTCATCTTTTGTAAACAGATGGCATATATATATTTAATATATATATTTATAGATATATTTATAGATATTTATATATATTTATAGATATATTTATATATATATTTAAAGAGAAAGAGAAATACCAACAGTCTGCCAACTGTGGAATTCTTATAGTCCGATAGTTTCTTTTTGGTTATTTTTTCACAACTAAATTAACTAGTGTTGCTGCCATAGATACATTTAAGAAAATCAGACACTTTGCTGCTTTTACATATATCTGTCTGAAACTCAGCAGGAATATTTCAGTTGCCTTAGAAAAATATCCAGTTAACAAACTTTGTGAAGTGAAAAGAAAACCTTATCAAAATCTCCAGCTTCAAGTACATTTAGTTGTTTTCTTTTTATTGTTGCTTACATGCTGTGATTGGAGCACAATATGTGGAAATTGCATAACCATTATTTCCACAAATCAAAGCTATTGAGACATGGGAAGGCCATGTGGAGCTGCTGCATGAAATGTTGGTTAAAAAAATTCCACTCTGCCTTTATATCTAAAGTCTTCCCTTCTTTCAGGTATCAATGGTTTCTTCAGTCGTAAGCATCACTAGGTTGTGTTTCGTTTGTTTAACTGCTTTTAAAATCAGAATTAGCCATAGGTCAAATAACATTTTTTGAAAAACATTTTCTCTATGTGTCTTATATTTTTCCTTAGTTCTACTTTGTTTTGTTATTTTTAATATTTTGGGGGTAATCTAGGCAAAGAGCTCTTAATTCTTAATGCATTAGAACCATCAAGAAACATTCAGTGCAATTTCCATGTCTCAGGGGAAAGTTTTGGTGTCCTCACCTCGATCCATTCCCAGGTTTATGGGGACTAGGGAGAATCCTTTCACTATTATTTTACATTTTAAAATATACCTAATCAAGTGCAGTGCAGTGCAGTGGTGTATGCCTGTGGTCCCAGCTGCTCGGGAAGCTCAGGAGAGAGCATCACTGGAACCCAGGAGTTTCAGTCCAGCCTGGGCAACACAGCAAGATCCCATCTCTAAAAAAAGAAAAGAAAGAAAAGAAAACAGTGGCCAGTCAGATGGCTATGTAGGTCAAAGACAGCCTGACTGAATCATATGAGAGGGAAGAAAAACACTTGTCATTCCTAGCTTTCTGTGTTCCTCTTTTGTTCCAGCAGAGCTTTGGTTGTACTACTCTAATACCCATACAACACTGCTTTCCTTAGAGCCACAGCTACTGCTGAGAACTCAAAAACTTCTTCCTTTCCGGTGAACACGTCTAGACTTGGGCTGGGGATGGGATGAAGATCTCTAACACCTTCCTGGAAATCAAGAAGTGCAAATAGGTAATTTTCCCTTTTTTTTTTTGAGATGGAGTCTCACTCTGTCGCCCAGGCTGGAGTGCAGTGGTGCAATCCGGCTCACTGCAATTCTCCCTGCTTCAGCCTCCTGAGTAGCTGGGATTACAGGTGCCCGCCACCACACCCAGCTATTTTTTTTAGTTTTAGTAGAGACGGGGTTTCACCGCATTGGGCAGGCTGGTCTCGAACCCCTCACCTCAGGTAGATCCGCCTGCCTCGTCCTCCCAAAGTGCTGAGATTACAGGTGTGAGCCACCGTGCCCAGCCTGGTAATTTTCTTAAGAGAGAAATAATGCTTTGTTTTGAGATGTTCTGCTGGGGTATTCTGGTAGCTCTTTCAGTGCTTAAACTCATTCCGAGTCTGCACAAATGGCATAATATTTAGCTGTGCTTTGACACTCTTCAGCACCTGGAATATAATGAGCATAAATATCTTTTTAGGTTTCTAGATCAAAGATTGTTTTCTTCTATAATGTTTCTCCTCAAAGAAGTGTTTCACTGTTCTGTAAAGTAAATTTCAGAGATTATAAGGCCAAAATAGCGATTATAGCAAAAGTCTATGATCAGTTACATTGTCTAATTTTGAATTACAGTGGCAGCTTTTCTTTTATCTTTAAATTTGGTGCCATTTCTTCCTATCATTTCCACCCCTGGGATTTTTCTGGTTAGAGATGTATATAATTGCCTTTCTGCCCACATTCCCTTCTAAAAGAATCTGTTCCCCTGCTGAACAGATGGGCCTAGTCATCTATGTTTATATCATATGACCCTACTCCCTGGTTATGATGATTGGACCAGGGTGGGGAGACCTACTCTGAGAGTCGATCCATAGGTTAGGCCAAGCCAACTAGATGATATTGTTTGAAAAAATTTCACTGAGACACAAAAGTCATAGTTAAGTGATGAGAATTGGAGTTGTCGGGTCACAGGTATTTAGTGTGAGACCTCTATGGCAAGCTTCAGCTACATGAACATTAAATTATGAGGGAACCCAAAGTAAAATCCTTACATGTGGAGCCAGCCTACAAGAGCAACCTAGAATAGACATGCAGAGAGAAGCAGTAGCAAGAGCTTACACTGACATTTGTAAAATCCCTTCTCACCATCCAGAGCCTTTTCTACTTTAAACAAACAGTATGTTTTTGAGCATGGCTTGGGCTGGATTGCCCACCTCCAGAGAACCTGTTTGTCTTACACTAATCAGCATTATTACATCATTCTGTCCATGTGACTGATTCAGAGTAGGCATGTGAACCATTAATGGACAATAAAGGAGACAGTTGCTGGAGTTTTGTTTGTTTTTTTTTTTTTGTTTTTGAGACTGGGTTTCGCTCTGTCATCCAGGCTGACGGGCAATGGCGGGATCATGGCTCAGTGCAGTTTCGATCTCCTGGGCTCAAGTGGTCCTCCCACCTCAGCCTCCCAAGAAGTTGGGACCACAGGAGGGGGCCACCATACCCGGCTAATTTTTTTGATGTTTTGTAGATATAGGGTCTCCCTATGTTGCCCAGGTTGGTCTCTAACTCCTGAGCTCAAGTGTTCTGCCCACTTCAGCCTCCCAAAGTGCTAGGGTGAAAGGCCTGAGTCACCACTGCCAGCCAATTGCTGAAGTTTTTGGAAAAGAAAATTCTTGTCTGATCCATGGGAGTTGCTTCAAAGGTACTCTCTGCTTTTGTAGATATGAACTAGGAAGCATGTAACTGTGGTTGCTTCTGACTACACTAGAAGACGCAGCCTAAGACGAAAACTGCTTCACAGGAGATAGAGTGCAGCAGTGGAAAGAAAGCAGGTCTTTATTGACATTATGGGACTACTGGTTTTGTTAAAATCTGCCCAGTTTTTGGTTCGTCAGTCACATCGGCCAATACATTCCCTTGGTTGTTTAAGTTGTTTGATTGGATTTCCTTTTACTTGTAACTGAACTCTTAAATTTGAGTGAGATTAATGATTTTCTAGGTCTTAGGAGACAAAGCAATCCCTTGAATTTCCTGGCTCCCTAAGTAGAACAGTCGTTAGTACCATCTTGTCCATTGTGTTTTGCTTGGTTCTGTACCACCTAGCAGAATGCCTAGGACACATTAGTTGCATCACCGAAATTTATTAAGTGATAAGTTCCCTCCTCTTGAACTCTCTCAGTAATATGATCAGCATACAATCTTCGAAAGTAGTGGATTTCAGGGAGACCTCTGACTTTCAGGTTGTGTGATGTGCTCTTGGAGAAGATGAAAGACAACTATTAATGAAATGAAAGTGATTAAGGAAGAAGCCAATCAACTTCATCAAGGCTGGGAAAAATAAACTGATAGTGCTATGCAAACAGACATCATACCATATTTTTCCTTATTATATATTTTGTATAGTTATCCTCATTCCTACCTTAATGAAACTGTGTCCTCTACATTTAGAATGCAGATAGATTTAAGAAAAAAAAAAAGATTATATTTTCCCATAGTCAAAATTAAGGTATGTATCTGGGACTTTGGTACATTACCTCACATAATCCTGACAATCCTGACTGGTGGGTATCATTAGTTCTATCATACAGATGAGGAAATTGAGGAAGAGACATTAATTAACTTGTTCAAGTTAGTAAGTAATGAGAGTTGAGATTGAAGTTAAAAGGTCTACTATTACTTTATGATAATTCCAAATACAATTAATTTATGACCTCTCTGGTCTTGCTAGGTCTGAAGCTCTTGCTGAAAGGATATCATAGCACGCATAGACTATCTCTGGTGACAGTGGTTTCCTCCAAAGATGCTAACTGGGTGACTAGGAGTGGGAGACATTTATTTTTCACTGTTCAGTGTTTTGTACCTTTTGACATTTGAACTATATGCTTATATTACTTTATCCAAAATATACATATTTAGAAAAAAATTATATCATGGAAATTTTATCTGATAAAACAATAGGCCTGTAATAGATGATTTTGAGATCCCTTCTAGTGCTAAATGTATTTCATTGTGTGAGTCTATAAAAAGGTCTCCCAGTTTTAGAGAATACAAAGATTTCTGCACTGAATGTTCTCCCAAACCACTGAAATTGCCTAAAAGGATCTTTAAAAAGGTTATCTATCTGTCTATCTATCTATCTATCTATCTATCTATCTATCTATCTATCTAGCTATCTATCTATTTTTTTTTTTTTGAGAGTCTCGCTTCGTCGCCCAGGCTGGGGTGCAGTGGTGAGATCTCGGCTCACTGCAAGCTCCGCCTCCCAGGTTCATGCCATTCTCCTGCCTCAGCCTCCCGAGTAGCTAGGACTACAGGCGCCCGCCACCACACCCAGCTAATTTTTTGTATGTTTAGTAGAGACGGGGTTTCACCATGTTAGCCAGGATGGTCTCAATCTCCTGACCTTGTGATCCGCCCGCCTCGGCCTCCCAAAGTACTGGGATTACAGGATTGAGCCACCGAGCCCGGCCAAAGGTCATCTATATTGTTGTCAGTATGAGTGGCTTAAAAAAAAAAGATCAGATCGATTAAATTTTGGAAATTAAGCTTTAGATTCAGATTAGGCCAAATGTCTCTGGGGCCCAATAAAACCTAAAGGGACCTGCCAGCATTTTCACTTGAAAGGACAACTTGGTTGTGATTAACACCAAACTACCAAAGGAATGGAGAGAGGAGCAGTTAAGAGTTCAGCAATTAATCACTCAAGATGTCTTCCATGGGTATGGACAAGCTGAAGGGAAGCAAGCTTTGCACATTTTATTTTCTCAGGAACACAGCAGGCATCTTGTAAAATCACTAGGATAGGCCCCATAACCAAAACAAAGGAGGATAAAGACAATTCATGTACATAAGCACTGGCAATTTGCCTTTGTTCTCTAATGACAAACCCTACAGGAGACAGGAACCCGCTGGAGTCTGACCTTGCCTCTTCCTAGTGAGGACAGCTTAGTATGTGCATGTGTGTGTTTAAAGCAACTGCTTCACATGTAGGATATCTTTCAAGTGTCGGAGATACCAATTGTATGTGATCTTAAGAAGCTTTTTCATCAAACATGGCATAATTTTTCAGTACAGCTACTTGAGTGTGCATATTTATGAGTAGCTTGAAACAATAAAAACAATGAAAAACCTTTTAATGCACTGAAATTAGCACAAATATGAGCTATGTAGCTAAGCTCCATTGTTCATAGCATTGAAGATAGTCACATCTAATTTTGCTGCTATAGAAAGCAAATCAGTTCTGCTAACTGAAGCCCACGATATTTTGCACATTATTTTTTTGAATTTCTTCGGTCTATTTTAGTGTTTGAAATGCTAAAAACTTCTGTCCCAGCATTCTTTCTGGAAAAAAGTCTGTATACTGTCTTTTGAGCTCTGCTACTAGTTCACAAGTCACTCTTGACTGAAGTTATAAAGCAAGAGAGGGGATTTTATTTATGGGATTTTGTATTATTTTTTTCTATTCACTATAGTGCATTTCCTCCTCCCAGGCCACAGGATTCTGCTGCAAATTCTAACAGGAGGAGGCAATGGCAGCCCTTACTAAAACCGCAGAACTACAGGAAGAGGATCCCTGAGTGGGATTCCTGTGTGAAAGGCATTTTCACCTTTTTGTGTATCTTCAGAATCTTAACTTTCATGAGAGAAGAATAGAAATGCAACAATGGAACAATCCACTGTATACACGTAGCTGACAATTTAATAAACTTGAAGGAAATGCTACAGAGTCCTGTCAATGTCTTTCTTGGTCCACATGCGGCTTCTGTAGGAGATCTTCTATGTGTCAGGCCAGAAATTCCATGCAACCAGTCCTAGATTTCCCAATGGTGGTGCTGAATGGAGCGTTTCACTTGGTGTCATTGTCAGACAGTTCTGCCAAGTTTGTTATTAGGCCTCACGTGGCCTATGTAACAGGTTTTCCCCTACATCTTGTCTAACCAACCTAGCAAAACTTTCAGTTCATCCCCTTCTATTCCAATCTGATCAAAGCTTGAGAGTGTCTCATGAAATTTTATAGGTTTAGTTGTCTCATTTAAATTACCACCATGAAAATCTCCTGGATCTTAAAATTAATGTAAACTTTAATCTACAATGTGATTTCTTCCCCACCTGTGGCCTGATTTTTATTTTTTTTTATTTTTTATTTTTATTTTTATTTTTATTTATTTATTTATTTTTTTATTGATAATTCTTGGGTGTTTCTCACAGAGGGGGATTTGGCAGGGTCATGGGACAATAGTGGAGGGAAGGTCAGCAGATAAACAAGTGAACAAAGGTCTCTGGTTTTCCTAGGCAGAGGACCCTGCGGCCTTCCGCAGTGTTTGTGTCCCTGGTTACTTGAGATTAGGGATTGGTGATGACTCTTAACGAGCATGCTGCCTTCAAGCATCTGTTTAACAAAGCACATCTTGCACTGCCCTTAATCCATTTAACCCTGAGTGGACACAGCACATGTTTCAGAGAGCACAGGGTTGGGGGTAAGGTCACAGATCAACAGGATCCCAAGGCAGAGGAATTTTTCTTAGTGCAGAACAAAATGAAAAGTCTCCCATGTCTACTTCCTTCCACACAGACACGGCAACCATCCGATCTCTCAATCTTTTCCCCACCTTTCCCGCCTTTCTATTCCACAAAGCCGCCATTGTCATCCTGGCCCGTTCTCAATGAGCTACTGGGCACACCTCCCAGAAGGGGCGGTGGCCGGGCAGAGGGGCTCCTCACTTCCCAGTAGGGGCGGCCGGGCAGAGGTGCCCCTCACCTCCCGGACGGGGCGGCTGGCCGGGCAGGGGGGCTGACCCCCCCCACCTCCCTCCCGGACGGGGCGGCTGGCCGGGCGGGGGGCTGAACCCCCCACCTCCCTCCCGGACGGGGCAGCTGGCCGGGCAGAGGGGCTCCTCACTTCCCAGTAGGGGCGGCCGGGCAGAGGCGCCCCTCACCTCCCGGACGGGGCGGCTGGCCGGGCGGGGGGGCTGACCCCCCCACCTCCCTCCCGGACGGGCGGCTGGCGGGCGGGGGGCTGACCCCCCCACCTCCTTCCCGGACGGGCGGCTGGCGGGCAGAGGGGCTCCTCACTTCCCAGTAGGGGCGGCTGGGCAGAGGCGCCCCTCACCTCCCGGACGGGGTGGCTGGCCGGGCAGGGGGGCTGACCCCCCCACCTCCCTCCCGGACGGGGCGGCTGGCGGGCGGGGGGCTGACCGCCCCACCTCCCTCCCGGACGGGGCGGCTGGCCGGGCGGGGGGGCTGACCCCCCACCTCCCTCCCGGATGGGGCGGCTGGCCGGGCGGGGGCTGACCCCCCCCCCACCTCCCTCCCGGACGGGGTGGCTGCCGGGCGGAGACGCTCCTCACTTCCCAGATGGGGTGGCTGCTGGGCGGAGAGGCTCCTCACTTCTCAGACGGGGCAGCTGCCGGGCGGAGGGGCTCCTCACTTCTCAGACGGGGCGGCCGGGCAGAGACTCTCTTCACCTCCCAGACGGGGTCTCGGCCGGGCAGAGGCGCTCCTCACATCCCAGATGGGGCGGCGGGGCAGAGGCGCTCCCCACATCTCAGACGATGGGCGGCCGGGCAGAGACGCTCCTCACTTCCTAGATGTGATGGCGGCTGGGAAGAGGCGCTCCTCACTTCCTAGATGGGATGGCGGCCGGGCGGAGACGCTCCTCACTTTCCAGACTGGGCAGCCAGGCAGAGGGGCTCCTCACATCCCAGACGATGGGCGGCCAGGCAGAGACACTCCTCACTTCCCAGACGGGGTGGCGGCCGGGCAGAGGCTGCAATCTCGGCACTTTGGGAGGCCAAGGCAGGCGGCTGGGAGGTGTAGGTTGTAGTGAGCCGAGATCACGCCACTGCACTCCAGCCTGGGCACCATTGAGCACTGAGTGAACGAGACTCCGTCTGCAATCCCGGCACCTCGGGAGGCCGAGGTTGGCGGATCACTCGCGGTTAGGGGCTGGAGACCGGCCCGGCCAACACAGCGAAACCCCGTCTCCACCAAAACCAATCAGGCGTGGCGGTGCGTGCCTGCAATCGCAGGCATTCGGCAGACTGAGGCAGGAGAATCAGGCAGGGAGGTTGCAGTGAGCCGAGATGGCAGCAGTACAGTCCAGCTTCGGCTCCGCATGAGAGGGAGACCATGGGGAGACGGAGACGGGAGACGGGAGACGGGAGACGGGAGACGGGAGACAGAGGGAGAGGGAGAGGGAGAGGGAGAGGCTGATTTTTAGTTCCTTTGTAATTGTTTAATTGAAGATGGTAAAATCCTTTGAGAAAAGTAGTTCACAACCTTCCCTTTTGCCTCTGGAGACCTCTGCTCCATTTTGCTTGTTATAGTTTTATAAAAGCATTGAGACTTTCCTTAATGAAGAGAACTCAGAGAGCCTCTGTCATGAACTTTGCTGAACTCAAATCAGAAGGCCAGAACATATAAAACTGATTAATTCATGAAGACCCTTAAGGGAAATTCTTAACAGTCTGTGGCTCAAGCTCTATGTTATTTTGAAATACAGATGAAAATGCCAACCTTAAAGGGGTGCTTTATGATTAATGAGATAATGTGTATAATACGTTCTGAGTTCCTAGAGCAATCGTCTAATATAAGGGAGCTATTATTATTTATTATTACCATCCAGATACTGGGACTATATATTTCCCAAGGACAAAATAAAATATAGGACAGATTGAAAAATTCGAGATTATCAGTAAGCTCTAGGGAAACTAGCATATGGTGGGTATCCTTTGATAAATATGCTAAATATGTATTTACATGATAAACTGACTAGTGAAATTAGATAGATGCCTTTGAGAGTTATCACCAGAATTCAGCAAGTCCTTTGGTACACTGACAAGTGGAGGAGAATTCTACAGGCAGTAGATGGGTTCTTGCCAGTATTTGGAATACGCCCCTTCTCTTACTGTAGCTGGAAGCAACGATTAAGAAAAGAACCAGTGAATAAAAGATAGGCTCTTTTATTCACTGTCAGTGGGAGTGAAACTTGGCAACTCTTTAAGAAGCCAATTTAACAATACCTATCAAAACTGCAAACCATATGCCCTTTGACCCAACAATTCTGTAACTAGTAATTTACCTTACGGATATACTTATATTGCAGCATTGTTTGTAATAGCAAAAATTAGAAACCACCCAAATGTTTGTTAATAAGAGAATGATTTCATAACTTGTAAACACATTCAATTCTATATTATGCAATAAAAAAGAATGAAGAAAATTTTTATTTGCAGATATAAAAAGAAACCCAAGATATGTTTTTCTTTTCTTTTTTTCTTTTTTTTGAAATGGAGTCTCGCTCTGTCGCCCAAGCTGGAGTGCAGTGGTGCAATCTTGGTTCACTGCAACCCCTGCCTCCTGGGTTCAAGTGATTCTCCTGCCTCAGCCTCCAGAGTAGCTGGGACTCAGGCTCATGCCACCACGCCTGGCTAATTTTTGTATTTTTAGTATAGACGGGGTTTTACCATGTTGGCCAGGCTGGTCTCAAACTCCTGACCTCAAGTGATCCGCCCACCTTGACCTCACCAAAGTACTGGGATTATAGGCATGAGCCACCGCGCCCGGCCCCCAAGATATGTTTTTCAACAAGATGTAAAGCTATGGTATGGTATGACTGCACTTGTGTGAATGAGACAAAGGAAAGGTGTATTACCTGGGATGTATGCAAAATATTTTTATGTGTATATATACCAAACAACTATTAACTATGGTTAATTCTGAGGAGCGAGTGTTATGAAAAATAAAAAGGAAAACCATTTTTCTTTTAATACTTTAAAAAACCATATATATTACTTTAATTTTAAAAACAACTTATACTTTTTTTGTTTTTCTTTATAATGGTAATCAAAAAAATTTTTTTTTTAAAGAAAGAAGGAATTCTCTTTTCCTTCTACTGCAGCTTAGAAGGCATCTTGAAAAGCTATTGCTATTTGGCAGCTCACACTGTGGCCATTATTCCCTTGACAGAAGCACCTTTGGACACCCATGGGGTTCCAGAAATCCCATCGTTATGCTGGAGTGATTAGATCAGAACCACTGGGTTTGCGTCTAAAACACCTGTGAGGTAAACCGCTCTTATTCTCTAAGCCAGTGTGAGAGTGGAGGGATAAAATGGTAATTACTTTCCACTCTCATCGCCAGTAATTTTGTTTAAAAAACCTGTTTGCCTTAAATTCACCTAAAAAAATACTCGTGACTATGTAATTGAGGTCACAAATCTTCATTTCTAATTGTTATAAATTTATTAAAGACTATAAATGTTGTCTCTCTCATAAAACACCTGTTCTTTCCATAATTAACAATTTCCACTTGAGCATATACATTTAAAGTAATACTGTTACAACAAGAATATGAAAACCTGGCCGGGTATGGTAGCTCATGCTTGTAATACCCCGCACTTTGGGAGGCTGAGACGGGCGGATCACCTAAGGTCATGATTTGAGAACATCCTGGCCAACATGGTGAAACCCTGTCTCTACAAAAAATACAAAAAATTAGCCAGGTGTGGTGGTGGGTGCCTGTAATCCCAGCTACTCGGGAGACTGAGGCAGGAGAATCGCTTGAACCTGGGAGGCCGAGGTTGCAGTGAGCTGAGATTGTGCCATTGCACTCCAGTCGGGGCAACAAGAGCAAAACTCTGTCTCAAAAAAAGAAAACCTAACAGGTATTATTTCCTGTGATAGCCTTTCTTATTTGAAAGTCAGCATGTAATATATATTTGTGAAAAAGCACTTACTATAAAAAAAGGATGAAATGTACAATTATGAAGGAATCCTACACTTAAATTTGTTACAATAAATGCATCATACAAAAACATTTTCAGGTTTTTCATTTTAAAGGAATATAAAACTAGTTGCTAGAAAGAATCACAGTACAGTCATGTTGAACACACGCTATGCAAGTATGTAATTATGAATCATAGTTAGAAAATAAGTCATTTACGAGAACAGTAAGCTGATTTTTATCATTAACTGAATCTTCATTTTGAGTTCTTACACAACATCCAAGTGTTAGGGAGGAGAAATAATTCTCAAACTATTTCTCTCCTGACGTATGCTCAAATTGAAACAACATCTTTTGCTAAGGCTGAACCCAGTACCTTACATGTGTCATTTAAACCCTCTCAGGGAAGTTTTAGGATGGCTGTGCAAAACCACTGCGATGTAACTGAAGGAGCAAAATCTTCACGTCTGCACTTTGACCTACCTGGGCTGGCCTTGAGACCACCTGATATAATCCATGTGTGAAATCATTCTCCTGCTTTAGTATATAAGGCTGTGTGACACTTACCACCATGGATCAGAATTACTTTATTTTTCGGCTGGGCGAGGTGGCTCACGCCAGCAATCCCAGCACTTTGGGAGGCTGAGGCTGGCGGATCACTTGAGGTCAGGAGTTGAAGACCAGCCTGGCCAACATGGTGAAACCCCATCTCTACTAAAATATAAAAATTAGCCAGGCGTGGTGGCGGGTGCCTGTAATCCCAGTCACTCGGGTGGCTGAGGCAGAAGAATCACTTGAACCCCGGGAGGCGGAGGTTGCAGTGAGTGGAGATCACGCCACTGCACTCCAGCCTGGGTGACAGAGTGAGACTCCGTCTCAAAAACAAACAAACAAACAAACAAAGAATTACTTTATCTTTTATGCTTTTTTTTTTTTTTTTTTTTTTTTTAATAGAGACAGTGTCTGTGTTGCCCACGCTGGTCTGGAACTCCTGGGCTCAAGCAATCCTCCCGCCTCGCCTCCCCAAGTGCTAGAATTACAGGTGTGAGCCCCATGCCCAGCCTATTTTTTAATGTTTTAAAAATATATATATATAATGACCAGCATGATTTTCTTCATATTGCTGACAGAGGAGAGCAAAGTAAGTTGACTCTAAACAACAGGGGTTTGAACTGCGCAGGCTTGCTTATACGCGGATTCTTTTCAACCAAATGCTGATGGAAAACAGCATTGGTGGGATAGGAACCCTGTGTGTATGGAGGGCCAGCATTTCACATTCACAGCTTGGGCAGGGTCAACTGCAAGACTTGTGTATGTGCGGATTTGACGTTGTGCGGGGGCGGGGGGGGCGGAGGGGCCGGGGAGGTGTGGGGGGCGGGGGAGGTGTGGGGGCGGGGGATGGGGGGATGGGGAGGGGCGGGGGGCCCTAGGGGGTGGGGAGAGGCGGGGTGGGGAGCGGGTGGGGGGTGGCGGTGGGTGGAGAGGGCGGGGGAAGTGGGGGGAGGGGGGCGGGGGGGTGCGCGGTGTCCTGGGACTCATCCCTGTTACCCGCCTACCCTAAGGCCACGCACACCCAGGGACTGCTAGAATTCAATGAAGCAGGAGTTCTCAACACACGGTCACCCGTGAGCGTGTTACAGCTAATTCTTGGACCACATTCTAGACCTACGGAGTCAGAAATAGTGTGGGGCTCAGCAATCTGTATTTTAACAATCCTTAAAGCTTGAGAAACACTTCTGTTTAGGAATACTTTAAGTGTGGGACTAAGTACCATGAAATATCTTGCCTTGCTTTTGTGTTATCTCTGATCTTATAATGAAAGTATATTTACTCAATATATTTACACACTTCTGAGTGATTATTTTGAAAAGTCAGCTTCCTAGGCTGCTTGCATCAGAATCACATGGAAGATGTGTTAGAATCCAGATTCCCTGATCTCTCTGAAAGCAGGGCCTGGAAATCGGCATGTGAAACACATATCCTAACACATTTTCACATACACAGATGTTCCCGCTCCAGCGCTGTGGAGTTATTGAGACAGGTTCTTATTCTATCTTCTTATATTTTTGTTTTGGCATTTTCTTATTGTCTCTGCTGTTTCTCTGCCATCATCACTGTTATCCTTGGGAAAGAGCAGGCGATGTTGACTGATAGTGGTGGAACTGGGGAAGGTGATAATACAAGTAATACAATTTTTGCGAATTTGTTTTATCTACTTAAAACGGCTCTCTCCAGACCAATTTGCATGAAAAACAGGAAGCTGACTAAATTGAAAGAAAATGCTAAATCTTCAGGTTGCACCTTCATATCAAGAAAAATTCTATTAGGTACACACACAAGTAGGTAAAAACAGCAGGAGGCTAGTGAGGAGGTTGTGCAGTGGCCTCCCACACCTCCCACACATCTGCTTCTGCTTTTGTGCTGTACTCTCGGAGAGCTCCTACTGACCCAAATACCAATCCGGTGGACTCTTAATGTCTTTTTTTTTTTTTTTTTTTTTTTTTTTTTGAGACAGGGTGTCACTCTGTTGCCCAGGCTGGAGTGCAGTGGCCAGATCTCCGCTCACTGCAACCTCCACCTCCTGGGTTTAAGCAGTTCTCGTGCCTCAGCTTCCCGAGTAGCTGGGATTACAGGCACACTCCACCATGCCTGGCTAATTTTTGTACTTTTAGTAGAGTCAGGGCTTCACCATGTTGGCCAGGCTGGTCTTGAACTCCTGACCTCAAGTGATTTGCCTGCCTTGCCTCTCAAAGTTCTGGGATTACAGGCGTGAGCCACCGCACCCAGCAAGATCCAACTTTTGAACCAACACTTCATCTTGAGATTCTTACATTCCTTGCTGGTTTTAATTTCTTTCGTCCTTTAGCACCTTTCCAGCCTTTCTTATAGCCCCCTTCTCTTTGTCCACTGCTTGTATACTGCTTTTCATTGCGCTTTTTTCCTTGGCTGTCTTTCTCACCAATCTTTTTCTGTCTCTGCCTCTCTCTTTTCCCATGTCCCCATTTTCTCTCTTCACAGATTATTGAATATTTACTATGGGTCAGGCACACTTCTAAGTACATTACATAAAATAACTCAGTTAATTTTCACAACCTCATAATTGCAGGAACTGAAACAGAGAAGTTAATTTGCCTAAGATCACATGGCTAGCTAGTAATGGAGCTATGATCCAGACGCTAGCATTTTGGCTCCAGAGCCTATGCTCTTAATCATTACATACCTTCTTTTCTTAGTCTACAAGCCCATTTGACTGAGCTTATCCATTTTTTTTTTTTAGCTTCAACTTCTAACTATAAGCTCATTTGATATCTCTAATTCCAATCATGCCTGTCATCTGAGTTCGTCATCCCTGATGCTCACTGGACAACTTTACTAGTATTTCCCCATAGGGTATTAAACAGTTGATATTCCCACAACTGAACTCACTGTCTTTCTTGCCTTTAGCTTACAGTGTCTCCATTCTCCTTGTCACCAATGCAAGAAAACTGGGAGCCATCCTACAGTTATTTTGTCCAGTGTACTCTACCTCCTGATCATTTTTGTTTCATTTCTGTTCCTTTCTCTTCTTCCCTTCTGCCACCACAACTACACTTTGGGATTATAGTAAATATTTTTCTCATTCTTTTGAGCAAAGGATTAGTTTTTACCTTATGATATTGTGAGTCTTAACTGATGAGGTTCTCTTCTTTGAATTACCTACTCTGATGCATGGAGTCACATGTGAAAGCTACCTATTAAAAAAAAACTATAGAAACCTGGCTGGATATGGTGGCTCACACCTGTAATCCTAGCACTTTGGGAGGCTGAGGTGGGCAGACCACTTGAGCTCAGGAGTTTAAAACCAGCCTGAGCAACATGGCAAAACCCAGTCTCTACAAAAAAAAAAAAAAAAAAAAAAAAAATTAGCTGGGCTTCGTGTCGCACACCTATAGTCTCAGAAACTTACTTGGGAGGCTGAGGTGGCAGGAACGCTTGAGCTCGGGAGGTCAAGGCTGCAGTGAGCTGAGATCTTGCCACTGCACTCCAGCCTGGGCGACTGAGTGAGACCCTGTCTCAAAAACAAGAAAAAAAAAATAGAAACGTATGCAATAATTTTCTGAACAAAGTTCTCTCTTGCTACTATCGTATTCCCTTAGGCTCATTTTAAAAAACTTGCTTTCAATTCTATTTTATATTACTCTACCCACAATAAACTACTTGCAGTTCCCTCAAATTTGCCAATGTGTGTGTGAGTGTGTATGTGTGTGTACATACCTGGACCATTGCCCATGCTGGAATGCCCTTTCTCGCCTCGCCTACTTGACAAATATCTATATTTTCCAAATCTCAATTCAAGATCATTTTATTCTTGAAATTATTAATGATACCTAACTTATGCCACCTCAATATGCCACGTACACTTTTTAATTTTTAACACCTATTGCCCTGATTTGCTTAAATATTTCTGTCCCTTCTGAAGTGTAATTTCTGTGAGATCAGAGACTGTATCTCATCTTTCCATTTTCAGTGGCCTAATAAAGCTGCATCTTTAGAAGTGGCTCATGGAATGATTCTACAAATAATAACTGTCATCCTTATGGAGCAGGTACCAGATGACAATAAACAGGCCAAACTGCAATGACATCTCAGCAAAGCCCACATATACCACTTATATATTTGGGAGATTTTCATAGTTTTGAAATGCTTTTGAATCTTTTTAAAGCCCTGTTTCTCTGCAATAGTAATAATAATAAAAAAAAAACTCTCAAAACAAGTATGCGTTACATGCTGGTTCCAAGAAGGAGGGAAGCTGGGGCAAACCACATCCTGCTTTCAAAGGAACCAACAAAGACCATGAGTAAAGCATGAGCTGAGGCTGATGAAGTGCACCTGTCCTGTGACAGTTCATGAGCAGTCAGCCTCTCATGAAAGTGGCAAGTTCTCTGTATTTTTACATAGCCAAGTCAGGCATTTCTAGGCTCATCTGTGGGACGAGGACACAATAGAGCAGGAAATGGCTTTGATGCTCCCAGTTTTAGTTTCCTAGGGCTGCTGTAACAAGACACCACAAACTGGGTTGCTTAAACATCTGTATTTGTTTCACGGTTGTGGAGGCTGGGAGTCTAAAATCAGCGTTGGTAGGGTTGGTTCCTTTTGGAGGCCCTAAGGGAGAAACTGACCTGGGCCGCTCCCCTAGCTTCTGGTGCTTGCTGACATTTTTGGCATTGCTTGGCTTGCAGCTGCAACCCTCCAATCTCTGTCTCCATCATCAAATGGCCCTGTCTCTGTGTATGTCTAAATTTTCCCCTTGTTTAAACTTTTAATTTTAGGTTTGTGGGGTACATGGGAAGGTTTGTTACATAGGTAAACCAATGTCATGGGAGTTTGTTGTATGCATTATTTTATCATCCAAGTGTTAGGCCAAGTACCCAATAGTTACCTTTTCTGCTTCTTTCCCTCCTGATGCCCTCCCCACTTAAGTAGGTCCCAGTGTCTTTTGTTTCCTTCTTTGTGTTCGTAGTTCTTATCATTTAGCTCCTACTTATAAGTGAGAACATATTGTATTTGGTTTTCTGTTCCTCCATTAGTTTGCTAAGGATAATAGTCTCCAGCTCCATCCATGTTCCCGCAAAAGACATGATCTTGTTCTTTTTTTATAGCTGCATAGTATTCCCTGGTATATAAGTATCACATTCTCTTTATCCAATCTGTCATTGATGGTCATTTGGGTTGATTCTATATCTTTGCTATTGTGAATAGTGCTGCAATAAACATTTGCATGTGTGTGTCTTTATGGTAGAATGATTTATATTCTTCTGGATATATATGGGATTGCTGGGTAGAATGGTAGTTCTGCTTTTAGCTCTTTGAGGAATTGCCATGCTGCTTTTCACAAGGGTTGAACGAATTTACACTCCTACCAGTAGTGTATACTGATTGTCAGAATGTTCATACCTCTTTCCGTAAATATACTCTAATGCAGTATAACCTCATCTTAACTTGATTATATCACCGAGGCTCTTATTTGTTTCCAAATAAGGTCCCATTTGTAGGTTTTAGGGGTTCAGACTTGAGCAAATCTTTTTGGGGATACTGTTCAACCCACAATGCCCCACCACACTTTAAATCTCCTTGGACCACAAGGTCAGCATATAGGCTTTTCCACTGCTTTGTTGGAGGTGGTGGTGAGAGTGGCAAAAGGTGACCATGACCTGAGAATCTTGGGGTTCTGGGTCATGAGTCATCTCCCCATCTACCTGCTTTTAGATGGATGAGGCTAAAAAGCATTATTTATTTACTTTTATTGTTTAAGGTTTCTGAAAATATATTTGAAGTAAACACATATTTTGAATGTAATAATTTAAATTATTCTAAATCATATGTTTGCTATATAAAGCATTAGAATCAAAAGTTTATATCCTTTTTAGTTTTTTTTGTTTCTTTTCTTTTCATTTTTTTTTTTTTTTTTAGAGATGGTTTCTTGCTATATTGCCAAGGCTGGTCTCAAACTCCTGAACTCAAGTGATCCTCCTGCCTTTGTCTCCTAAGTAGCTGAGATTACAGGTGTGAGCCTCCATGCTTGCCTCCTTTTTAGATTTTTAAATTATTTATTTATTTATTTAGTAGAGATGGGATTTCACTATGTTGGCCAGGCTGGTCTCAAACTCCTGACCTCAAGTGATCTGCCCGCCTTGGCCTCCCAAAGTGCTGGAATTACAGTCATGAGCCACTACACCTGGCCTGATTTTTAAAGAATTTAAATGATGTCTCAAATAATTTAACCACTAGAAAATTAAATCAATGTGCCAAAAATCATATTTCAAAAAATAATAAAAATAAAGGAGAAAATGCAATAGATAAACTGAAGAATTAGAAAATAATAGAGCAAGAGGGCTCTTAAAGATTTTTGTTTAGGTCAATAAATCCTGCCTTCCTCAGTGTGTAAAGTGAGACCCATTTAAACATTTTTTTCCAAAGTTACCCAGCTAATTAGTGGGCACAATTTAGACTATATTTCAAGTTTTTTTTTTTTTTTTAGATGGAGTTTTGTTCTTGTTGCCTAGGCTGGAGTGCAATGGTGAGATCTCAGCTCACTGCAACCTCTGCCTCCTGGGTTCAAGTGATTCCCTTGCCTCAGCCTGCCAAGTAGCTGGGATTACAGGCGCACATCACCATGCCCGGTTAATTTTTTGTATTTTTAGTAGAGACGGGGTTTCACCATGGCCCGGCTGGTCTTGAGCTCCTGACCTCAGGTGATCCGCCTACCTTGGACTCTCAGAGTGCTGGGATTACAGGTGTGAGCCACTGTGCCCGGCCTATGTTTCAAGTTTTTAAACTTCTATGTTGTTATTCTTTTCACTATATCACAGTACATTTTGGTCTTTACTATTAGACATTCTGATGGATCATGTCAAGGTTTTTTCTTTTTGCTTTTCTTAGAGAAAGTCAACTTGCAAAAGGAATAGGTTCTGAATTTCCTGGTGTGTATTTAGGTTAGTAGGTAGGATTAAGCATACATTTTATTGGAGGGGCATGATGGCTCACACCTGTGATCCCAGCACTTTGGGAAGCTGAGGTGGGCAGATCACGAGATCAAGAGATTGAGACCATCATGGCCAACATGGTGAAACCCCATCTCTACTAAAAATACAAAAATTAGTTAGGCATGGTGGTGCGCGCTGTAGTCCCAGCTACTCGGGAGGCTGAAGCAGGAGAATCACTTGAACCCGGGAGGTGGAGGTTGTAGTGAGTGGAGATCATGTCACTGCACTCCAGCCTGGTGACAGAAAAAGACTCCGCCTCAGAAAAAAAAACAACAAAAAAAGTAAGACTTCCTGATAATAAAAGAAGGTGTTATTAATAATTATGTTAGGTCAACAGGTATAAATTGGGAAGGCTTTGGGCAAACAGTCAAAAGTAGCACCCTATAAGTCAATGTCATAATGAATAAAAATGCTTCTGGGTTGTCCTTACGTTGTTTATTTGTAAATATTTTGAATATGTATGTCAATTTTACTGCATTATATAACCTAACAATCCAAAAATAGGCTTTTTAATGATCGTCTTCTGGAAAATCCTGTAATTCCTTTGAGAATGGAAGGAAAGAAAGCTCCAAATTCCTGATTGAGAGTAATTGATTTATTAAATAGGTGTTTATTGCTTACTAAATATCAGGCATTGTTCTAGGAGGTTGAGATGTGGTAATAAAGAAACAGACAAAAACCTCTATGTTTCTGAGGCTTAGATTTCAGTAATGAAACAAAGGTGATCTTACTGACCTATACAGTTAGTAAGATTTGGGTTTTGCATCGCTTTTTTCAATAATGCTGATAGAGGAATTACTGAAGCATCCTCATTCTTAGGCCAAACCAGATTCCTTGCTGACCTGTGCCATGTATTATAAAGCAGTAGATTGAGATGTGATTAGGGATACAACTGAGGTCATAGCAGAGATAGTTTTTGTGTGTGTATCTCAGCAATGTGGAAACTATGCCTATGGCCTTGAACTCTCTAGTCCTATAGTCTGATCCAGTGAGCTGATGAGTTTACAACAAAGTAAATTCATTTGTTTAGCCCAAGGGAAACATTTGCCAATTTTACAGTTGGATAATTCCTTTAAAAAATACATTAGTAGTTATTTCAGTATTAAGATTTCCCATAAATTAAATCTGTGTAGATTTCCAGCTGAGTTAGAATTTTACCAAAATGATAGAATTCTACTAATTACTATGTTAAGTAAATCCTCATCCTCTCTGTAAATAGCATAGGTGGTAATTTACCCTTCTGTAGATGTATAAATTAAGCCACCAGGAGGTTAAGTAATTTGCTCAAGGCCACAGTGTGTGGTAGGTTAGAAATTGAATTTAAAAGCCTTGATGCCTAATTTTTTTTACATCAGATAATTTCTTTCCCACATTTAGATGTATAAATTAACTGATGTCTATACATAAAAAACTTCATCTATAAATAGTAGGCAATATTTGTAATAATTCATCTACCTAATTATCATAACATTGATATTGATGTAATATTAACAGTGCTGTGGTTCATCCCAGGAAGAGCTATTGAATGACTATTTTATCTTAATGATTTTCAAGAACAGCAGACCTCAGGGAGATGGACGAGTTTTAGGTCAAGAAACATTTACATTCCGAAACTTATTCAGGCATTTCAGCTTGTAAGAAAAAATTTAATTGAATTTTTCTTGTTAAGTTTTATTCTCCTCTTAGGCCTACTCTAGGCAAGAGTGTCCTGTGAGTGGCTTTTCTGGGCTATGCAGAATGCCTGGTAGTCTACTTTCTGACACTTGATGAGGTCTCAAGATTTGGGAGTTAGGTATATGAAACAAGTTTTCGCTCTTCTGTATTTTTTATTTTTATTTTTTTGAGACGGAGTTTTGCTCTTGTTTCCCAGGCTGGGGTGCAATGGTGCAATCTCTGCTCACTGCAACCTCCGCCTCCCAGGTTCAAACGATTCTCCTGCCTCAGCCTCCCCAGTAGCTGGGATTACAGGCACATGCCACCATGCCCCGCTAATTTTGTATTTTTAGTGGAGACGGGGTTTCTTCATGTTGGTCAGGCTGGTCTCGAACTCCCGACCTCAGGTGATCCGCCTGCTGCAGCCTCAAAAAGTGCTGGTTTACGCCTCTAATCTCAGCACTTGGGGATGCCAAGGAGGGTGGATAGCTTGAGTCAGGAGTTCGAGACCAGCCTGGTCAACATGGCAAAACCCTGTCTCTACAAAAAATACAAAAATTAGCTAGGCATGGTGGCCTGCACCTGTAGTCCCAGCTACTCTGGAGGCTGATGGGGAGGATCACTTGCGCCCAGGATGTCGAGGCTGCAGTGAGCTGTGATCATGCCACCACGCTCCAGCTTGCATGACACAGCGAGACTGTCTCAAAAAAGAAAAAAAGAAGTTGTGATTTATATATTATTTGTACTCAGATATCCTTAAACTCATTTGTCTTTTATTACAAACATTCGGGTGAGTAGTCAGAAGAAAATTATTATTATTATTATTAATATTTTTTTGAGACAGAGTCTCGCTCTGTTGCCTAGGCTGGGGTGCAGTGGGCCCATCTCGGCTCACTGCAAGCTCCGCCTCCTGGATTCATGCCATTCTTCTGCCTCAGCCTCCTGAGTAGCTGGGACTACAAGCGCCCGCCACCATGCCGGGCTAATTTTTGTATTTCGTATTTTTTTAAATTTTGTATTTTTAGTAGAGATGGGGTTCCTTCATGTTCTCCAGCCTAAATCATGACTTGTAAATAATAAGTTTGCAATGATTTTTCTTGAGACCATAGGCCCAGAATAGCAGTGTGTAAATATAATATCTCAGACCAAACAAAAAAGTTCCAAACACCAAACAAAGCAAAACTCACACAGGCACGATTTATTCCACATACAGGCATACCTCATTTTATTTCATTTCACTTTATTGTGCCTTTTTTTTTTCCTGTTTGACACGGAATCTTGCTCTGTCACCCACGCTGTAGTGTAGTGGTTTGATCTTGGCTTACTGTAACCTCCACCTCCTGGGTTCAAGCGATTCTACTGCCTCAGCCTCCCAAGCAGCTGGGATTACAGGCCTGTGCCACCAGGCCCAGCTAATTTTTGTATTTTTAGTAGACACGGTGTTTCACCATGTTAGCCAGGCTAGTCTCGAACTCCTGACCTCAGATGATCCACCTGCCTCAGCCTCCCAAAGTGCTGGGATTACAGGCGTGAGCCACCGCGCCTGGCTTGTGCCTTGTATTTTTTACAAATTGGAGGTTTGTGGCAACCTTGAGCTGAGTATATTGGCAAAGTATATTGAAAGTATACAAGGCAAAGTATATTGAAAATCTTCTGGCAAAGTATATTGAAAATCTTCTGGGAAGCATTCACCATTCTAGATGCCATTTAGAGCGTTAGTGATTCACAGGAGAACATCAACATTAACAGGAGTTTGGTTGGATAGGAGGAGGTTGGATTCCAACTCTCATGAATGACTTTGAAGGTTTCAAGATTCAGTGGAGGAAGTAGGCACCATTTTCCCAACAGTATACGCTCACTTTGCATTTCTATGTCAAATTTTGGTAATTCTTGCAATACATCAAATTTTTTCATTATTACTATATCTGTTATAGTGATCTTTGATCAGTGCTCTTTTGTGTTACTATTGTAATTGTTTTGGTACATCAGGAACCACACCCATATATGAGGGTAAGCTTAATCAATAAGTCTTGTAGGTGTTCTGACTGCTCCACTGACTGGCCTTTTCCTTCCACTCTCTCTTTAGGCCTCCTCATTCTCTGTGACACAACAATGTTGAAATTAGACCAGTTATAGCCGGGTGCAGTGGCTCACACCTATAATCCCAGCACTTTGGGAGGCCGAAGCAGGTGGATCACTTGACATCAGGAGTTTGAGACCAGCCTGGCCAACATGGTGAAACCCTGTCTGTACTAAAAATAAAAAAACTAGTTGGGCATGGTGGCATGCACATAGTTCCAGCTATTCAGGAGGCTGAGGCAGGAGAATCGCTTGAACCCGGTAGGTGCAGGTTGCAGTGAGCTGAGATCCCGCCCCTCCACTCCAGCCTGGGTGATGGGAGTGAGACTCCATCTCAAAAAAAAAAAAAAAAAAAGAAAAAAGAAAAAAAAAAGAAAAGAAAAGAAAAAAGAAATTAGGCCAGTTAGTAATCCTATGATGGCCTCTAAGTGTTCAAGTACAAGGAAGAGTCATTCATCTTTGACTTTAAATCAAAAGCTAGAAATGTTTAAGGGTGGTGAGGAAGGCATGCCAAAAGTCAAGACAGGCCAAAAGCTAGACTTCTTGCTCCAAACAGTTAGCCAAGTTGTAAATTCAAAGGAGAAGTTCTTGAAGGAAATTAAAAGTGAAACTCCAGTGAACATATGAACGATAAGAAAGTCAAATAGCCTTATTGCTGACATGGAGAAAGTTTTAGTGGTCTTGACAGAAGATCAGCCACAACATTCTCTTAAGCCAAAGCCTAGTCCAGAGCAAGTGTCTCTCCTCAATTCTATGAAAGCTGAGAGAGGTAAAGAAGCTGAGAAAAAAAATGTTTGAAGTTAGTAGAGGTTGGTCCGTGAGGTTTAGGGAAAGAAACCATCTCCATAACATAAAAGTACAAGATGAGGCTGGGTGCGGTGGCTCACACCTGTAATCGCAGCACTTTGGGAGGCCGAGGTGGGCAGATCACCTGAGGTCAGGAGTTTGAGACTAGCCTGGCCAACATGGTGAAACCCCATCTCTACTAAAAATACAAAAATTAGCTGGATGTGGTGGCAGCCACCTGTAGTCCCAGCTACTCAGGAGGCTGAGTCTGGAGAATCGCTTGAACCTGGGAGATGGAGGTTGCAGTGAGCTGAGTGCACCATGCACTCCAGCCTGGGTTGCAGAGCAAGACTCCGTCTCAAAAAAAAAAAAAAAAAAAAGGTGAAGCAGCAGCAAGTGCCAAAGTAGAAGATGCACTAAGTTATCCAGAAGATCTAATTAAGATCAGTAATGGAAGTGGCTACACTAAACAACAGATTTTCAATGGCGACAGAACAGCCTTCTGTTGAAAGAAGATGGTGTCTGGGACTTTCATAACTAGACAGGAGTCAATGTCTGTCTTCAAAGTGTCAAAGGATAGGCTAACTTTCCTGTTAGGGTCTATTGCAGCTGGTGACTTTGAGTTGAAGACAATGCTCATTTGTCACTTTGAAAATTCTAAGCCCCTTAAGAATTATGCTAAATCAACTCTGCCTGTGCTCTATAAATGGATGACAGCACTTCTGTTTACAGCATGGTTTACTAAATATTTTAAGCCCAGTGATGAGATCTACTGCTCAGAAAAAAAGATTCCTTTCAAAATATTACTGCTTATTGATAATGCACCTGGTCACCCAAAAGGTCTGATGGAGATGTGCAGGACGACAAATGTTGTTTTCATGCATTCATTCTGCAGCCCATGGATCAAGAAGTAATTTCGACTTTCAAGTCTTACTCTTGAAGAAATACATTTTGTAAGACTATAGCTGCCATAGATGGTGACTCTTCTAATGGATCTGGGCAAAGTATATTGAAAACCTTCTGGGAAGGATTCACCATTCTAGATGCGATTAAGAGCATTGGTGATTAACGGGAGAATATCAACATTAACAGGAGTTTGGAAGAAGTTGATTCCCATCCCCATGAATGACTTCGAAGGTTTCAAGATTCAGTGAAGGAAGTAACTGTAGATGTGGTGGAAATAGCAAGAGAACTAGAATTATAAGTGGAGCCTGAAGACGGGACTGAATTGTTGCAATCTCATGATAAAACTTGAGCAAATCAAGAGCTGCTTCTTATGGATGAGCAAAGCAAGTGGTCTCTTGAGATAAAATCTATTCCTGGTGAAGATGTTGTGAACATTGTTGAGATGATGACAAAGGATTTAGAATAACCCATAAACTTAATTGATAAAGCAGCAGCAGGGTTTGAGAGGATTGAATCCAGTTTTGAAAGAAATTCTACTGAGACTAAAATGCTGTCAAACAGCATCGCATGCTACAGAGAAGTCTTTCATGAAAGGAAGAATCAATCTATGTGACAAACTTCATTATTGTCTTACTATGATTAGGTTGTCTTACAGCCACCCCAACCTTCAGCAACCACTGCTGACCATGTTGATCGGTCAGCAGCCATCAACATCAAGGCAAGACACTCCACCAGCAAAAGATGATGACTTGCTGAAGGCTCAGATGTTTCTTAGCATTTTTTAGCCATAATGTATTTTAAAATTAAGGTTTCTACTTTTTTTTTTAAAATACATAATGCTCTTGTACTCCGAATAGAACTGAAGTCCCACTGCTAAATTTGACTGGCTTAAAAAAATACACTACAGTATAGTGTAAACATAAATTTTATATACAGTGGGAAACCAAAATATTGTATGACTCCCTTTACTATAATATTCATTTTATTGGGGTAGTCTGGAACCAAACCGACAAGATCTCTGTATAATTTATTTGTATAGGAGAGAAAAACACACATTTGGAGTTCACATTGCTCAATATATTTCTCTAAACAAAATTCTGTCCAGTTGAAAACTTATTAGCCTTTTAAGAGAGTCTTGTTCTGCAGTTGATCCATACTCACAAATTTCATTGAATTCTTTGTAAAATCTGCACAAAAAATTACTAGAATCAGAATCTTAGAAATTATGCATATCTAAAGTAAATTTAATTTTTGGAGGGTGTTCATTTGGAAAGATCAGGGAGATTAAAGGAGAAAAATTATTACATACAAGAGGAAATAATCTTACTTTCTGGGTGAACTATTTTTCTGCATGATCAATTTCTCTTTTTAGGAGTTTGGCTAAAATGAATTATGAATTTTAGGCTTTAAGTAATATCCAGTTTGCTTTCAAATATCTCTCTCACACGCACACATATGCAGAGCACACTTTTAATTTTCAAGTCTTTATTAATGATTCCAACGCATGCAAGATATGAAAATATTTAGAAAAGGCTAGTAGAATATATGTTGTTTATTTTATGAACTACAGTAAGGCAGTTCATTAGCAAAATGTAAAAGCAAATAGAATACTATGAGACAAATGGGTCACCTTGGTACATCTAGAGAATTCTAAGAGGACAGAGTTAAATTTATCTGAATCTACTTTGTAATTGAAAAGTGTTATAATGCAATAAGAAAATATATCAACAAGTTGTAATTTCTCCTACCTTAAAAACAGCAAAAACAATAAAAAAAAAAAAAAAACCCAAAACCTCTCTTGACCCTATATTGATCCTGGTTTTTTTGTTCTCAATCTTCTTTGCTGGTTCTTTCCATTCTTTGTGACCTCTGAATATTGGTATGTTTTGTGGGCTCTTCTTTTCTCTAATTACACTTACTCCTTAGATGACCTCATCCAATACCATGATTTTAAATACACTCTATATGCTGACGGCTCCCAAATTTATATTTCCAGCCCAGCCCTCTCCCCTGAACTCTAGACTCATATATCCAACCTCTTACTGACAGTGCCACTTTTGTGTCTATCAACAGGTCCTGGTATTCCTCTCCATGCCCTCCCACCCCCAACTGCTTCCAGCCCCAAATCTGCTCCTCTTACAGTTTTTTCAATCTAAGTAAAAGGAAATTTTATTCTTCCAATTGCTTGAGTCATAAACCATGGTGTCATTTTGATTCTTGCCTCACAACCCACATTTAATCTATCAGTTAATTTTGTGGGCTCTACCATCAAAATATATCCATCCAGAGTGCAACCATTTTTCTCCTCCTTCACCTCTACTATGCAGATGCAGTCTGCTATTCTTTCTCTCCTGAATGAATGTAGTAGCTTTGCACTGGTCTCTACCTTAGTGCTAGTCTACTGAAGGTTCTTCGCAACCCAACAGGTAGAGAAATTCTTTTAAAATGAAACTCTGATGGATTGCAACATGCCTCTGTTTAAAACTTTTCAGTGACTTCTGTCTCAGAGTAAAAGCCAAGGTTCTTACAATGGCCCACAAGGCACTCTATGTGTGTCTCCCGGCCCCGCTCTGTCCTATGTCTTATAACTTCCTTCAAGTCTGCCATATTGGCTTCTTTTTGATAGAGACAGGAGGCAGGAGGGCAGGGTCCCTGGCGAGGGCTCCAACCTCAAGCCTGAACCCATGGCCCTAAATGAAAACAGGATACCTGTTTTTGTGCCCAACTGTTGCCTTTTGGCCTGCCATGCCCCTCTATCCCATACCCATATAAACTCCAAACCCTAGGCTCCACGAGCAGATGAGCAGAGGAGCAGAAGAGCAGCAGAGTGGCAGACTGGTGCAGCAGAGAAGGAGAGAATAGAAGGAGCATCTGAACACTGAGAGGAATTCAGCTGGGGATGCTCGAAGAGGAGATTGGCTGTAGGAAGGCTGAACTCCAGGGGAAGATCATTCTCCTATTCCATCCCCTTTCCAGCTCCCCATCCATCCCACTTAGAGCCACCTCCACCACTCAGTAAAATCCCCACATTCACCATTCCTCAAGTCCGTGTGACCTGATTCTGGACAAGGGCTCTGGTACCAAAAGTGTAAGGCATAAAAGGCTGCCACCCTAACTCTCCACTGAGCTGGTTTAAACACTCAGCTGTCTGTGGATGGCAGTGGCTAAAAGAGCATTAATTGTAACACACCCCTAAACGTTACTGTGAGGCCAGAGCCCAAAAGAGCTTGCCCTGGCTCCTGCACCTGGCCATCTGTGTGCTCCCTCTCCTATAAGAAAGCAAACAAGCCACACCCCTGTTGCAAGTCCCAAGCCATTTTCCTTTCTCCTTCCTGCCTGCCTTCCCTCCCTCCATCCCTCTTCCTTCTTCCTTTCCTTTCCTCTTTCTTCAGGATAGGAATGCTCTTGCCTCAGAGCTTTAGCAATAGCTGTTCCTTCTCCTGGAAGATCTACTTGGATTGTTTCTTTACTTCCTGCAGGTTTTACTCATGTGATAATGTATCTGTGAGCCCCCAACCTTCTCTGTCTTATCCTGCTTTATTTATTTATTTATTTATTTATTGACACAGTTTCACTCTGTCACTCAGGCTGGAGTGCAGTGATGTGATCTTGGCTCTCTGCAACCTCTGCCTCCCGGGTTCAAGCGATTCTTGTTCCTAACCTTCCCGAGTAGCTGGGATTACAGGCATGCACCACCACGCCTGGCTAATTTTTGTATTTTTAGTAGAGACGCGGTTTCACCACGTTAGCCAGGCTAGTCTTGAACTCCTGAGCTCAAGTGACATACTTGCCTCGGCCTCCCAAAGTGCTGGGATTGAGAGGTGACAGCCTGCTGGCAGCTCTCGCTCGCTCTCGGTGCCTCCTCGCCCTTGGCGCCCACTCTGGCCGCGCTTGAGGAGCCCTTCAGCCCGCTGCTGCACTGTGGGAGCTCCTTTCTGGGCTGGCCAAGGCCGGAGCCGGCTCCCTCAGCTTGCGGGGAGGTGTGGAGGGAGAGGCGCGGGAGGCAACCGGGGCTGCGCACTGTGCTTGCAGGCCAGCGCCAGCTCCGGGTGGGCGTGGGCTCGGCGGGCCCGCACTAGGCGCGGCCGGCGGGGCTCCCCGGTCAGTTCGGGCTTTAGCACCTGGGTCAGCAGCTGCTGCGCTCGATTTCTCGCCGGCCTTAGCTGCCTCCTCGCGGGGCAGGGCTGGGGACCTGCAGCCCGTCATGCCTGAGCCTCCCCCAACCCCCGCGTGCCGTGGGCTCCTGCCGGGCAGGAGCCTCCCCGACCAAGCGCCACCCCCTGCTCCAGGGCGCCCCGTCCCATCAACCGCCCAAGAGCTGAGGAGTGCGGGCCCATGGCAGCGCGGGACTGGCAGGCAGCTCCACCTGCGGCCCCAGTGTGAGATCCACTGGGTGAAGCCAGCTGGGCTCCTGAGTCTAGTGGGGACTTGGAGAACCTTTATCTCTAGCTGAGGGATTGTAAATACACCAATCGGCACTCTGTATCTAGCTCAAGGTTTGTAAACACACCAATCAGCACCCTGTGTCTAGCTCAGGGTTTGTAAATACACCAATCCACACTCTGTATCTAGCTAATCTAGTGGGGAGGTGGAGAACTTTTGTGTCTAGCTCAGGGATTGTAAACACACCAATTAGCACCCTGTCAAAATGGACCAATCAGCTCTCTGTAAAACAGACCAATCGGCTCTCTATATAATGGACCAATCAGCAGGATGTGGGTGGGGCCAGATAAGAGAATAAATGCCGGCTGCCCGAGCCAGCGGGGTTACTCCCTGTGGTCGTCTTCCACGTTGTGGAAGGTTTGTTGTTTCGCTTCTTGCAATAAATCTTGCTACTGCTTGCCGTTTGGGTTCAGGCTGCTTTTATGAGCTGTAACACTCACTGCAAAGGTGTGCAGCTTCACTGCTGAAGCCGTTGAGACCACGAATCCACCGGGTGGAACGAACAACTCCAGACGTGCCACCTTAAGAGTTGTAACACTCACCTCGAACGTCTGCAGCTTCACTCCTGAAGCCAGCAAGACCACGAACCCACCAGAAGGAAGAAACTCCGAACATATCCTAAAGTCAGAAGGAACAAATTCCGTATACGCTGCCTTTAAGAACTGTTAACACTCACCGTGAGGCTCCGCGGCTTCATTCTTGAAGTCAGTGGGACCAAGAACCCGCCAATTCCGGACCCAGGATTACAGGTGTGAGCCACTGCACTGTTTAATTTTTTATTATAGTGCTGTAGTGAGCCAAAATGCCGCAACAGTACTCCAGCCTGGGCAACAGAGTGAGACTTGGTCTCAAAAACAACAAAAAGTCAATTATGGTCAATTATAGTTTTACTTAACCAACTTTCTTTTATTTTTAAATTTTTATTTACTTATTTATTTGTGATAACGTCACGCTCTATTGCCCAGGCTGGAATGCCACAGTGTGATCATGGCTTACTGCAGCCTTGATCTCCCAGGCTCAAGTGATCCTCCCACCTCAGCTTCCTCAGTAGCTGGGACGGTAGGTGCTTGCCACTATGCCTGACTTACTTTTTTATTTTTGTTTTTGTAGAAGCAGGAGTCTTCCTATGTTGCCCAGGCTGGTCTCAAACTCTTGGGCTTGAGGAATTCTCTTGCCTCAGTTTCACAAAGTCCTGGGATTACAGGCTTGAGTCACCACACCCAGCCTTAACCAAATTTGATGATATTCTGGCCAGTTCAGAATTGCCTTCTGCAGCGTTCAAAAAACAAACAAAACTTGTAATTTGAATCACAACGATTTATTCAGTGAACTAAGAAGCATAGCTTTTTCTGTTATTGAATTTATGGACTGTTCACTCTTAAGAAGGAAGGCCAGCAGCACTGTATAAGAAAGATTTATCTAAGTTTTTTTTTTTTTCTTTTTTTTTTGAGATGGAGTCTTGCTCTGTTGCCTAGGCTGGAGTGTAATGGCGTGATCTCGGTTCACTGCAACCTCCGTCTCCCAGGTTCAAGCGATTCTCCTGCCTCCACCTGCCGAGTACCTGGGATTACAGGCCTGTGCCACCACGTTTGGCTAATTTTTGTATTTTTAGTAGAGATGGTGTTTCACCATGTTGCCCAGGCTGGTCTCGAACTCCTGACCTCAAGTTATCTTCCTGCCTTAGCATCCCAAAGTGCTGGGATTACAGGCGTGAGCCTCTGTGCCCAGCCCCTCTAAATTTTTCTTTTTTTCTTTCCTTTTTTTTTTTTTTTTTTTTTTTTGAGATGGAGTTTTGTTCTTGTTGTCTAGGCTGGAGTGCAATGGCGCGATCTCTGCTCATCGAAACCTCCGCCTCCTGGGTTCAAGTGATTCTCTTGCCTCAGCTTCTCGGGTAGCTGGGATTACAGGCATGCACCACCACACCCGGCTAATTTTGTATTTTTAGTAGAGATGGGGTTTCTCCATGTTGGTCAGGCTGGTCTTGAACTCCCGACCTCAGGTGATCCACCCGCCTCGGCCTCCCAAAGTGCTGGGATTATAGGTGTGAGCCACTGTGCCTGGCCTAAATTTTTCTACACTAAAATGTATAGCAATTTTAATGAACTAGTGTCATTATTGATAGAGACTAAAAATCCAATTAGTTAATCTGCTTGCCAATTTGGGTCATTGCCAAGAACTATTTCTAAATTTGATTGCATTGATTCAATAGACTTTCCTAGGTATTGAGATAAAAGGTTGGTAAAGAAAGCTAACAAACGTTTTTTTAAAAAGTATTGGGAAAAATGAAATAGTGTATCTCTCTACTTGCTTGTTATCACCATTTGTATGCTTCAAATCAAATCCAGAAACCTATATAAAAATATGAAAAGATATAAAAACACCAAGACACTGTTTTATGTACTTTCCCTCACACTCATTTTTTGCTTACACTCTTATTGCTGCTGCTGTTCTTCCAGTTAATGTGTAACTTAGTGTTGTTTTTTGAGATAAAAAAGTTTACATGATATGATTCACTTCCTTCTCTGTATATCCCATACTCCTGTAGTACACTTAACGAATCTTACTGCCTCTTGTTTTTTGCCTTTAAAATACTCATCACCAGATTATGAGCTCCTTGGCAGGGCCCATGACTAACCCTTTCTTTGTATCCCCAGTGCATAGTGTAGTACTGGTACGTGCTAGGAACTTTATAAACATTTGTTGAAATAAATTGATTTGGCCTATCTGCTGTAGTAACAGCAGGAGGGTAATCACCTGCTACTTTATTGTTTCTGGTATGGCATCTATTAATTAGCTGCTGAGTTGAGTTTTTCTAGTTAAATAGCTTTCCATGGAAAATAGGCATAATAATAGTTTCTTTTTCTTTCCAACTTTTATTTTAGGTTCAGGAGTACATGTGCAGGTTTGTTACATTTCATGGGCATTTGGTGTACTGATAATTTTGTCACCTAGGTAATCAGCATAGTACCCAATGGATAGTTTTTTTTTCTCCCCTCCCCTCCCCCTCCCCTCCCATCCCCCCCACCCCCCTTTTTTTATTCAGACATAGTTTCTCTTTTGTTGCCCAGGCTGGAGTGCAATGGCGCAATCTTGGCTCACTGCAACCTTCGCCTCCCAGGTTCAAGTGATTCTACTGCCTCAGCCTCCCGCGTAGCTGGGATTATAGGCACCCACTACCATGCCCTGCTAATTTTTGTATTTTTGGTAGAGCCAGGGTTTCACCATGTTGGCCAGGCTGGTGTCAAACTCCTGACCTCAGGTAATCCATCTGCCTCGGCCTCCGAAAGTGCTGGGATCATAGGTGTGAGCCGCTGCGCCGGCCCCAGTGGGTAGTTTTTCAAACCTTACCTTTCTCCCACCATCCACCCTCAAGTAGGCCCTGGTGTCTATTCTTCTCTTCTTTGTGTCTATGTATACTCAATGTTAATAATAGTTTCTTACTTGTAGAATTATGATGAGGAATAAATGGAATAATATATGTAAAGTGTTTTGTAAAGTACAAAGTAAACATTCAGTTTTTGGTTGGCTATTACTCTAGCTGCTACTTTTATTATTGTTCTTATTATTAATCATTTTGATTTGGTTTTGGTAACCAATGCACTATTTCAGATGAAAAGCCTAAGCATAATGGACTGTTTGAGTCCCCCCCAAATCCATACATCGGAATCCTAACCCCTAATGTGATGGTATTGGGAGGTGGAGCCTTTGGGAGGGAATTAGGTCCTAAGAGTAGAGCCCTCATGAATGGGATTAGTGCCCTTATAAGAAGAAACATGAGGGAGATGATTTCTTTCTTGGCCAGGTAAAGATACAACAAGAATACCGTCTTCGGCAAACCAGAAAGAGAGCTCTCAGCAAACACTGAATCTGCTGGTGCCTTGATCTTTAACTTCCAAGCTTGCAGAACTGCTAGAAGTAAATGTTTGTTGTTCAAACCACCCCATCAATGCTGTTTTAGCAGCCTGAACTAAGACAGAAATTGGTAGTGGGAGTAAGGTGCTGATGTAACAATTACCTAGAAATGGGGAAGTGGCTTTGAAGTTGGGTAATGGGTGGAGGCTGGAAAAGTTTTGAGGTGCATGCTGGATAAAGCCAATATTGCTATGAAGAGATTTTAAAGGTGATCTGGTGAGAGCTCAAAAAAAGAGGAGTGCTGTAGAGAAAGTTTTCATCTTATTAGACAACAATCAATCATGTACAGAGTGTTGGTGGAAATATGGACATTAAGGGCAATTCTTATACGGTCTCAGAATGGGAAAACATGTTATTGTACAATGGAGAAAAGACTATCCGTGTTATAAATTGGCAAATAACTTGGCTGAATTGTGTTCATGTTCTAGCGTTTTGTGGAAGGTAGAACTTGCAAGTGAATGTTGAAGGAGCAGCTAGCAAGAAGAGAGAAATAAAGAGAAGATAAAATTGTTAAGCAAAAAGGAGGCAGAGCTTAAGGATTTGGAAAATTCTCAGCCTGTCTACATTACAAAAAATGAGAAAGTGTGATGGGAAGGGAAGAGTGGGGTGTGGAGGAGCCACCATTTGATATGGAGATCAGCATGGGTATGAACCATGGATCTAATCAACCACCCCAACAGAAACACTAACAGTCTTTTTTTCTTTTATTTTTACAGATGTACTTTCTGCTTTTGAAACACTGACAGTTTTTATTTTTAAAATTAAAAGAAATTTTTTAGTCTTAAGGCATTATAGCCAGTTGTAGAAAAATAAGGGTTTGTATACCTCTTCTTTTCATGATCAAGGAAGACCGAAAATAATTTTCAAATATAGAAGGCTACCCTTCTCCAAAGTAGACCTAGAGCATGAGTGACTGTGAGTGTTTTCCTCTCTTTTCTCTAGCAAGAGAGTGGCAGAAAATTGCTTTGGTCTCTCTTAAGAAAGTAACTGACCTCTGAATCACTGAAGATAGCTCCCTGAGCAATGTGGGTAACAGGTTCACTGGAAACACTAAGGTTAGCCACACTTGGGTACAGATGTAGAGGGCAGGTGGCAATGTTGTGGATAAGGAGATGTAATCAGAAACACCTTATTTGGGCCAAGCATGGTGGCTCACGCCTGTAATTCTAGTACTTTGGGAGGCTGAGACGGGTGGATCACTTGAGGTCAGGAGTTCGAGACCAGCTTGGCCAACATGGAGAAACCACGTCTCTACTAAAAATACAAAAGTTAGCTGGGTGTGGTGGCACGTGCCTGTAATCCCAGCTATTCGGGAAGCTGAGGCAGGAGAATCACTTGAACTTGGGAGGCAGAGGTTGCAGTGAGCAGAGATCACAGCCCTGTACTCCAGCCTAGGAGACAGTGAGACTGTGTCTCCAAAAAAAAAAAAAAAGAAACACCTTATTTGGAAGATGGTAAAGTAATAGCTGCCTGGTTCCTGGTGGACTGTTATTCTGGGTCTTCAAGTAACAATTCAGTGCTCTTGAAAAATGGAGACCTTGTTGGGAGAGCATGGGCACCTGGTTTAAAAGGACTGAGCTCTAAGTTTTGTAATCTAGGAGTACCACTCCTGGCCTTGGCTGAGTTTGCATGGAAGTTGAATGATGGAAGGAGCACAGTGACCCTTGCTGTAATATAGATAAATAAGCATCATCACAGAATGTGATGTTAGAAGGAAAAAATCATTTCTATAAATTGAAAGATAAACAGTTTAAAAGCATAATGAAGGAGAGTTGAAACCGTAAGTAAGGCAAAATCCATAGGACGTAAATGAATGCCTTTTAATTGAATCTTTTGTGATAGCTTTAAAATTTTTTTATTGTAGTAAAATATACATAACATAAACTTTACCATCTTAGCCACTCTTAAATATGCAATTAGTGGCATTAAGTGTATTGACAATGTTTGTAACTATTATTACTATCAATTTCCAGAACTTTTTCATCATCCCTAATAAAAACTCTGTATCCATTAAATAATAAATCCCCATGCCCTTCTCCTCCCAAGCCCTGGTACACTTGTATTCTACTTTCCATCTCTATAATTTTGTCTATTTTATGTATCTCGTAAAAGTGGAATCATAAAATATTTGTCCTCTTCTGTCTGGCTTATTTTACTTAGGATAGTGTTGACAAAGTTCATTCATGTTATAGCATGTATCAGAATTCCAGTCCTTTTTAAGGCTGAATAATATTCCATTGTATATATATATACCATATTTGGTTTATCCATTCTTCTGTTGATGGACATTTGGGTTGTTTCCACCTTTTGGGTATTGTGAATAGAACTATTATAAACATTGGTGTGCAAGTATGATACCATTTTATCTTTTTTTTTTGGCTGATGAATTCCCTATAACTTGTTTTGTTATTTTATTGTTTTTTATAGCTTTGTAGGGCGTATACTTCTCTCTCTCTCTTTTTTTTTTAATTGAGGCAGGGTCTCACTCTGTTGCTCAGGATGGAGTGGAATGGTATGATTATGACTCACTACAGCTTCAAACTTCTGGGGTCAGGGAATTCTCCCACCTCAGCCTCCCCAGCAGCTGGGACTACAGACATGCACCACCACACCTGGTAAACTTTTTTTACTTATTGTAGAGATGGGATCTCACCATGTTGCCCAGACTGGTCTTGAACTTCTGGACTTAAGCGATCATCCCCTCCTTGGCCTCCCAAAATGCTGGGATTACAGGCGTGAGCCACTGTGTCTGGCCAGGCTTATACTTCTTTAGCTTATTACAGTTTAACTTCAAGTGATATTATAGGACTTCATGTATAGTACAATAAATTTATAACAGTAGACTTCCTTTTCTCCCTTGCCTGCATTTATGCTGTTAGTATTATGCATTTCACCTTTACATATATTATAAACCCCCAAACACATTGTTACTACTGTTGGGTAAACAGTCAACTATCTTTTAATAGATGTAAATAAGAAAAAATACTTTATGTATTTACTCATGTGTATTGGTCAGAGTTCTCCAAAGAAACAGAGCCAGTAGGGTATAGTAAATATGTTTATTATGAGAAATTGGCTCCGATGATTATGGAGGCTAAGAAGTCCCACAGTCTGCCATCCACGAGTTGGGAGACCGCGGAAAGCAGTGGTGTAATTCAGTCCAAGTCCAAAGGCCTGAGAACCAAGGGACCTGGTGTTGTAAATCCCAATCTGAGTGCTAGGGAAGATGGGATGAGATGTCTCAGTTCAACCAGACAGGCAGGAAGCAAAAGGGGTGAATTTTCCTTTCTGCCACACTTTATTCCATTTAGGCTCCTAACAGATTGGATGAGGCCCATCCACACTGGGAGGGCAATCTACTTTACTGAGTCCGCTGATTCAAATGTAATCTCATTCAGAAACACCCTCACAAACACATCCAGGAATAATGTTTAATCTGGGCACCTCATGGCCACTAAGTTGGCACATAAAATTAACAATCATGCCATGTATTACCATTTTTGGTTCTCTTCATTTATTTGTGCAGATTAAAATTTTCATATAGGGTATTTTTCTTCTGCCTGAAGAATTTCTTTAACATTTTTTGTAGTATGGATTTGCTGGTGATGAACTCTTTCAGCTTCGTATGTCCAAAAATGTCCTGGCCAGGCACGGTGGTTCACGCCTGTAATCCCACCCAGCACTTTAGGAGTCCAAGGCAGAGAGTTGTTTGAGCTCAGGAGTTCAAGAACAGCCTGGGCAACAGAGTGAGACTTCATCTCAAGGAAAAAAGAAAAAAAGGAAAAAAATTCTTATAAAGACATTTTTACTGAGAGTAGAATTCTAGCTTTTTTCTTTCAGCACTTTAAAAATGTTGTTCCACTGTTTTCTGGATTGCATTATTACTGAAGTTAAATCTAATGTCATCCTTATCGTTGTTTCTCTGTATATAATGTCTTTTTCCTTCTGGTTGCATTTAAGATTTTCACTTTATCACTGATTTTGAGCAGTTTGATTATTGTGTGCCTTAGTGTAGTTTTCTTCATGTCTCTTCCTTTTTTTTTTGATAGGGTCTTGCTCTGTCTCCCAGGCTGGAGTACAGTGGTGCGTTCACAGCTCACTGCAGATTCAATCTACTGGGCTCAAGAGATCCTCCTGCCTCAGCCTCCCAAGCAGCTGGGACTACAAGTATGAGCCACTGCACCTGGCTTCTTCATGTTTCTTGTACGCTTTGAGTTTTGTTGAGTTTCTTGTGTCTATCCTTTCATCAAATTTGAAACAATTTTAGTCATTATTTCCTGTAATATTTTTTCTCACATCCTCCTTTCAGGGACTCCAATTGCATGTCTTTTGTTCTAGGATGCAGTTAAATTACTTGAAAAGCATTTACTTCTTTTAAGTCTGTTTTTAAAGCTTTTTTGGTGGTACCAGTATAGTGTTTAGTCTACATCTACTTATTCCCTACTACTGAGGTAAGACTAACTAATGAGTAGACTTTTTTACCCAAAGCCCCACAAATTACGAAGTTAAGTCAATCTGGATGGGAAAATAGGCTATTTCTGGCCTTGTGTGAGTGCTAAAACACTGTTTCCTTTAATCCTCTTGGGTGGTTTTTTTCCTGGCCACAGGTAACTGCCTCAAATGCCTACAATGATTAATACTCTGCTAAATACTTAAGGGAGACCCTTTACAAATCTCTGGAATTCTATCTCTGCTCAGCCCTCTTTTCTCTGGTACTCGGTCTTGCAAATTCCAGCTGCCTTGGGTCTTCTTGGACTTTCAGCTCTGTCTCCTCAATCTGGGTCATTCACTGGGCTCTGCTTGGATATCTCCTCTTAGTGTCATGGCCTGGAAACTCTGCAAAGCAGTAAGTTGCACCTGTCATAGGGTTCACCTCATTTGTTTACTATCTCACAGGGATCACTTTGGTTTGTTGCCTGATGCTAGTATCTTGAGAGCTGTTGTTTAATATATTTTATCTGTTTTTCTTTTTGTTGTTTCACCCAGGGGGGTTTGCGCCCCCTTAGTCCATCTGTACTGGAAGAAGAAATTCCAGGTTAGTGCCTTAAAAAAATATGTCAATGGGAGAAGAGGCGATAATGCTAGTGGTGCTAGAATGATAGAAATGCCGTTTGCTAGAAAGTTGTTTAATTATGGCTGTAAAATAGTATTTTTGCCTACAGTAAACAGCCTGATGAAGTGAACAGAATATGAACCTTGTAGTTGGTGGCTTGAATTTCAGCTCTGTCACTTAGTAGCTGCCAGACTTTGAACAAGTTACTTCATCTTTGAGTCCTGGTTTCTTTATCTATAGATATAAAAATGAGAAATATGAATATCTGACTCATGGTGTTATGGTAAGATTAGATAAGATGGTATATACAAATTGCCTGCTACAGTGTTTGGCATAGTATTCCCTAAACAAAAGTTAATTCCTTTCTTCTTTTTATTTATTTCTGTATTTATCATCACAGCTCACTGCAGCCTCAACCTCCCGGGCCCACGCGATCCTTTCTCCTCAGTCTTCCAAGTAGCTGGGATTACAGGCATGCGCCACCACGCCTGGCTAATTTTTGTATTTTTTGTAGAGATGGGGTTTTGCCGTGTTGCTCAGGCTGGACTGAAACTCCTGAGCACAAACAGTTCACCAACCTTGGCTCCCCGAAATGTTGGAATTACAGGCATGAGCCTCCCTACCCTGCCATAAATTAATTCCTGTCTTTAATAGCCTCTCTTGTTCTCCATTTTCTCTATTTCTTCTACAAGATAATTCTGCATGTTTTCTATCATTGAATTTTATACAGTCTGGGAGAAAAGCAATAAGCCTTATTATAAATTTCTTCAGGATACAGGACATAGAGTTTTCCTTCCTTTCTTTTTTATTTCTTCATACATCAAACACCTGTTATATAAAAGAGAATGTGCTGCAAACTAAGGAATAAAAATATGCATGATAGGGTCCTTGCTCTCCAAGAGCTGACAAACAAGCAAGTAAGATGGGCATGTAACCCAACGTATAAGATGGCACTATAGAAACACCATGTCTCTTTGCAAAAGAGAAAGCTGATGGCTTGCTGGCTGACAGATAAAAGCACCATGTCTGTATCCAGTCTGTCTTCAGCTTCTTTTGTTGTTTACTTCTTCAATATCTGATTTATTTCAAGGCTGAGGCTCTGATCCAGCTGACCCTGTCGCTGCAGAAACCATTTGATTCTTGCTACTTAGTGTGTTCAAAAGTCACTTTGTGGTAGACAGTATTCTTAATGAGCTGACAAAGCTGAGGCCAGAGTTCCCCGAGTCATGGCACCTCATCTGGGGGACTCTTTGCCTCTGGACATGAAGTGATTACCTAAGGCACTGACTTTAGGAAAAGATGAAAGGCATCTCTTTATAAGCCTTCCTTGATCTTGACACTGAAGGCCTAAATGGCATTCTCATCAAGCATTTACTAACTCATCACCAGCCAATCAATAGGAATTTGGCAGAAGGGAAGAAAGGACACAATTCTTCAGGCAGGGAATTAAAACTAGCATAGTTAAAGAATGACAGTCTTTCAGTGGAAAGAGTGCAGGACTGGAAATGAGGAGACGAAAGTTTCAATCTAATCTTTTTATGTAAAATGGCATTAGACAACTATCTTGGAGTTTTAAAATTCTAGGCTCTGACTGTGGAAACAATTAAGTACTGTAGTGCTATGCATATTAGTAAGAAAACCCAGAAAAAATATATGATCATTTATGTGATTTTTAAAGGTTTTATTTCTGCAGTGTAGCTTTAAATTTATTTATTTCAGACTAAACAAAATGCAATTTTTCTTCTGACTAAAGAACACAATTGTTTCTTTAAATGCCTTGTTAGTAGAAATAGAAGAGAAAGTGCTTACAAACCAGAGAGGAAGTGGCACCACATGGCCAGACTGACTATCGCTAGCCCCATCGGAGTGTGGGTGACTCTGGTTGTGGGTGTGTCTCTTTCGGTCTTACATCCTAACAGAGGAAATTGCTCCACTTGCTGAAGACCTGGGGTTCTTTCAGATCTTCCGGGGTGGGTACAAAGATCAATTTGACCCTGCACATCTCTACACTATGACTTTGGATATGAGGTCCTCAAGGGCGAGAACTTTGCACTAAATACATACATGTTAAATGAGTGCTGGGCACTCAAAACCTACCTGTTTCTAAGAGACAGCTTAGCATAATGGCTAGGCACATGGGCTTTGAAGTCAGATTCCTGCTCTGCCACTAACCAAGTATGTAAGTTAATTAACCCCTCAGTGTTTCAGTTTTCTCATCTGTAAAATGGGAATCACAGTTACCTCATTAAGTTGATATGAGAACTACATGAGGTAATACAAGTCGAGACCTGACACAAGGCTGAGGAAACACTCATTAAGCCCGAGCAATATAGGTGGAGCTAGGGTAGAGCAAATGACAATAACCATCAGTAACTTAATCGTGCAGGAAGAACAGATATTGTTCTCATTGCATAAATGAGGAATCTGAGATTCAAGGAGCTTAAGTAACTTGCCCAGGCCATACAGCTAGGAAGGGAATGGAACCAATTCTAGATTTCATGGTTTTAGACCCCTGAGTCGGTCTAGTGCTGTCTCCACAATGAATTGCCTCAGATGAATAGAGGTGGTGACTTGTCCAGTGGGCCAAATCTGACCCTGGAACATGGGGGTAGTCTCACCTCCCAGATGTTCCAGGCCAAATGGTATATGCCATGTTTAAACTAGGGACTGCCTAGAGCTTTCTGTGATAGGAAAGTGGAAAATTGATATTTCTGGGAGTTCTTGATATTTCTGGGAGTTCTTCATAGCATCCAGTGCTTAGATGCCTTCAAAAACTTCCATTTTCAAATTATAACTGACATTCATTTTCTAAACAGGAGAGACCTCCTGACAGTATGTATCCCTTATCTGATCTGCCCAACATTTGCTTAGAGAAGTGACAGACACTGACCTTTTAGTCCTCGTTGCATATAGCCATAAGGATAATCTTTATGACTTTAAAAAAAGATGGTCAATTCCAATTGAAGCAGACATTATATCAGATGATTTACATACTTACCTAATTTATCATTATAACATTCTGCAGAGATATAATTTATCTCCATTTTATGTTTTTTCCCAAGGTTATACGTTTTGTAAGGGAAGTAGAATGTGAACCTATGACTTCTTCAAAGAAGCTTCTTCCAAGTTCCTTCTCTGAGTATATGACACTGCCTTGCTCTTAACAAACAAACAAACAGATACTTCATTCCATTTCATTCATCAAAATTCAACTAAAAAATTACCTACTGATGTGTTACTCTATGCCCAGCCCAGTGGTACAGTTCTAAGCATCTTAAAACCTTGTTATGGAGTCTTAATATCTTTATGTTTTAGCTTGTGCCATTTTAGGGAAAGTTATAATTTACATTGTTCAGAGCTACTCCCTGGCATATCTTCAAGACTTAATAAAGATTTTGTGGAGGTGGGAAGATGGAAAGATAAAAAAACAATCAAGGCCAAAGAAAGACCTCCATGCATAAGATCATTGGCTCTGTATAAATGGAATAAAAAGCATGAGATGGCCTGTATTTTATTAGGATAACACACTTGAGGTAATATCAAGTTCTAAGCCAAAACCTTACAGTGTAACTTTTAGAAATTCTTGTATCACTGCGAAGTAATTTAGGACCAGAGCAGGGGTGGCTAAATACAGCCTGCAGGCCAGATTAAGCCCACAGGGATATTTTGTCCACACTCAGCTCCCACTGAGAACAAGCAACAACCTTCAGCTGTGGGCGGACGCTGACTCACAGACTGTGTTGCTACTCAGAGCCTTGCCAGCACCAACTAGCTCCAGAGAGATGGGATAGGGCAGTGTCAATCTGGCCTCCAAGGCCCTTTCTGGCTATTATCCCCTGGGACTTGATGATTCAGTACTGCCACAGATCCTGGATTTGTTGGCTAAGCACACCCATGGAGAGAGGCATGGGAGAATGGAAAGGTAGCTGTAGCAGAGAGAGGAGAGTAGCAGTGGTGCCTTAGAGGATGCTTCCTCTTCCTTTGCAGGATTTCAGTCTCATGAGAGTGACCCTTCTGTGTGTCGATGAGTCGCCAGGGAGGGGTTTGCGAATGCTGGGTACAAGTTTACCTGCTGACTGCTGCCCCTTTCAGCAACCTGTTGCCAGTCATTTGTTAGGAACCACTGTGATCTCTTGTAGCTGAATCAGACACCCACAAGAGACCACAGATACGCCTTGCTCTGCCACGTAGTGGGAAAGAATGTCTCTCTTCTATTTTGAGTTACACTTAGATTTTTTGCTCGTGGACTCTTTCCCCCCTGTGACTTAGACATGAAAACTTGTGGAGCTGGCATGGGGACAAAGCAGACATGACATTGGACTCAGAGACACCACTCTCCTCTAGTGGCCAAATCTTTGTGTCTGACTTCTTGTTCTGATAGGATGAGCTATTTTCCTTTCTTCTTTTCTTTTCTTTTTTGTATTTTTTGCTTTCAGCCAACTCACAGCAGGATGAATTCTTTTCTAAGGGACTCATGGTTGTTCACACAAAATGACCTGTGGATAACCAAGCTACTAGCTTGCCAGGCATATCTATATTTGTTGGAACCTCGGGAGTGGGCACAATTTAACACAAATGGAAATTTGAATACACAAGTTATTAATGAAATGTCAAATCTACCCTTTACTGTCCTTGACTCTATAAGATGTAAATAATTAGAATTCTAAGATTTGCCTGTAATCTGGGAAATTTATTTTAGAAAAATCTCTCTGAATATGACATAACATGGAGTCAAATGTCAAGGGAGAGAAAAAAATGGCATAGATGATATGGGAAGAATGGTAGGATAAAACATTTCAAAGAAATATTTTTAACCCCTTCTGGCTTAAGAGGAAAATTACATTTTTGCAAAATAGTCACAACATGATGCACTGATATTTTGTAAATAAACTGTAACTTTAAATTTAGTTTTAGAAAAACCAGTGTGGACAACAGAAAACTTCGACTTATATAAAACTATAAAAGAATGTTATACTATGTTAAACTATAAAAGAAAACCAATTGTAATACAGTATGGAGAAGACTACATACCTAATTGTATCAGTCTCTTTTCACTTTCATTTTCAAGGTTATCACCCTTCAGTGAAGATAAACACTACTAAAAGCTTGTCAGCTCTTTTTGAGACAGGATAAAGGATTTGTTTCTTTGCCTGTCTCAAGGAGATAGATGTGGACTTCAGTGTCCTTCTATAAAGCAGTCGAAGAGCCTAAACAAGATGAAGTGGCAGCATGTTGATGGAGTATATTCGAAGGTGACAAGCAGCCTTGCAGACAGTTCTGCAAACAAGACTTCAGAGAGCTCTTACGATAGGAAAAAAAAAAAGTGCCCTTCCAAGGTTAGAAGTTAGGAATGCATTGTGCCTTTAAGAAGGCCAGCCCACAGATGAGGACGTGGAGTTTTCTTTTGCCTGAAGGGCATTTTCTTTTTAAAAATGATAGACATATCCTAAACATTAATTTAGAGTTTTCAGAGAATGAAATAGGCTTCAGAATTTTTTTTTTAAAGATTAGAATCGGAGAGTTCTTTTACAGGAAATACCACAATTTACAATTTCTTTGGCAAAGTGTGAACTGGGTAGCTCTTTGAACATTAGAGATGGTTAGAGCTGTGAAAGTTTTAAGATATTATCTGGTCCAATTGCTTCTTTTAAGAGAATAGAAAGGTGAGACCCAGAGAGTGTTAAATAACTTGGAGTAAAAGGTAAAAGGGATAGTGTGTAGGCAGGACCAGACTAATATTTTTATTTCTGGTCTTGTAAGTTTCATTGAATCATTCTGTGCAATACTGAATATACACTATGTCATGCAAAATTACAGAACTCTGTGTGTGTGTGTGTGTGTGTGTGTGTGTATGTGTGTGTGAGATAGAGAGACAGAGAGAAAGAGAGAGAGACTAATCAATAAGCCTGTTTGGCTACCATGTAGTGGCTGCCATTTTTTCCTTCTGTTTGGGCTCCCCGATGGGTAGTACTTTTGTGGGACATTCTCTCCTAAAAACACATGGCCACCATTTTCTCTATATACTTCATTGGAGCCCTCAAGGTGCTAATAGTGTCCTGTGAACTGGGGGAAATTACCTCTACACTTCTGCTCCTTTTTGTCTTAAACTCTGTTTGAATGCTCTATGGGTAGACTTTTAACATTTTTTTATAATGTAAAGTTTTTGGTATTAGCTGTCATGGAGCATAAGACTAATTTGATTTCCTCCCACTCTTCTATTACTGTAATTTCCATGGCTCAGTGGCTTCTGGCATCCATACAATGGACAGTTGGCAGGAATTAGAGTGACGTGGGGGACTGCTTGTTGCTTACTGCTTGAGTAACTTTTATTATTTCCAGTGGGTGCAAAAGAAATCAAAGGGCTATAGCTATATATGCATTTTTTTCCTTGGGTAAATTTGGGCCTCTAGGGGAGTCAAGAGTCTTGGCAAGAAATCTATCTTGACTGGCCAGCGATTGATACAAGAGTGGGTTAGGGAAAAAACCTGTGCTATTCTCTTCACTTCTCCTGCCATGTGATCCTGAGCAAGCAACTTAATTCCTTAAAAATGTACTTTTGTCATTTGTGATACAGGAATGATAAGAGTAGCTCCCTCAAAGGTCTGTTTTGGATAAAAAAAGACTGCATTAAGACATCTTGTATCACACTGCCTCAATAAACATTGTTATCAGTGTTCCCTACTATTCCTTTCAGCAGGCAAAAAGACTGGCAAGGATTAGGGGTTGCAGGGAAAATATTTGCAAATAACATACAATAAAAAACTTAAATCCAGAATGTATAGAGAACTCTTACAAAAATAAGAAAACAAATGGCCCAGTTCAAAAATGGGCAAAGATTTAAGTAGACACATCATCGAAGAAGGTATGAAAATGGCAAATAAAGATGCTCATTAATCACTGGGAAATGCAAATTTAAATGCAGTGAGATAGCACTACATACCAAGTAGAAAGGCAATAATCAAAAAGACGTAATATCAAGTGTTGTGAAGGATGTGGAGGAACTTGAACTTTCTTCAGTGCTGGAGGGAATGTAAAATGTGAACTGGAAGGCAATTTGGCAGTTTCTTAAAAGTCAAAAATATAGTTTCCTAGAATCCACCCAAAAGAAATGAAAATATAAGTCCACAAATTCTTGTATGTAAAGATTCATAGCTATATTATTCAAAATAGCCAAATAAGAAGTGTTAAAAAAATCTAAATGTCCCTTAATTCATGAATGGATAAACAAAATGTGATATATCCATTTTGCTGAATTCTACTGAGCAATAAAAAGGAATAAATTATTAATACATGCAGCAACATGGATGAATCTCAAAAACATTATGCAAAGTGAAAGGAGCCAAGCACAAGAACTACATGTGTTAAGATTCCATTTATATGAAATTTCTACAGAAAGCAAAACTATTGCCCAGAAAAGCAGATCAATAGTTATGTAGGTATGGGTATTGTAGTTGGGACTGATGGCAGATGGGCACAGAGAAACTTTCTGTGGTGACAGAAGTGTTGTAAAACTGAACTGTGGTGGTAGATGCACAAGTGTACACATTTATTAAAATTCATTGAACTGTATACAGAAAATGGATACATTTTATAATATGTAAATGGTACCCAAATAAAACTGTTAAAATATATTTGAACAGGGGATACAATGGTCACTGGTTGACTTTTAGCTTCCTAGTATGCCTTTCACTGTTATTTTGGTAATAGCAGTGTAATCTTTTCCTCATTGACGAAAGCCAAGGGAAGGGCGGTTAGTACTCTCTGTTTGGAAGAAGGGAAAATCTTACTTCAAACTTTCTTAAGAAATAAAGAAGAGGATTAAGTTGTTGGCAGTATTTCAAGCCTTCCGTGGGGGAATAAGGGAAGTCCCACTGGCTATGATTGGTCTACCTTGGGTCCTGCGCCTTTCCTTGAACCACCCATGGTTTCTAGGGAAATATGGTTTAAATGACTGGTCAAGAGTAAGTCACGTGCCACTTTTGGCAACTTCACCAGAAACTGACCAACTTTGGGTTTTCTTTCTTTGGAGAGAGGTTGAGTCCTTTGTCAATTTTATTGGCAATACTTACAAAATGTTGGATAGGGACATTTTGGATCTATAATGTAAAGAAGGATGATGTATGAGGATATCAGGAAGCCAAAGGGCTGGACCAGGGTGGACGTTCCTTGTTTTCAGCTGCCTAACATCCATTCCAACTTTTGGTATTGCCAAATTTCTTTTTTCAAGGAATAGCCTCTCTCCATTTTGAAAAATGGGGTGAGGTGGGGCATATGATTGCAGTTAAATTAATCAGATGCTTGTTCCATTAACATGAAACCTGAGTAGATTACAGACAAGACTAAAATTAATTTGAACAAATTCATTCAAGGGAGGGTGTATCCTGGTGACTCCTGGAGCTCCTTTGGATCTGTTGTTCAACATTCCCATCAGTTCACTATTGCAAATATTTCTAACAAATTTACCTAAACAAGACAGACTTAATGAACAAATAACAGGCATTATTAAACTAGCAATTCTTTTGTTAACAATATGAACAAAATAGATAATTGATGAATTTGTATGTTGGGAACTCCACTTTGGTATTTATTTATTTAGAGACGGAATCTCACTCTGTCACCCAGGCTGGAGTGCAGTGGCACGGTCTCGGCTCACTGCAACCTCTGCCTCCTGGGTTCAAGCAATTCTCTGCCTCAGCCTCCCAAGTAGCTGGAATTACAGGCACCCGCCACCACGCCTGGCTAATTTTTTGTATTTTAATAGAGATGGGGTTTCACTATCTTGGCCAGGCTGGTCTTGAACTCCTGACTTTGTGATCCACCCGCCTCGGCCTCTCAAAGTGCTGGGATTACAGGCGTGAGCCACCACACCTGGCCCTGGTTTTTAGTTCTCTACCACATTTGTGTTTGTCATTCATGAGCATATGTGAAAATGTATACCTGCATGAAGATGCATTTATCATAGGTAAGGAGTGTGAATTTCAAGACAGTAAAGGGTGATAGTGAGAGTATCAGCCTGCAGTGTGAACCCTTTATACAATCTATATATTGTGAGGCTAGAAACACGGCTTGGAAGTGTAGTTTTAAAGAATATGATTTCTAGAGATATGGAAGCAGAATAATAATAATAATAATTCGTTCTTTGAAAAATGAAAAGTTAGATATGTGAGTTTTACTTTATTTTTTTTTATTATTATTATACTTCAAGTTTTAGGGTACATGTGTACAATGTGCAGGTTAGTTACATATGTATACATGTGGCATGCTGGTGTGCTGCACCCATTAACTCGTCATTTAGCATTAGGTATATCTCCTAATGCTATCCCTCCCCCCTCCCCCCACCCCGCAACAGTCCTCAGAGTGTGATGTTCCCCTTCCTGTGTCCATGTGTTCTCATTGTTCAATTCCCATCTATGAGTGAGAACATGCGGTGTTTGGTTTTTTGTCATTGCGATAGTTTACTGAGAATGATGATTTCCAATTTCATCCATGTCCCTACAAAGGACATCAACTCATCATTTTTTATGGCTGCATAGTATTCCATGGAGTATATGTGCCACATTTTCTTAATCCGGTCTATCATTGTCGGACATTTGGGTTGCTTCCAAGTCTTTGCTATTGTGAATAGTGCTGCAATAAACATATGTGTGCATGTGTTTTTATAGCAGCATGATTTATAGTCCTTTGGGTGTATACCCAGTAATGGGATGGCTGGGTCAAGTGGTATTTCTAGTTCTAGATCCCTGAGGAATCGCCACACTGACTTCCACAATGGTTGAACTAGTTTACAGTCCCACCAACAGTGTAAAAGTGTTCCTATTTCTGCACATCCTCTCCAGCACCTGTTGTTTCCTGACTTTTTAATGATTGCCATTCTAACTGGTGTGAGATGGTATCTCATTGTGGTTTTGATTTGCATTTCTCTGATGGCCAGTGATGATGAGCATTTTTTCATGTGTCTTTTGGCTGCATAAATGTCTTCTTTTGAGAAGTGTCTGTTCATATCCTTTGCCCACTTTTTGATGGGGTTGTTTGTTTTTTTCTTGTAAATTTGTTTGAGTTCATTGTAGATTCTGGATATTAGCCCTTTGTCAGATGAGTAGGTTGCAAAAATTTTCTCCCATTTTGTAGGTTGCCTGTTCACTCTGATGGTAGTTTCTTTTGCTGTGCAGAAGCTCTTTAGTTTAATTAGATCCCATTTGTCAATTTTGGCTTTTGTTGCCATTGCTTTTGGTGTTTTAGACATGAAGTCCTTGCCCATGCCTATGTCCTGAATGGTATTGCCTAGGTTTTCTTCTAGGGTTTTTATGGTTTTAGGTCTAACATGTAAGTCTTTAATACGTCTTGAATTAATTTTTGTATAAGGTGTAAGGAAGGGATCCAGTTACAGCTTTCTACATATGGCTAGCCAGTTGTCCCAGCACCATTTATTAAATAGGGAATCCTTTGCCCATTGCTTGTTTTTCTCAGGTTTGTCAAAGATCAGATAGTTGTAGATATGCGGCGTTATGTACCAGTCCCATGCTGTTTTGGTTACTGTAGCCTTGTAGTATAGTTTGAAGTCAGGTAGTGTGATGCCTCCAGCTTTGTTCTTTTGGCTTAGGATTGACTTGGAGATGCGGGCTCTTTTTTGGTTCCATATGAACTTTAAAGTAGTTTTTTCCAATTCTGTGAAGAACGTCATTGGTAGCTTGATGGGGATGGCATTGAATCTATAAATTACCTTGGGCAGTATGGCCATTTTCACGATATTGATTCTTCCTACCCATGAGCAGGGAATGTTCTTCCATTTGTTTGTATCCTCTTTTATTTCATTGAGCAGTGGTTTGTAGTTCTCCTTGAAGAGGTCCTTCACATCCCTTGTAAGTTGGATTCCTAGGTATTTTATTCTCTTTGAAGCAATTGTGAATGGGAGTTCACTCATGATTTGGCTCTCTGTCTGTTATTGGTGTATAAGAATGCTTGTGATTTTTGTACATTGATTTTGTATCCTGAGACTTTGCTGAAGTTGCTTATCAGCTTAAGGAGATTTTGGGCTGAGACAATGGGGTTTTCTAGACATACAATCATGTCATCTGCAAACAGGGACAATTTGACTTCCTCTTTTCCTAGTTGAATACCCTTTATTTCCTTCTCCTGCCTAATTGCTGTGGCCAGAATTTCCAACACTATGTTGAATAGGAGTGGTGAGAAAGGGCATCCCTGTCTTGTGCCAGGTTTCAAAGGGAATGCTTCCAGTTTTTGCCCATTCAGTATGATATTGGCTGTGGGTTTGTCATAGATAGCTCTTATTATTTTTAGATACATCACATCAATACCTAATTTATTGAGAGTTTTTAGCATGAAGGTTGTTGAATTTTGTCAAAGGCCTTTTCTGCATCTATTGAGATAATCATGTGGTTTTTGTCTTTGGTTCTGTTTATATGCTGGATTACATTTATTGATTTGCGTATATTGAACCAGCCTTGCATCCCAGGGATGAAGCCCACTTGATCATGGTGGATAAGCTTTTTGATGTGCTGCTGGATTTGGTTTGCCAGTATTTTATTGAGGATTTTTGCATCAATGTTCATCAAGGATATTGGTCTAAAATTCTCTTTTTTGGTTGTGTCTCTGCCCGGCTTTGGTATCAGGATGATGCCGGCCTCATAAAATGAGTTAGGGAGCATTCCTTCTTCTTCTATTGATTGGAATAGTTTCAGAAGGAATGGTACCAGTTCCTCCTTGTACCTCTGGTGGAATTAGGCTGTGAATCCATCTGGTCCTGGACTCTTTTTGGTTGGTAAGCTATTGATTATTGCCACAATTTCAGAGCCTGTTATTGGTCTATTCAGAGATTCAACTTTTTCCTCGTTTAGTCTTGGGAGGATGTATGTGTTGAGGAATTTATCCATTTCTTCTAGATTTTCTAGTTTATTTGCATAGAGGTGTTTGTAGTATTCTCTGATGGTAGTTTGTATTTCTGTGGGATCGGTGGTGATATCCCCTTTATCATTTTTTATTGTGTCTATTTGATTCTTCTCTCTTCTTTATTAGTCTTGCTAGCGGTCTATCAGTTTTTTTGATCCTTTCAAAAAACCAGCTCCTGGATTCATTAATTTTTTGAAGTGTTTTTTTTGTCTCTATTTCCTTCAGTTCTGCTCTGATTTTAGTTATTTCTTGCCTTCTGCTAGCTTTTGAAGGTGTTTGCTCTTGCTTTTCTAGTTCTTTTGATTGTGATGTTAGGGTGTCAATGTTGGATCTTTCCTCCTTTCTCTTGTGGGCATTTAGTGCTATAAATTTCCCTCTACACACTGCTTTGAATGTGGCCCAGAGATTCTGGTATGTTGTGTCTTTGTTCTTGTTGGTTTCAAAGAACATCTTTATTTCTGGCTTCATTTTGTTATGTACCCTGTAGTCATTCAGGAGCAGGTTGTTGAGTTTCCATGTAGTTGAACAGTTTTGAGTGAGTTTCTTAATCCTAAGTTCTAGTTTGATTGCACTGTGGTCTGAGAGACAGTTTGTTATAATTTCTGTTCTTTAACATTTGCTGAGGAGAGCTTTGCTTCCAAGTATGTGGTCAATTTTGGAATAGGTGTGGTGTGGTGCTGAAAAGAATGTATATTCTGTTGATTTGGGGTGGAGAGTTCTGTAGATGTCTATTAGGTCCACTTGGTGCAGAGCTGAGTTCAATTCCTGGGTATCCTTGTGAACTTTCTGTCTCGTTGATCTGTCTAATGTTGACAGTGGGGTGTTAAAGTCTCCCATTATTATTGTGTGGGAATCTAAGTCTCTTTGTAGGTCACTCAGGACTTGCTTTATGAATCTGGGTCCTCCTGTATTGGGTGCATATATATTTAGGACAGTTAGCTCTTCTTGTTGAATTGATCCCTTTACCATTATGTAATGGCCTTCTTTGTCTCTTTTGATCTTTGTTGGTTTAAAGTCTGTTTTATCAGAGACTAGGATTGCAACCCCTGCCTTTTTTTGTTTTCCATTTGCTTGGTAGATCTTCCTCCTTTTATTTTGAGCCTATGTGTGTGTCTGCACGTGAGATGGGTTTCCTGAATACAGCACACTGATGGGTCTTGACTCTTTATCCAATTTGCCAGTCTGTGTCTTTTAATTGGAGCATTTAGTCCATTTACAGTTAAAATTAATATTGTTATGTGTGAATTTGATCCTGTTGTTATGATGTTAGCTGGTTATTTTCCTCGTTAGTTGATGCAGTTTCTTCCTAGTCTCGATGGTCTTTACATTTTGGCATGATTTTGCAGCGGCTGGTACTGGTTGTTCCTTTCCATGTTTAGTGCTTCCTTCAGGAGCTCTTTTAGGGCAGGCCTGGTGGTGACAACATCTCTCAGCATTTGCTTGTCTGTAAAGTATTTTATTTCTCCTTCACTTATGAAGCTTAGTTTGGCTGGATATGAAATTCTGGGTTGAAAATTCTTTTCTTTAAGAACGTTCAATATTGGCCTCCACTCTCTTCTGGCTTGTAGAGTTTCTGCCGAGAGATCTGCTGTTAGTCTGATGGGCTTCCCTTTGTGGGTAACCCGACCTTTCTCTCTGGCTGCCCTTAACATTTTTTCCTTCATTTCAACTTTGGTGAATCTGTTAATTATGTGTCTTGGAGTTGCTCTTCTCGAGGAGTATCTTTGTGGCGTTCTCTGTATTTCCTGAATCTGAATGTTGGCCTGCCTTGCTAGATTGGGGAAGTTCTCCTGGAAATATCCTGCAGAGTGTTTTCCAACTTGGTTCCATTCTCCCTGTCACTTTCAGGTACACCAATCAGACGTAGATTTGGTCTTTTCACATAGTCCCATATTTCTTGGAGGCTTTGTTTCTTTTTATTCTTTTTTCTCTAAACTTCCTTTCTCTCTTCATTTCATTCATTTCATCTTCCATCACTGATACCCTTTCTTCCAGTTGATCGCATCGGCTCCTGAGGCTTCTGCATTCTTCACGTAGTTCTCGAGCCTTGGCTTTCAGCTCCATCAGCTCCTTTAAGCACTTCTCTGTATTGGTTATTCTAGTTACACATTCGTCTAAATTTTTTTCAAAGTTTTCAACTTCTTTGCCTTTGGTTTGAATTTCCTCCTGCAGCTCGAAGTAGTTTGATCATCTGAAGCCTTCTCTCAACTCGTGAAAGTCATTCTCCGTCCAGCTTTGTTCCGTTGCTGGTGAGGAACTGCGTTCCTTTGGAGGAGGAAAGGCGCTCTGCTTTTTAGAGTTTCCAGTTTTTCTGCTCTGTTTTTTCCCCATCTTTGTGGTTTTATCTACTTTTGATCTTTGATGATGGTGATGTACAGATGGGTTTTTGGTGTGGATGTCCTTTGTGTTTGTTAGTTTTCCTTCTAACAGACAGGACCCTCAGCTGCAGGTCTGTTGGAGTTTGCTAGAGGTCCACTCCGGACCCTGTTTGCCTGGGTATCAGCAGTGGTGTCTGCAGAACCGTGGATTTACGTGATCCGCGAATGCTGCTGTCTGATTGTTCCTCTGGAAGTTTTGTCTCAGAGGAGTACCCGGCCGTGTGAGGTGTCAGTCTGCCCCTACTGGGCTGTGCCTCCCAATTAGGCTGCTCGGGGGTCACAGGTCAGGGACCCACTTGAGGAGGCAGTCTGCCGGTTCTCAGATCTCCAGCTGCATGCTGGGAGAACCACTGCTCTCTTTAAAGCTGTCTGACAGGGACATGTAAGTCTGCAGAGGTTACTGCTGTCTTTTTGTTTGTCTGTGCCCTGCCCCCAGAGGTGGAGCCTACAGAGGCAGGCAGGCCTCCTCAAGCTGTGGTGGGCTCCACTCAGTTCGAGCTTCCCTGCTGCTTTGTTTACCTAAGCGAGCCTGGGCAATGGCGGGCGCCCCTCCCCCAGCCTTGCTGCCGCCTTGCAGTTTGATCTCAGACTGCTGTGCTAGCAATCATCGAGACTCCATGGGCGTAGGACTCTGAGCCAGGTGTGGGATATAATCTCCTGGTAGGCAGTTTCCTGAGCCTGTTGGAAAAGCGCAGTATTCGGGTGGGAGTGGCCCGATTTTCCAGGTGCTGTCTGTCACCCCTTTCCTTGACCAGGAAAGGGAACTCCCTGACCCCTTGCGCTTCCCGAGGGAGGCAATGCCTCGCCCTGCTTTGGCTGGTGCACAGTGTGCTGCATCCACTGTCCTGCACCCACTGTCTGGCACTCCCTAGTGAGATGAACCCGGTACCTCAGATGGAAATGCAGAAATCACCTGTCTTCTGAGTCGCTTACGCTGGGAGCTGTAGACCGGAGCTGTTCCTATTCGACCATCTTGGCTCCTCCACCGTGAGTTTTACTTTAAATGGACCTAAAAGAACTCTGTTGATTCAAGCACTATGTTGTTGTTTTTCTTTGATGATAAAGAAAACTATGCAAACAGAATATGCCCGCCCTTGGACTTAAAGCAAAAAACTTGCCTTCTAACAGATCAGTTTGTGACAGCCTCTCAAGTAAGACTAAAACTTGGTTCTGCTTAACAGTAATTGGCAGATTCCTGGGATGTGTTTCCCAGCCATTCATTGTTAAAAGAAACAGACTGTCCTGCTCCATCCTGTTTCATTAGCCAATTAAGATGTCAACCTTTGGGTTGTCAAAATCATTAAACATATTTGGGTAATTATGAGAGGACAGAGAGCATGACTGGCATAGAAGAGAAACGATGGTTCAGAAATTGAACTTAGCTTTCTTCAGACATAACAAAACTTAAAATTAATTAAAATTTTTGTTATTGGTTTTACCATCTATAAAAATTTGGAATATATTTTTAAAAAGGTGATCCTTTTATTTCCCTGTTTCCTTTTTGTTCAAGATGAAAAACAAGCATAAAATGAAAGTGTCCCTGACAATTTCGAAATCTAAGAACAAACTGGAATTTTGTGTATACATGTGCAATATGCAATGCCTAGTTCTCTGTGGTGGGGGAATGGAGATATTTGCTGATTTTCTTCTTACCAGATGTGAGGATCTTGAAGGTGGGCCTGAAGGTGGGCTTGAAGATGGCAGAGCTCAGAGGCTTATGATGGACCACTGCTTTTTATGTTAATAAAATATCATTAATGTATTTTTCATATCGTACTTACTAATTTTAAAGTCATTTCTATTCTGTCATCACTGCTAGGATTATGAACAGTAGATTTGCATTTGGAACTGGAAAGGCCAATGGAATCCTGGAGTTGGAATAGTAATTTCATTTTAAACCACAGTCATTAGTTACCCACGTATTGTTTGAAGATGTCTGTCATATGATTATTTAAGGACATTTAAAAACATATCTGAATAACTTAAATGGAGTTATATGTGTCAGTATCAATAACTTTTAACTACTTTCTTTTCTAGACTAGCATATACCCATTATACATTAAAAATGTGAAATATTTAGGTTTCCTTATTAGAGTGGAGAGGTGAATACTAATTCTCAGATGTGTTTTGTGATAAGGTGGCACTCCTTCTTAAGCATTGCCATCAATCTTAAGCCGGGAAATTCACCTCTAGAAAGCGTCAAATCACTGGCTCCAAATCAAATTCTAGCAAGTATTCCCCATGTAATCAGCTGTCATCCTCAGTGACAAGGAGGAGACAGTGCTCTGCTTTCACTTTATTCCTACTTGAGAGCCCCAGCTTGAGAGTCTGGATAAGGCTCAAGGACGGAATGGGGAGTCTGTCTTCTATAAATAAAGAGAATAAAATTGCTGCTTTTTTCCTCTCCTTCCTCACCGCTACCTTGTCTGTCCCCCAGCGCATTCTTATTTCTCCCCAATGTCAATGAAGTTTGGTAGAAAGTTGTCTCTCATCTTAGTGTGCTATCTTACTTCGCTCAGCCTTATTTTCATCCTCTCTTCATTCATTGACTTATCCAGGAGCTTCATCTCTTTACAGAAAGGAGTGGGTACACGGGCAGTTCTCTTGGGAATTCTGATTCATTCACCATCTTGAACCACCTTTCTGTTGGGTTGTTGGATGTGACCATAGATGCTGGTCACATGCTTCTTAGCTCCCCATGTAATGAAACTTAACACAGGGCCAAGCAGATTTCCCAGACAAGGCTTTTATTTTGGGGCTTGTGCTCAAGGGCAAGGGAGACAGTGGAGGTGAGGTATGAGGATCCTCAAGCTGGCTCCCCAAAAAGCTAGTAGAGACTTTTTAATCAGACAAAGCATGGGGAATTGACACAGGGGTAAGGTATGCAGGCTGGGCTGGGAGAAGCATGTGGGGGTTAGGGTATGCAGGTCCATATGTCTGGTCCCGATGGTTATCTTGAGTAATGGGCCACCTGGTGGTCTGGCCAGCGGCAAAAAGGCTGCTTACAAATCATTCTTTCCCAAGGTTTGACATTCTGCACTTTGGTTTGATATTTAGGTTTCCTAAGGCCAGTTCCTGGAATTCTTTAAGTAAAAGGCATAGGTAAACATTATGAGAGCACAGGAGAGTGGCTATTTTCTTTATATGACTAAAGCCTTAGGGTTAGCATGTGTAACGTCAGCGAGGTGGTGATGTGGATTTTGTGATCAGCAGGAATGTATGAAAGAATGTTCCACCAGCGGGGGTGGTGGGGTGGGGAGCTGAAGCCAAGCCCTGACCTTACTCTGTCTCATGCCCTTTCTATACTTGGTATATTTGTATATTTGCTGTCTGTTTTTTTTTTTTTTTTTTGAAAGCGGCTACTCTCAATTCCCTAGATTGACTATGTTCTCTTTTTTTTTTGTTTTTTTTTTTTTGAGTCAGAGTCTTGCTGTGTCGCCCAGGCTGGAGTGCAGTGGCACGATTTCAGCTCACTGCAACCTCCACCTCCTGGGTTCAAGCAATTCTCCTGCCTCAGCCTCCTGAGTAGCTGGGATTACAGGCTTGCATCACCACACCCAGCTAATTTTTTTTTATTTTATATTTTTGGTAGAGACGGGGTTTCACGATGTTGGCCAGGCTGGTCTCGAACTCCTGATCTCAAGTGATCCTCCCGCCTTGGCCTCTGAAACAGAGAAATACATAACCATAATTTATGGGTAGTGTATTATAAACCAAAAAGTATCTGAGACAGATCTTAATCAATTTACTTACGTTTTTGAGACAGGTTCTTGCTCTGCCACTCAGTCTGGAGTGCAGCGGTACAATCTCAGTTTACTGCAACCTCTGCTTCCTGGGCTTAAGTGATTCTCCCACCTCAGCCTCCCGAGTAGCTGGGACTACAGGTGTGCGCCACCACATGTTCTCAGATAATTTTTCAATTTTTTGTAGAGAAGAGGTCTCCCTATATTGCCTAGGCTTGTCTCAAACTCCTGGGCTCATGCAGTTCTCCTGCATCAGCCTTCCAAAGGGCTGGAATTACAGGCATGGAATTACACCATGCCTGGCCTTCATTCACTTTAAAGGTTTATTTTGCCAGGGCTAAGGACTGGCTGTGACACAGCCTTTGGAGGTCCTGAGAACATGTGCCCAAGGTGGTCAGGATATACCTTGTTTTTTATACATTTTCAGGAGACGTAAGACATCAATCAATGTATGTAAAATGTACATTGGGTTTTGTGGAAAGGCAAGACAACTTGAGTTGGGGGCTTCCAGGTCACAGGTGGATCCAAAGATTTTCTGATTGGCAATTGGTTGAAAAAATTTATCTAAAGACCTGAAGTCAATAAAAGGGAGTGTCTGGGTTAGGATAAGGAGTTGCGGAGTCAAAGTTTCTTTTTTTTTTTGAGACGGAGTCTCACTCTGTCACCCAGGCTGGAGTGCAGTGGTGTGATCTTGACCCACTGCAACCTCTGCCTCTTGATTTCAAGTGATTCTCCTGCCTCAGCCTCCTGAGCAGCTGGGATTACAGGCGCCTGCCACCATGCCCAGCTAATTTTTTTTATTTTTAGTAGAGACAGGGTTTCACCGTGTTGGGCAGGCTGGTCTCGAACTCCTGACCTCAGGTGATCCATCCACCTTGGCCTCCCAAAGTACTGGGATTACAGGCGTGAGCCACCGCGCCTGGCCTAATTTCTCCATTTCTTTATGGAACATTATACATCTGATTTAACATAACGATGTGATAATTTTAATTATCTATTTCCTTTTTCTCTTTTGGCACCTGTCATTCTATCCTCATAACAACCTTGTTCCAATTCTTTTAAAATTCCCCACCTTCCCTTAGTATGTGTTGACTTCATTTTTGGAATAAAGTTTGTCTAAAGCTGCTTTAACTTGTTTAACTTTTGTGGGAGTCTGGCACTGAGTTTAACAAGTACATTTGGAGGAACCTTTTGGATGTCATTTTAGGAGTGTTGGGAAGAGCTTATTCTTCCTGTGCACCCTCTCATTCCAACCCATTTCTCTCTGATTTGATTGTTAATATTTGCAATTTTATCCTTTGAATTTGCTTCCTCTGATATTAAAATACAGACACTCCTGCGAACAATCAGTTACTCACGCTTGATTGTGAATGAGGCTCAGAGGGTGGGATTTGATAAGGGGGTAGGGATAAGAGCAAGAGAGTTCTGGAAGCTGGTACAGGTGTTGTTGTCAGGCTATTTATGGAAAGACTGCTAAATACATAGTCTGGTCTGCTACTCACTACCTGTAAACTTGTTGGAGTCACTTAACACTCTTGAACCTCAAGTATCACATATGAAATATGGGATAATCATGCTTGCCTGGTTTACCTAACAGGATTATTTGAAGGCCCAAATGAGAATATATGTGCAGCAAAAAGTTTGTAAACTCTGATGTGCTATGCAAAGTAAAGATACCAAAGGGCTTGAAGAAAGGGAAAAAGAAATGTGGCCAAGGCAATGTCTACTTACGTTATAACTAAGGTGGATTCTGGTGCCACTCTATGATCATACTCAGAATTATGACAGTTCAGATGACCAGGAGTCATATGTCACCTTCTATATATCGTTGCATTAAAGTAAGCCACTTCCAGCCCGGCCAACACAGTGAGATCGCATCTCTACAAAAAAATAAGAAAAACCTAACTGGGCATAGTGGCACTTGCCTGTGGTCCCAGCTACTTGGGAGGCTGAGATGGGAGGATTGCTTGAGCCGGGGAGGTTGAGGCTACAGTGAGCCTTGATCCTGATTGCGCCACTGCACTCCAGCCTGGGCAAAAGAGTGAGACCATGTCTCAAAAAAGGAAGCCACTTTTCTTTTCTCTTTACTTTTCTTCTCCAGGAGAATCCATGCCAGCCTAGCTGCTGTCCCTGAGTGGCAGCATAGGGAGCTGTAGGGGCAGGGCCTCTGCCCCTTCCTAGGGAAGATAGGAGAGGATGGCTACCTATGTACAGCTGATCCTTTGCCTTCAAGGTTTACCTTTGTCTGAAACCTTCTCTCTTTTTTGAACAGGGTCTCTGTTGCTCAGGCTGGAGTGCAGTGCCTTGATTACAGTTCACTGCAGCCACGATCTCCTGGGCTCAAGTGATTCTCCCACCTTAGCCTCCTGAGTAGCTGGTACTACAGGTGTGCACCACGATGGCTGGCTATTTTATTTTTTTACTTTTAGTAGAGATGAGATAGCAGTATGTTGGGCTCCAACTCTTGAGCTCAAGTGATCCTCCTGTCTTGGCCTCCCAGTGTTGGGATTATCAACCTGAGCCACTGTACCCAGCCTGAAACATACCCTTCAGCAGGAGAAAATTATGTAGCTCTGTGGGGAACAGCTATTCTCTAGGAATAGGCTTCTTCAAGATCAGAATTGTTAAAGTAGTGTAGCAAAAGGAAAGATATTTCAGAGAATGTCCTAATAGCTCAGATGAGGATGCCATCATTTAAATATGACCAGACTCTACATGTATTAGTTGTTCTTTCTTTTGTTCAAGAAGGACATTAAGCACCAATAAATAAATAAATTCCTGCTATCACATGTCCAGGATAACCAAATGGAGCTGTACATGTGTAATAGGCAGGAAAATGGACCCCAAAGATGTATATACCTTAATTTTTGGAACCTGTGAAAATTCTTTGCAAATGTAATTAGAATAGGGAAATTATACTGGATTATCCATGTGGGCCCAATCTAATCACATGAGTGGTTAAAAGCAGAGATTTTCTGTGGCCAGAGGCAGCAGAGAGATGCAGCAGAAAAAGAAGTCAGAGAGACTATAAGTAGGAGAAGAATTTGACATGTCATTGCTGGCTCTGAGATACAAGAGGCCATTAGCAAGGAAGAGATACAGACCTTTCAGAGCTGAAGGGTGGTCCCTAGCTGATACCCAACACAGAAATAAGGAGCTACAATCCCAAGGAAATGAATTCTGCCAGTAACCTGAGTGGGCCTAGAAAGAGTCTTTCCACAGCCTCTTGATAAGAGTCCAGAGGGCTGACACCTTGATTTTGGCTTTGTGATACTGTGTCCGGAATTGGTGGGTTCTTGGTCTCACTGACTTCAAGAACAAAGCCATGGACCCTTGCCGTGAGTTTTACAGTTCTTAAAGGTGGCGTGTCTGGAGTTTGTTCCTTCTGATGTTCGGATGTGTTTGGAGTTTCTTCCTTCTGGTGGGTTTGTGGTCTCGCTGGCTCAGGAGTGAAGCTGCAGACCTTCGCGGTGAGTGTTGCAGCTCTTAAAGCAGCGCGTCTGGAGTTGTTCGTTCCTCCTGGTGGGGGTCGTGGTCTCGCTGGCTTCAGGAGTGAAGCTGCAGACCTTCGCGGTAAGTGTTACAGCTCATAAAGGCAGTGTGGACCCAAAGAGTGAGCAGTAGCAAGATTTATTGCAATGAACAAAGCTTCCACAGTGTGGAAGTGGAAGGGGACCCCAGCCGGTTGTCACTGCTGGCTCTGGCAGCCTGTTTTTATTCTCTTATCTGGCCCCACCCACATCCTGCTGATTGGTCCATTTTACAGAGAGCCGATTGGTCTGTTTTAGAGCTGATTGGTCCGTTTTGACAGGGTGCTGATTGGTGCATTTACAAACCTTGAGTTAGACAGGAAAGTTCTCCACCTCCCCACTAGATTAGCTAGATACAGAGTGTCCATTGGTATATTTACAAACCCTGAGCTAGACACAGAGTGCTGATTGGTGCATTTACAAACCTTGAGCTAGATACAGAGTGCCGATTGGTGCATTCACAATCCCTTAGCTAGACATAAAGATTCTCCAGGTCCCCAGCAGATTAGCTAGTCACAGAGGGCTGATTGGTGCATCCACAAACCCTGAGCTAGACACAGAGTGCTGATTGGTGTATTTACAATCCCTCAGCTAGATATAAAGGTCTCCAAGTCCCCACTAGACTCAGGAGCTCAGCTGGCTTCACCCAGTGGATCTCGCACCAGGCCGCAGGTGGAGCTGCCTGCCAGTCCCCTGCCCTGCACCTGCACTCCTCAGCCCTTGGGCGGTTGATGGGACTGGGCGCCTTGGAGCAGGGAGTGGCGCTGGTTGGGGAGGCTCGGGCTGCACAGGAGCCCACAGGAGGAGGGGAGGCTCAGGCATGGCAGGCTGCAGGTCTGGAGCCCTGCAGGGCGGCAGCTAAGGCCCAGCAAGAAGTCGAGCACAGCAGCTGCTGGCCCAGGTGCTAAGCCCGTCGCTACCGGGGCTTGTAGGCAGGCCGGCGGCTCCGAGTGCTGGGCTGCCGAGTCCACGCCCACCCGGAACTCGCGCTGGCCTGCAAGCGCCCCGCGCAGCCCCAGTTGCCGCCCCCGCCTCTCCTTCCACACCTCCCCGCAAGCTGAGGGAGCTGGCTCCGGCCTTGGCCAGCCTGAAAGGGGCTCCCATAGTGCAGCGGTGGGCTGAAGGGCTCCTCAAGCGCAGCCAGAGTGGGCGCCAAGGCCCAGGAGGCACGGAGAGCGAGCGAGGGCTGCCAGGGCTGCCAGCATGCTGTCACCTCTCAATATTAGGAGCAGAGAAGCCAGCTCAGCCAACCTGGCATTCTGATCTATAGAAACTGAGAGGTAAGACATTTTTGTTGTTTCATGCCACTAAGTTTGTGGTAAGCTGTTATGATGGGCAGTAGAAAATATGGCTGGGCGTGGTGGCTCACGCCTGTAATCCCAGCACTTTGGGAGGCCAAGGTGGGCAGATCACCTGAGGTCGGGAGTTCGAAACCAGCCTGACCAACACGGAGAAACCCCGTCTCTACTAAAAATACAAAATTAGCTGGGTGTGGTGGCACATGCCTGTGATCCCAGCTACTGGGGAGGCTGAGGCAGGAGAGTCGCTTAAACCCAGGGGGCGGAGGTTTCGATGAGCTGAGATCATGCCATTGCACTCCCGCCTGGGCAACAAGAGCGAAACTCCATCTCAAAGAAAAAAAAAAAAAAGAAAATTAACACACTATGTGAGAGGCGGCTGGACAGCAAATAGCTGTTTCGAAGAACCACCTTTATAATTTTCCATTTAGCCTCTATATTTGAATATTTTTTTCTGATAACATTATGTGAACATGTAGTAACATGACTCTTTAAATCAGCAGGGACCTCAGTTTCATTTACTTTAGACCAGGGCATGACTGCCTTTATTTTTTATTCCCCTGATGCTCCTCAAGGTGAATTTTGTGCACAGCTCTTTGTCTCTATATATAACTTAAAAAAACCCCAAAATATTACATACGTTCAGTATATGTGCTATTATTAAGTATATAGCTTGATGAAGTTTTCATGTGTAAATACCTGAGAACCACCACCCAGATTGAGATATAGAATATTTTCATCACTTTAGTGGATGCTCCTGCAAGCTTAATGCCTGTTTCTAGTCAATACTTGCCGCATTCAGAGTCATCCACTCTTCTGACTTACACCATCATTGATTAGTCGTGTCTGTTGTTGAAATTCATGTAAATGGAATCATGCAGTGTGCACTTTTATGTCTGGCTTCCTTCACTCAACACACTGTTCTTGAAATTCACTCATGGTGTATAAACAGCTCATTCCTTTTAAAGCACTGTATAGCATTCTATTGTATGCCTAAACCTATATTTGTTTATTCAGTCTCTCACTGATGGTTATTTGGGTTGTTTCCAGTCTTGAACCTTAATGAGTACAGCTGCCGTGTGCTTTCTTGTACATGTCTTTTGGTGGACACGTATACACATTTCTCATGGGTACATCCTTATGAGTGGAATCTCTGGGTCTGCTCATAGGGTAGATTAATCTATATTTTAAGTCAGATTATTCCAAACACGTAATTCAAAATTGGTGAATTATGTTTAGCCATTTTTATGTTATATATTATTATTATTGTTAAAAAAAGTTTTTGGAACACTTCATCAGTTTGCGTGTCATCCTTGCTCAGGGGCCATGCTAATCTTCTCTGTATTGTTCCAATTTTAGTATATATGTTGCCAAAGGGAGCACTTCATATGATATATTATTGATAGAAATAATTAAAAAAAATTTTTTTTGAGACAGAGTCTCACTCTGTTGCCCAGGCTGGAGTTCAGTGGTGTGATCTCGGCTCACCACAACTTCCGCCCCGTGGGTTCAAGCGATTCTCTTGTCTCAGCCCCCGAGTAGCTGGGATTACACAGGTGTGCTAATTTTTTGTATTTTTAGTAGAGATGGGGTTTCGTCATGTTGGCCAGGCTGGTCTCAACCTCCTGACTCAGGTGATCCTCCCGCCTTGGCCTCCGAAAGTGCTGGGATTATGGGCGTGAGCCACCACACCCAGCTGAAATAATTTTATTTATACAAATAAGCTAAGAAACTATAAACCTATAGATATCATAATATAGGTATGTTGTCTGCATGTAAGTGGAGCTCTATTCTTTTGAAAAAGAGCACCCAGTCAGAAAAGCCATTTATGATTTAAAACAAGGCAGCTATAGGAAAGTTTGATTTCTCAGAACTTAAAAAGCCATACTAAAGGTGATCCTGCGTTTCCCTGTGTTATATTTAGCTACTCAACGTAGTAAAGACCATACTTCCCGTTTCATGACCTTTCTTTATCACTGGATGTCGTTCTCAGCATGAGGAGGCACAGCATGAGCATTCATGATTACACCAAAGCAGCGACTTTCCCTTCCTTATCTCTGAGTACCCAGGAACCCAAAACTCTGTTTGCGAAGAGGCTTATAAGTGCCCTGGCCATTGAAAAAGAGGGGTTGCTTCTACATTGAGCAGTTCGAATGGGCCTCTGAAAAGTCTTGCAGCACAATTGACAGGCAACACATGGGCGGCTGATGGCCACACTGTAGTTACAAGATGGCAGTCAGTGTGGTTCTCCATCATCCAGGTGATGCGAGGTGCTCCCTCACTTGTTCTTCTCCAGGCCTTGGCCTGGCTCCCAAGCACTGGCCATCCCCCCAGTATTCTTTGGGCTCTCAGTATTAGTTCTGCAACTTCTCATGGGACCCACCAGGACCAGACCATTTTCTCTTGCCCCACACCTCTCACCTTCTCTATTTTCTTTATAATTCTTCTGTTATCATAGATACTATGGGTGTTAATTCCCTTAAACCTTCCCTTTTGATTATTTGACAACATTCAGGAGTCAAAAGTAAACATTGCTTTTCCTTCTCAAGGCAGTGTGGGTGACTCTGTTGACTCGGGGAACAGTGTGTGAAGGGGAAGAAAACATACATATTGTTATTTCAATTATGGCATGTATTAGGATTCTCCAGAGACATTGAATCAATAGCATGTGTATACATTATATAAGAATTGGTGCATACAATTAATGGAGGCTGGCAAGTCCAAAATCTTCAGTGTGGGCCAGAAGACTTTAGACCCAGAAGAGCTGATGGTGCATTTCCATCCCAAGACAGTCTGCTAGAATTTCTTTCTTGAGGGGGTGGCCAATCATTTCGTTCTTCTTAGGCTTTCAACTGATTGAATGAGGCCCACTCACATTACAGAAGGCAATCTGCTTTACTCAAAGTTTACTGATTTAAATGTTAATCTCATCCAAAAATACCCTCCAAATTGACACATACAATTAACCATCACACGTCATTACACTCATGATCTCCAGGAGCACACCATGGCTAAATTGGCATCTATCTAGTGCAAGATTTCTCATTTTATGGGAAAGACAATGCATTGTGGATTAAGATGATGTAGATTTGAATCCCAGTGATCTTGGAATTTGAATCTCAGTTGTGTCATTTGGAAAAACCTTTAACTTCAGTCATCACAGAGCTGCAGTTCTCAACTGGGGCAATTTGTCCTTCCGCCTATGTCCCCAGAAGACATTTGATAACATCTGAAAACATTTTTGGTTGTTACAACCAGGGTGAGGGTGGGAGGAGTTGTTAATGTCATCTCTGGTGGGCACAACTCAGGGATACTAACCATCCTATGATGCACACAACAGCCCCCCACAACAAACAATCACCAGGCCCCAAATATCCGTAGTGTTGAGGTTGTGAAACCTTGCACTAGAGGTAAACAGACAATGCTAGGATATCAAAAACTAGACATGAGTGGAACATGGGAGGGTTGTCAGGCAAGAAAACCGATAAAATGGTGCTCAAATTTAAAAAGCAAATGTGTGAACACCTGATCTTATAGTTTTTGCCAGTTTCTAAATAGAATAGTGGGAAGGTGATATTTTAAGTTGGGAAATGCATTATTGGAGGCTACGCTATGATTTGGGGAAAAGAGAGCGGACCTCAGGTTAGCAGGAACATAAACGTGTTAGTATTTTACTGAATTTCCCCCTTGTGTCATTGGCTCACAGGATTTCACAAAGGTTTGAAGGTCTGGGATGGAATGGTGAAGGTGACATCACTGTGAGCAAGTGTGGGTCAAATGAGGGGGATGAACTGTGGCTAAGAAACTTAAGAGAATATTTTTGTAAGAAGATGTAAAAGGATAAATACAATATGACTTACCAAATGCCTTTAAGTAATAGATTACTATTTTGTTAGCTCATACTTTATTCTGGCAGTCTGTTTACCCATATGCACAGTCTCCTGAATGTGATTTAAATGTTAAGTCCTAATTACAAAACTCTAATTCAAAACAATTTTAAGTAAGGCTGTTGAAAATTAATGTGAATGCAAATCATGAAGTCACTCTCATTAGGGAAATACGCATTAATTTTAATTTTGGGCCTCTCTGAACTAATATCAAATAGAATTACATAAAAAATAAAAATGGCCAGAACTTTTGAGAGATTATATTCTGCAACTAAAGTTATCCAGGAATGTGTAACAGCTACGTAATCTCTTTATAAAAAATTTTGAAATAATTTAACGATATATAGATTATTAGGGACCTTCTAAACTTTTAGAACTGATTTTGTTGGCTTCATTAGCTCCTGCCTTGTTTTAACAGGCTTTCTTTGTATATATTGAATTATTGGAGTCAACTAAGTTGGTTAGTATGCTGTGAGGGTCACTACACATGCCCTTTTGTTTAAATTAATCAGCCTCTGCAAAGAAGAAAGACAATTTAATTTTACCAACTGAATCCAGGAGAAAAATGAATACATCAAAGCAAGTGTGAAATTCTTCCCAGTTAGCATGCACAGAGAATGTAGCTAATAATAACCTCGAGTTTTCTGTCAAGCCGGTCAATATATCTCTTTATCCATTATAATCAATATTGTAGCATTCATTCATTCATTATTCATTCACTTACCATTTATTGAAACCTTAAATTTGTGCTCAGTCAGTGCACTGTGAATGGGTATAAAGAGACAACTAAGAATCTGATCATTGTCTGGTGGGAGAGACTGACGTTACAAAGTGCAATGGTACATGCATTCTGTGAGACAGAAATTCATGGAGGAGAACTGGAAGAGATTCACCTGGATAGGTAGCCTGGGGCATAAAGAGTAGGCCTAGGAAGCCCTAAGGACATTAGGATTTATTTTGAGAGATGATGGTTGCTTTGTTAGGGTGACAGCAGGGTGGTGATGAAGAGAGGTCTTAATCTAAATATATTTTAAAGGTGGAGCTAACAAATTTTGTGGCATGAAATCAAAGAGAACATTTTAGATAGGCTTTAAAGATTTTGGAGCCAAGCACAATGACTCATGCCTGTAATCCCAGAACTCAGGGAGGCCAAGGTAGGTGGATGACTTGAATTCAGGAGTTCGAAACCAGCCTGGGCAACCTGACAAAACCCTGTCTTTACAAAAAATACTAAAATTAGCTGGGCATGGTGGCATGTGCCTGTAGTCCCAGGTACTTGGGAGTGTGAGGTGGGAGGATCACCTGAGCCCGAGGAGGTTGAGGCTGCAGTGAGACATGATCGCACCACTGCACTCCAGCCTGAGTGACAGAGTGAGACCCTGACTCCAAAAAGAAAAAAGAAAAAAAAAAGATATTGGCAAGAGCAACTAGGTTGGTGGTGTTATTTACCGAGACTGAGAAGAATTGGCATGATCTAAGTGTGACATGATAATTAGATATCCAAGTGGAGATTGAAAGAGATAGTTGGGGTAAATAAGCTTGGAATTCGGGGGACAGTCTGAATTGGGAATATACATTTGAGTATCCCAAGCATTGAGATGATATTTAAAGCCATAAAACTGGGATAATCCCCTCATTCAGCAAAGTGATGTGTAGAGACTGGGAAGATGAGGAGCCAGCAAGGAGGGCTGAGACCATTAGGGCAGGAGGAGAATCTCAAGAGGGTGTGCTATTCAGGACACCAGACACTTGAGACAGTGTCCAAGGAGGAAGTGATGGACTGTGTCAAAGGCTTGTGACAGATTTAGCAATATGTGGACTAAGTCTGGCAATGTCGATGTCACTGCACCCTTGATAAAAGCATCTTTGGTTGGAGGGTTGGGATAAAAGCCTGATTAAAGTAGGCTCAAGAGAGAATGGAAGGTGAGGAAATGGTGAAAGCATATACAATTAACTTTTTGAAGACATTTGCCTGAAAAAGGAGAGAGGCATGAGGCAGTAGCTGGAAGACTGGAAGTAGCTGGAGAAGAATTTGGGGTTGAGATTTTTCTTTTTGTAAAGAATGGAGACATCTCTGGCTGTTTGCATGCTAACGGAAACAATACAGTGGAGAAAGAAAAAGTAATGGTGCAGAACAGAAGGGGGCATTGTCTAGAGAGAGGTCCTTGAGAAGATGGGATCCATTGCACAGATGGAGAAGCTGGCCTTGAAGCACGAATAGTTCACCCACTGGAACATGAGCAAAAGCAGAGGTGATGGTGTGTGTGCAAACTGGCTAGCATATTAGGTGGTGGGAACATGTTTTAGCATACGTAAGCATAGGCAAATGCAGCAGAATCCTTTTCTCCCTCCTTGGTGAGTTGTATATTTTTTCCTGAAAGCATTGAGTGTTCTCAATCCTGGTTACACTTTAGAACCCCGTGGAAAGCTCTTAAAAAATACTGATTCCTGGGGCCTGTTCCCATAGTTAATTGGTCTGGATACTAATACTAAAAAAAAAAAAAAATCTCTCCAGTGGTTCATTTAGAACCACTAAGTTAGATGGTTTATGTAATATTTTATGTTTAGTGAATGACTAGAAAATCAGATAATTGTTTGTTATGACGGTATCAGTACTGTAAGAAACAGGACTAATATTTCAGGAAAGTGAGCTTATGTGGCAGCAGATTGAGTTCTCCAGAAATCAGTCACCAAGACTGAGATTAGCATGTAGGAAGTTTACTGTGGCAAGAAGGGAAAGGATGCAGGATTGAGCTGGAAGAGAAGTCAAGTGGCAAAGCAGGCCCTGTGATAGCCTCTGCAGACTCCATGGAGAAACTTGGAACTAAAGATGCTCTGTCAGTGTGGCTCTGCATGGGGTTGAAATGACCCAGCCTCCATGTATCAGTCATTGGATGTAGACCTTCTTGAGAAGGGCATTGACCTAGACAAGGAGGCTCTTCGCAGCTGTGCCTGACCCTGAAGGACCTGACAGCTGAAAAAGCTGGGGCAAAAAGGCCTTCCTTGGCTCCAGCCTGACAGTGTCTACTACATTGGTTAATGTTGCAGGTCCACATAGCAGATTCTAGTCTATGAGGCAGGTTAGCTGAAAAATGAACCTCCTCCATGAGTCCTGGAAGGCTCACCAAGAGTTATTTTATTTTATTTTTTTGAGAAACACATGTTTACCAGTTTATGAGTCAGTACTACTATTTTTTGAAAATGTTTGCTACACAAATACACAAACAGTCCACATATCTGATCAACTTTCTTCTAGAACTACAGCCAAAGGAAGATTAGTCTGTAAACATGTGATCACTGGTATGCTTGGCTCGACTTCCTGCAGTGTATTCTCTGATAATACAGAAGTAGTGATACTGTATGGAAGTTTTAGATAATTTTCCTGTCAGTTTACATTTTAATCATATAATAACAGAAAATTATAAAGACAATTGGGAATGAAACCACCTTTGCAAAAATTATAACTGAGGAAATTACAGCAGGAAACTGTCAAACAGAGAAATTTGACATGGCTGACTCCATCTTGTCTGTAGCTCACATGTTGGCTATCTTTGCTCATTCCTGGGCGTGGGCAGAGCTAACTTTGGAAGAAATTAAGTTTATAGTTTAAACAATAGCCCTTCCCCCAAATTAAACTGTTCTTGTAAAACTATTGAAAGGCTACCAAGTTAGGATGAGAGGAGCTTGAATTCTAAATAATTACCAGCCATTATTCTGGAAGTCATAAGATTTGCAACTTCCCCAATTACTCTTGAAGATAACGTGACTATTGTAGAACCTAAAATTGGCCTTTGAGATGTCTTTTCAGGTTTTTGCATTTCTGACAATGGGATGTCCCCACTGGGACCTGACAACCAGTCCTGTGGCCCCCACCCAGGAGCTGAGTCAGCATAAAAGGACAGCTTCAACTCCCTATCAGTTCATCTCTAAGCCAACCAATCTGTGCTCTTGAGTCACTGGCCTGCTACCCACCAAATTATCCTTAAAAACTCCAGTTCCCGAATTCTCTGGGAGACTGATTTGAGTAATAATAAAACTCCAGTCTCTCACACAGCCAGCTCTTCATGAATTAAACTCTTTCTCTATTGCAAGTCCCTTGTCTTGATAAATTGGCCCTGTCTAGGCAGTAGGCAAGGAGAACCCATTGGGCGGTTTCAGGAACATAGAGCAGTGGACAAAAATAGGATGCTTAAAGCCAATGTAAATATTCATGGTAATAAGGAAAGTTTAGAGCAATCTGACCCTGGCATTGGCACTGGCAACAAAGAAGGTGGGAGCACCACGACAAACACAGCTAGAAAATGCACAGAAAAACCAAATTAAAAGAGATTAGATTAAGAGAGATATATAGGAGATGTTTGTTTAAAATATGGAGCTTGCGATTGAGGAGATGTAAATGAATCTACAACATGATGCCTCTTGTAGCCATTATCTTTGCAATGATATTAAAAAAAACCAGACACATTTCAAAGGAGAAAAATCACAAGAAATCTTGCAGCAAAATAGAAGAACATTGTAGATAGAGACAATGCTATCAAAAGCACAGTTCCTACGCAAAGGAAAAATTGCTTGTTGGTCTTTTCAAGGTTAAATAAACTAGAGGTCTTGCTTCTTGCTATGAAGCTTTGAAAAGCTTACTTTGAATGCAGACTCTATCTTAGGAAAAAGGAGGAGGGAAAGAAAAATGCCCTCATAGGAAGGTATATTTTGAATTGACTGAATATTTCTGTGAGAGAGTGTTTTAAGCAAGAAAATGTGAATTAGGTTTAATCAGCAAATTTAAATGCACGTTGCTCTTCCTCCATCAGTGAAATTGGGTCTCATAAAGTGGTTTAATTTAATTATAGAAAATAAAGAACATGGCCTTATTGAACTCTTCTGTGAAGACCATATTAATTTTTTCATGTTACAAATGTATTATTTATCTTATTGAAAAAGAATGATTCTTTTTTTTTTTTTTTTTGAGATGGAGTTTCGTTCTTGTGGCCCAGGCCTGAGTGCAATGGTGCGATCTCAGTTCACCGCAACCTCCGCCTCCTGGGTTCAAGCAATTCTCCTGCCTCAGCCTCCCCAGTAGCTGGGATTACAGGCATGCACCACCACGCCCGGCTAATTTTTTATTTTTAGTAGAGACGGGGTTTCTCCATGTTGGTCAGGCTGGTCTTGAACTCCCGACCTCAGGTGATCTGCCTGCCTCGGCCTTCCAAAGTGCTGGGATTACAGGAGTGAGCCACTGCACCTGTCCGAAAAAGAATGATTCTTAAATGAGTTTAGCATATATTTTTTATGTGATGAAAATTGTATTTACAATAAAATAAAGAACATCAGCCATCTTTATACACTGGAAAAATGATTTAATAAATCTTTCCTTTGAAAGTAAAACACATTGTATCATTGATCATAAGAAACCAGAGATTTTACTCCTCTATAAACTGGTACAGGTTAAATTTATCCACCAGCAAATACCTAAAACTATTTTTCACTCATCAACACTTTTGGCAACATTCTGACAATTATTATTCTGACACAGTTGTTAAAGTTAAAAAAAAAAACAAACCCGAAACCATTGCCATTATAACCCCATACTTAGGTGAATCTCAGTTCTCAAAATATGACACTCATACCCAGAAGGGAAATTGATTAAGTATAAAACCTGATGTATGTTTCAGCAGCCGCAGCAATCATTCATTTTACTGAACTTTCTCAAATTGTTAGTGGTTAGTTTCATTAGTGGTATCATTAGTGCAATAGCTTCTCACCTGTTGATCAGTGAAGGACATAGGAAATTTTTGTTCTTTTATCTGATGGCAAGATATTTTAAACCTTTATATCTTAAGAGAAATTTGGTTATGTCAGGTAGAGGATGGCAAAATTTACACATATTTTAAAGATAAAAAGAACATTAAATTAATTTCCAACTTGTCCAGTTTTTAAGTTAAACTTCTGGACTTAGTAGTATGCTCTCCAGTCTCAACTGTTAGTTGTATTTTGACAGGGAAGTTTGAGAAACAGCGATGTGGTTGCATGGGAGACAAAATTTCATCTTTATCTCCTAAGAGTTTTTGTCTGGGCCTGAGAATTAAATTGACGTAAGACATAAGCAGGAGAAAAACATACATAATTATGTGTTTTACATGACATGGGAGCCCTCATAAGGAAATGAATACCCAAAGAAGTGGCAAAACCTAAATGCTTATATAGTAGGTTGAACAAAGACTAAACTGTGTGGGAAGGCTAAAGGAAGATGAAATCTTGAACGAGGTCTGGCTGTACAGAATTCTCTTGGCCTCAACTCATCCTTGATAAGAATGTTACTTTCCTTCTGGTATAGGGAGGCCATCTTTCACATAGCAATTTCATCTTCTGCTCTTTAGAGAAAGAAGAAGGTCAGAGTTCTTCTTGTATCTGCTTCTTTTCAAGTGCCTCGAGCTCAAAAGAATCCTTATGCCAAGGTGGTATATTTTGTGGTGGCATATTCTGCCACCTCTCATTCTCAAATGGGATCTAGGAGAAATTTTTAAGCAGGGCAGCAGAGTTGTTTTGGGGACTATTAATTTGATGGTCATGAGGTTGTGCTGTGAAATATGGTAACCACTAGCCATACATGGCTATTTAAATTAAAATTCATTAAAACGACATGAAATTAAAAATTGAGTTACTTGGTTACTATAGCCATATTTCGTGTAATATGGCTTCATATTACACAAATAGCTTCATAGCTAGATGTGGTGACTGCATTGGATAGCATTTCCATCATCACAGGAAGTTCTAATGGACAACACTAATATAGAGGGTCAATTGGAGGGAGGAGAAACTAGTAACTAGTAGAAGGAAAAACAATGAAGAATTTATTAATGTAGGCCAGGCCCAGTGGCTGATGCCAATAATCCCAGCACTTTGGGAGGCCGAAACGGGCAGATCACTTGAGGTCAAGAATTTGAGACCAGCCTGGCCAATATGACGAAACCCGTCTCTACTAAAAATACAAAAATTAGCCAGGTGTGGTAGCTCCCGCATGCCTGTAGTCCCAGCTACTCGGGAGGCTGATGTGGGAGAATCGCTTGAACCTGGGAGGCAGAGGTTGTGGTGAGCTGAGATCTGGCCACTGCACTCCAGCCTGGGTGACAGAGCAAGACTCCATCTCAAAAAAAAAAAAAAAAAAAAAAAGTGAATTTATTAATGGCAGAGAGTATTCTTGAGACAAACATTTACACGCCATTATGCTTTTTTTCTTTTTCTTTTGTTTTGTTTTTGTTTTTGTTTTTGTTGTGAGACAGAGTCTCGCTCTGTCGCCAGGCTGGAGTGCAGTGGCGATCTTGGCTCACTGCAGCCTCCAACTCCCGGGTTCAAGCGATTCTCCTGCCTCAGCCTCCCGAGTAGCTGGAATTACAGGTGTGTGCCACCACGCCCAGCTAATTTTTGTATTTTTAATAGAGACGGATTTTCACCATGTTGGCCAGGATGGTCTTGATCTCCTGACCTCGTGATCTGCCTGCCTCGGCCTCCCAAAGTGCTGGGATTACAGGCGTGAGCCACCGTGCCTGGCCTGCTTTTTATTTTTGAGACAGAGTCTTGCTCTGTCACCCAAGTTGGAGTGCAGTGGTGTGATCTTCGCTCACTGCAGCCTCTGCCTCCCGGGTTCAAGTGATTCTCTTGCTTCAGCCTCCTGAGTAGTGGGGATTACAGGCATGTGCCACCACGCCCAGCTTATTTTTTGTATTTTTTTGGTAGAGATGGAGTTTCTCCATGTTGTCCAGGCTGGTCTAAACTCCTGGCCTCAAGTGATCCAGCCGCCTTGGCCTCCCAAAGTGCTGGGATTACAGGTGTGAACCACTGCGCCCGGCCACTGTTAGCCTTTTTTTACTCAATTCCTTTTGCATGTTGTTTTTTTCCTTTTTAACAATCATAGTTTGTAAGGAAGAAAAAAAATGAGAAAGCAATTTACTAAAAAATATTGTAGTTTAGACTTTAAAACATATTTTGTTATAATTACAGAATGTCAGTGGTAGAAATGACCTTCCGTGTCTTCGTGTCTAACCACCCACTTGACTGAATCCACTTTAATTAGTCATTCAGTTTATGGTTGAACACCCTAGGAGGTGAGAGCCCATGGTTTCCTGAGATACAAGATTTTACCTTGGTAGACTGTCTAGGTCGAGTCTGTTCTAAAGTGACGGATCCAGTCTTCTTGAAAGCTCAGAGCAAGAAGTCATGAGTACTGGCTGCCAGTCAGGGAAGAAACGGAGCCAGAGTCCGAAGGAACCCTGCTTTTTGGTCCAAGGTTCCAACCCTAAGAACACAGGCAGTCTCTGTCCTCTCTGTTTTCAACCTCACCTTTAAACAGAAAAAAAAGAGCATGGGCAAGGACTCACAGGCTAAAACTGATATGGGTTAATACGCTTTGAAATATTTAAAGTGCTGTACACGTAGAAGTTTTTATTATTACACAGCCATGGGGAATTGTAGTGACAAAATGAAGTCCAGGAAAGCTGACATTATGGTAGTGGAAACCCTTAGGGAGCTTAAGGTTATTGTTTCAGCAGGGCTGGCTTATAAAAGAAACTTGTTAAAGAATAAGACATAAGGTTATATGGGGTTATCAGAACATGTGTACATAAAGATGAATATATTCCTGGCCTAGGGGCTCAGAAAAAGGCACCTCCTTAAATATACGTCTTATTACTGGCTCAGGTGAGAACTTGAAAAATCCAGGTATATAATGCATTATAAAAAGTCTTGAGACAAGTAGACTTGGAGAATGAAACACTGCTATAAAACAAAATCCTAACATTTCTATTCAGCTTTCCATAAAGGGAAAAAGAACAAAAAGTTCATTTTCCACAGGTAAAGGCAATGACTAAGCTGACAGAATTTGTATTTTAATGAATAAAAATTTACCGAGGTGCTTGATTATATTATCCCATAAAAAATTTAGAAACAAATGTCTACAAATCCTGAACTTTGCTCTCTTTTTGTTGAGATGAAGGGAAGAAAAACTGCTGGTTTTCAAATTGGGACTAACACTGTGACAAAAAAAGGTATATGAAATTAAAGTACATTGTTAGAATTTGCCTATGCAGTTTGCTTTGGTTTTTGAAACTGTCCTCATTTATGAAACAATAATAATATATGTATAATCTCCTGGGTGCAGTGAAGACATTAAAATAAAGTAGAATTGCAGGTGATTTCCTTCAAATGTTTAAAATCTTTCTCTTATGAAAAAGGGACTGGTCTTCCAAAGCCCTCGCTCTTTATCTAACAAGCTGCTCTATGTCTACTGTTAGACACTCACTTTTCTTGACCTCAGGTTTCTCATCCATAAAATTCAGGATTTGGCTAGGTAAGCTCTGAAATGCCAATTTCACAGCAATAACTGTTTAATCCTTTACGAAGTCCATTTACTTATCTTTATTTTTCAGATCATAGTTAATTTTTACAAAATTCTGTTAGATATTATTCTTACACCATTTTACAGGTCTGACTTTGAGAGTGGGCAAGTCACATATTCTATTTCACAGCTTGTGCAGGAGACAAAGCCAGGACTTGGTTCACGCCCACGACACCACTGACCGTGTGCTTTCTCAGCACCGAATCACCTGTGTATCACCTGTGTGGCAAGACCTATGATTAACGAAAACAAATTTCTCAACCTGTTAGCGGTCACAGAGCATAGCTGGAGAAAGTAGCTCTCAAATACTATTTTTCATGTCTTTTATTTCTTAAAGGGCCACAGTAAGGCAAAATAAAGGCAAATTTTCTGTTTCAAATGGTAGTAATGATGTGAGTAGCTCAGCCGAGCTTGTCTAAAAATCCTTTGATCATTCAACTTTGTGTGCCATCAGTTTGCTTTTATTAAACTCTTTTTTTTTAATTTTGAGATAATTGTAGATGTACAGGCAGTTGTAAGAAATAATACACAGAAATTCCATGTACCCTTCATCCAGTTTCCTCTATTGTAATTCCTACATTACTGTGATACAAAAGCACAAACAAGAAACTGATGTGGAGACGACCCATTCACATTCAGATTTTACCAGCTTTCCATGCACTTACTTGTGGGTGTGTGTGTATTTTGTCTATGTATTTTGCCCTATGCAATTTATGACCTGGGTACATTCATGTGACGACCACCACAGTCAAGATACAGAAGAATTCCATTGCAAGGAACCCTCATGCTATCCTTGCATAGCCACCTAACTTCAATTCTTGGCAGCCACTAATTTGCTTTCCATTATTTTGTCATGTCAAGAATGTAATACAAATGGGATTATATAGTATGTAACCTTTTAAGATGGACTTTTAGATGGGCTTTTTCTTCACTCAGCATAATTTTCTTGAGATCTATCTAAGTTGATTAGTGTATCAATTCCTTTCCATTACTGCGTAGTAGTCTATGGCTTGATGAACCACAATCTGTTTAACTGCTCATGCATGGAAAGACATTTGGATGGCTTCCAGTTTTTGTCTATTATGAACAAAGCTGCTATGAATATTCATGTACAGGGTTTGTGTGAACGTAAATGTTCATTTCTCTGGGATAAATGTCCAAGAGTGCAATTTGTGGTTCATATGGTAAGTGCATCTTTAGTTTTGTAAGAGACTGCCATACTCTTTTCCAGGATGATTGTATCATTTTACAGTCCCATCAGCAATGCACGAGTGGTCCAGTTTCTCAGTATTTTTGCCGGAATCTAGGGCCTTGTCTAGGGAAGACCCTCTAGTCTACAAACTGGGTAAGGAAGGGAGCCGCTGACTGCTCAGCTGCACTCATCTGGAATTTAGCCTCTGCAACATGGATCTGGAGAAAGGATGAGAAATGATGGTGGACTGCCCCTCCTGGGGAGATAAAGGGAGAAGGATTCCCGTGTTCTTGGCTGTACCCATCCAAAGTGAAATTTTTTTTCACTGAGGTAGGAGGGGGAGGGTGAGAGTGGGCTGTAGTTCACATGTCACAGACTCAAAGAGGTAGTTTTTTTTTTTTTTGGTAATTTTACTAGTTATGGTTTTTCTTTGTGGAGTAGGTCTGCAGAGGCCTTCAAGCCCTTCATTTCTGAAAGTGGAACCTAGTACTGTTGAGTTGGAGAATTTTAAATATATTTGATATTACAAGTCCTTTGTCAGAGATGTGAGATGTGATTTACAAATATTTTTTCCTAGTCTGCTGCTTGTCTTTTCATATTCTTAACAGAGACTTTCACCAAGCAAAAAATTTTAATTTTGAACCGGCTCAATTTATTTATTTATTTATTTAATAGATTGTGTTGTTAGTATCAAATCTAAGAACTCTTCATTTAGCTTATGGTCCTGAATATTTTCTCCTGTATTTTTCTTAAAATTTTGATAGTTTTACTTTTACATTTAAATGTATGATCATTTTGAGTTGATTTTTGTGTAAGTTATGAAGATTAGGTTGAGGATTTTTTTTTTTATTTTTTTTGCCTATAAATGTCTAATTGCTCCAGCACTATTTGTTGAAAGGGCTATTCTTTCTCCATTGATGGCTTTTGCATCTTAAAAAAAAAAACAGTCAGACATATTTGTGTGGGCCTATTTCTAGGTTTTCTGTTCTGTGGATCTACGCACTTATCCCTCCACTAACACCACATTATTTTGATTACTGTAGCTATACAGGAAGCTGTAATATTGGGTGGAGCGATTCCTGTCATTTTACTCTTCTTTTGCAAAATTATTTCGGCTTCTTGTGCCCATAAGCCTGTCTGTATCTATGAAACACCTTGTTGGGATTTTGTTAGGAATTACATTAAAGCTATAGATCAATTTGGGGAGAATGGACATCTTTACTATGTCAATCCACTTTTGAATTAATGGAACATTCCATTCATTTTTGCTGTTTTTACGAATATAAGTAAAGAATACAAATAAAGTAAAGAAGCTTTCCATCTAATTCATAGTAAAAATACATTGGTATCAATTTACTTACTTAAAAAAGTAAGAGTATTTTTTTTCTCCCGAAATCTTTGGGTTGATTTAATTTTCTACATTAATGTTTACAAGCAGAACTTTTGTTTCTATATAGACACAGCCATGGATAATCATAACAACTGTGACTCTACCTCCTTCAAATAAATGCTTGAATTCAATTTCCCCGCCAATGCCTGGTAGTAAAGGCTAAGTTAGCTAAATAGGAGTAGTTGGCCATACAATAACTAAACATTCTTCTGAGTAAAGAAAAGTCTGGAACGCAGATTACTTAGCCAAATGACTCATGGATTGTGGCCCTCCAGAGAAAACTGAGAGCACATTAAACCTTCTAAAGCTCTTTGGGATGGGAAAAAGTGTTGCTAAAAAAGGATTTTTACTATATCCTCCCTTTTAAACAGGGTTCAAATTGGAAAGCGCTTATCTCAGTGTACCATTTTGTTTTGCTAGTTATTATTATTTCCAGCTCTATTAGGTGAGTGATCTCACACAGAGAAGGGAAAATTGAGCTTTTCTGGCTGGGCACTATTACTCTGCCCAGCTGAAAGCTGCTATGCTGGACAGCATCTTTTCTGTAGCTACATTTGTAGGCCACAGGAACTGTGGATAGTTATGTATTCAGTTGTTACAGTCATCTATTTATTTGTCTTAAGAATAAAAACAAATCTTCCAATTGACCTTAATTTTTTTGCAGCTGCAGTTTTAAAGAATTATAGTATCTTTTTATATTAAGAACTTTTTTATAAGCCAGTAAAAATAGAAATTTGATTCACAAAGTTTTTTCTTTCTAGAACAATTTACTGGCATTTATTTCTCTTAGAGACTGGGATAGAAGAAGAAATGCAGATGATTAAAACTCAGGCAGTAGATCCCTTGCTTTAAACCAGAGCCAAGAAACTTTCTAACTATATATTTATACTGCTTCCAGTTTTAGAAGGCTGGTCGTCTTTATTGAAGGCAAGTCAATGTGGAAAGCTCTATTGTTGTGTGTTCAAATACTATATTATAACCCTGTATTTGTTTTTCTTCTGTAAATTCATACAACACTTTGCAGTTATTTCTTAGTTCATATACTTTTGGTGCCATGTGACAGAAAACTCAACTCAGTGTATTGACCCAAGTAACATAAAAATCAAGGTGTAGACATAGCTGGATAGTTCATTCCATCTCTTGTCTCTGCTTTTAATTGTGTTGGCTAACTTTTTAAGTAGGCTTCCCCCTGGTGGCCCACTGAATTTTCCTCTCCTGTTGACTCTTGTGAGTTGGACTTCTGAGTCCTGCAATTAGTGTTAATTGGGTCATGTATTTATCCACAAACCATTTACTGTGGAGAGGGCTAGTCTATTCCCCTGTTAACCAGGCTAGGGTCAGAGGTTATTTTCCTGTCTATTCCCCAGTTAACAAGTCTAGGGTCAGAGGCAATTTTCCAATCTGAACCTTGCCATTTGAGCCAAGAGCTTTGGAAGACTACATAGATATGCACAGTTTGGAAAATATGTAGGGGTAGAGAGAATGCAGTTGTAGACAGCATTTTTGCATTTCTGGTTATAATCAGGGCACTTTTCTTTGTTCAGAAATTTCTCTTCATTATAAATTACTCTGTTATTCTGTTATAGCAGCATGAAACTAACTAAGAGCTACGAAGTCATTCTGTATCTGAGGACAGTTTCAGCTCCATCCAAGGACTTAGCCTCAAGATGTGGAAAAAGTTAGTGATTTAGAGTTGTGTATGTCTGGAGAGGAACTGAGGGTTACTAAGCAGGCAAAAATCAACAGCCGTTCACTACGACAGGTTTTTTTTTTTTTTTTTTTTTTTGAGACAGTCTTGCTTTCGCCCAGGCTGGAGTTCAGTGGCGCGATCTCGGCTCACTGCATGCTCTGCCTCCCAGGTTCACGCCATTCTCTTGCCTCAGCCTCCCGAGTAGCTGGGACTACAGGTGCCCACCACCATGCCTGGCTAATTTTTTGTATTTTTAGTAGAGACGGGGTTTCACCGTGTTAGCCCGGATGGTCTTGATCTCCTGACCTCGTGATCCACCTGCCTTGGCCTCCCAAAGTGCTGGGATTACAGGCGTGGGCCACCGCGCCCAGCTACAACAGGTTCTAAAGAGCTGTTCATTAAAGAAACAACTGGAAAATAAACAAAACAAGTTTATGTTTGTTACTATGGTTTGAATGTGTCTGCAAGTTGATGAGTAAGAAACTTGATCACAAATTCAATGGTGTTAGGAGGTGGGACGTAATGGATGGTGTTAGGATCATGGGGTCTCTGCACTCATGAATGGATTAATGCCATTCTCACATGAGTGGATTCCTTATAAAAGGATGAGTTCAGCCCCTCTTGCTCTCTCTTGCCTTCTCTTTGCCCTTCAGCCCGGGTGACACAGTAAGAAATACCTCATCAGATGCTGGTGCCCTGATCTTAGACTTCCCTACCTCCAGAACTGTGAGAAATAAATTTCTCTTCCTTATAAATTACTCAGTCTGTGATACTCTGTTATAGCAGCATGAAACTAAGACCCTTGTAAATCAACAAAAACAGGGAAAATGGTAAATAATCCCTTATAAACAAAACCTTTTTATGAAAGTGTTTAATAAAATAGTAAATGTTCATCAGTGGCTTCTTGTTTTTGGGTCTTGATCTGTTTACATATAAATTTAGGCGGCTGATTAAATAGTTTCTTAGGTGTCTCAGGTTTAACATTCTGTCATTCCACCATTAGCAGTCCTCACTCCTGTTGAGTATAATGTGTCTCTCTAAGCCTTAAAGGCTGCAGTGTGATGAAGGTGAAGATGCTGCATCTGGGAATTCCAGTAGCTTTAAGTAATTGCCATTTGAGCCAAGAGCTTTGGAAGACTATATAGATATGCACAATTTGGAAAATATATAGGAGTAGGGAGAGTACGGTTTTAGACAGCATTTTGCATTTCTGGTTACAATCAGGGCACAAAGTGATAAGACGAAAGTTACCATACACTCATTTAAAAAATCACTGGTTATTTTTCCAGACTTTTCTTTGTTCAGAGAAATATTTAATTATTGTATTGCCAACCGCCATTCTCTGGGATTGGCTGGTAAATTTTGAGGTGATAGAAGCCAATTTTAACTTTAGCCTTGTGATTTGTGAACATTTTCTTTTTCTTATTTTTTTTAAAGCCAAACTGCTCATTCATCTATTTGACACATATAGTGAAACGTGTACTATGAGGAATGCACTGTTTAAGAAAATAAAGTGGTAAAAAAATTTTTTTGCCCTAATGGGGCTTACACTATCCTAAGGAAGATAAGCAAATATATAATATGAGTCTGAGACTATTAAGTGCTGTGATAAAAAATGAAGTGGGGCAATTGATTGTGTCTGGAGTGCTATTTTGTAGCCACCAGAGAAGACCTCTTCCTCTAAGAAGGTTGCATTAGAGCAGAGATGGAGATTAAGTGAGGAAGCCAGCCATGTCTCCTCTTAGAGGAGGGCTTTCCAGATAGAGAAATCAGCAGGGGCAGAGGATTTGAAGTAGGCACATGCTTGAAATGTTTGAAAAATTACAGGGAGGCCAAAGTGGCTGGAGCAGAGTGAGTGGGGTGGGGAGGTGGGGTAGACTGGCTGGGAATGGACCAGAGAAGCAGCCAGGGGCCAGATCATGCAGGTCTGGGTAAGGACTTAGAATTTTTTTTCAAAGTGTGATGGGAAACCTTGGAGAGTTTTGATATGAAAAGCCACAAGATCTAGTTTTCATTGTAAAGACTCTCCTGGGCTGCTGCTTGGAGAGCCTTCTTTAAGGGGAGCAGAGCAGAAGCAGCTGGGAAGCCTTTGGTTGAGGCTCCCTCTGCTCCCAGCAAGGAGCTCCTTCATGGGGACAGCTCCCAGGAGAGCAGCCTGCCCCTGGACATCCTTGGATCCCCACTCTGAGCTACTGTGACCAGAGCAGAAATTATCTGCTCTCACTGTGGAGCTGGGACAACTGCGTTTCTATCCCCTACCTGGAGGAATGGATGTGCTTAACTACTAAAAAGCACCACACACATGGTGGAAGGATGCTGTGGTGAATTTCGTTCTGTTGGTTGTATAATCTGGGCTGGGATCAAAACCACCACTTACAAGATTGTTCCTCTGGGGACATTATTTCCAAGTTCAAATCAACTGACTTAAGAATGTGTTGCATACTAAGAATTAATTTTGGTAATTGGAGAACTGACTCTTCTTCTTATGAAGAGTTGGGAACATTATCCTAAGGAAGATCATTAACACATTAAGGATTAATAACACCTACTGAACAACATTGACATAAAAAAATTAAGGGTTTTTTTTTTGAGAGAGAAAGTTATATGAATGACTAGAAATACAGGTGAAATCAAATTAATGTCTGAAAAATTTTCCTCTTCGAAACTAAATAGAATATTTCAAGAAAAGTAGTTCTATGGGGAAAATTCTTACAGTAACCTTACAATTAAGTATAAAGGCTTTGGCTAGTCTCTTTTGAATGATCTCTGCTTCTCTCAACTAGTATGGGTAAATGGTATTGTATAATATGACACTTGTTCAATATTGAACATCATTCTGTTGGGGGTGTGTGTGGGTGGACATACATTCGCCAGTGTTCAATGATTTTTAGCAATTTTATATAGTGTCTCAGATGTTAAGATGTTAAGTTCGTGTAAGTGTTGTTCCTGAAGCACTATGCATGTAATAATAAATATATTGAACAGTATTTATATGTACTTTATTTGAGACAACAATTTAGTGGTAATTATTTCTTGTACTTTGTTAAATTACAAATGGAAGGTCTTCTTTATTATCATTGTTGTCTGGACCAAATCTTGCAAAATGGTTCACAGACTGTGATGTTAACATTGAACCAAAATTTTACTAAATGCTCTGCATTCTACAAGGCTTACCTCTGTGATGTGGAAAAAAGTCCCAGTGGGACATAATATGTTTTTAATTAAATCTTGTAGATTACTCAGCTCGATGGTTCTTACTTGGATAATACCAAAGAGATTATACCAGTATCTTTGCAGCTATAAAAATGTAAAGCTGACGGCTAAATTTCCTAGAGAGATCCTGTTTGCTTTTTCAAGACCAGTGAGGAGACTTCAACATATAATTCCATCTTTTTTATTACATAAAAATTTGAGTTGAGCTGGAACTGAATGACTTGTTTGTTTTTGTAATTATTTGAAAGGAGAAAATGACTAGTGAAGGAAAAATAAGTGAAGAAAATAAGCTTCAGCCAGACTGTAGAATGTCTGTATCCACAAGCACAGAAATCACTCTTCCCTCTCTAACTTCTCTTTTTCTGTCAGTAAAAAGTGACTCTTGACTGTCAAATTTCATTAATTAAAAAAAAAAATCCCATGAAGTTGGATTGAAGTAGCCTAAAGGTAGTGGAGAAATACTGATATTCAGTCTAAATGTGTCCGGAATTTATTCCTTCCGACGGGTTCTTGGTCTCACTGACTTCAAGAATGAAGCTGCAGACCCTCACAGTGAGTGTTACAGTTCTTAAAGATGGTGTGTCCGGAGTTTGTTCCTTCAGATGTTCAGATGTGTCTGGAGTTTCTTCCTTCCGGTGGGTTCATGGTCTTGCTGACTTCAGGAGTGAAGCCACAGACCTTCGCAGTGAGTGTTACAGCTCTTAAAGGTGGCACACCCGGAGTTCTTTATTCTTCTCGGTGGGTTCATGGTCTTGCTGACTTCAGGAATGAAGACGCAGACCCTCGTGGTGAGTGTTACAGCTCATAAAGGTAGTGCGGGCCCAAAGAGTGAGCAGCAGCAAGATTTATTGTGAAGTGCGAAATAACAAAGCTTCCACAGCATGGAAGGGGACCCCAGCGGGTTGCCACTGCTGGCTGGAGTGACCAGCTTTTATTCCCTTATTTGCCCCTGCCCACATCCTGCTGATTGATCCATTTTACAGAGAGCTGATTCGTCAGTTTTACAGAGTGCTGATTGGTGTGTTTACAATCCTTTAGCTAGACACAGAGCGCTGATTGGAGCGTTTTTACAGAGTGTTGATAGGTGCATTTACAATCCTTTAGCTAGACACAGAGCGGTGATTAGTGCGTTTTTACAGAGTGCTGATGGGTGTATTTACAATCATCTAGCCAGACAGAAAAGTTCTCCAAGTTCCCACTCAACCCAGGAAGTCCAGCTGGCTTCACCTCTCATAAAGGCTTCTGATACTGAAAGAGAACACACATGTTGTTCCCACATGAAAGTAACTGCTTTACTTAATTTCCCAGAGGAGCATTTATAGGGGCAGAAGAAATTTTTGACCTGTTCAGGAAATCTATAATATCTGCCTACCTATTTTGTAATAACTGGGCTGGACCAGGTATCAGCTGACTGATCTGATACGGAAGTCAGCCTGTGTACCACACCAATCTAATTAAAACCATTGGCTTGCATGTCTATGCAGTCTGTAATAGAGGAGACAACAGTCTCCTTACAGGGGTAAACCCAATTTGAATAAAAATCAATTTTACTTGACTTTTTCAGCTGTTTTGTTGTTTGGAAGTACTTGCAGCATGTATTTTTATCTTCTTTTGCTTATTTTTTACCTGTATAGTGGTTGGCTAAAATTTTTGCTAGCTCTCCTGAAAAATAGAGCCAAATGTTACAGAGTCTGTAACAACATATTTCATCATGAGAAATGCATTCTTGTTGACTTGGTTTGACTACTTTTTCCTGGGCTGCGGAGACAGAGATAAAGTTAACCACCTGGGCTGAGTGTTTGTGTGGTCCCTTCTTTCTTTCCCTCCTCAATTATGGTTTTTAATGAGTGGATTCTAAAAACTTTTTTGATGTTCTTAATCCATCCATCCTCTTTTCCTAGTACTATTAAATACATTAAGTATTTTTTTTTTTAAACAGAACTTATCTTATATCTGGATGATATTTTAGTGCATCTTGGAATCTATCCCAGGTATGTGCCTGGGCAGAAAGACATCAAGGCTTGAGCATCAGTAAAAGTAATAATATATTTTCAGAATACAAAGATTTTAGATTACAGAAACTTAATAGTATCATGTAGTTTATTTTATTCTAACAAGGCCCTCTGGCACAGTATTTGGGGGGCGTTAATTTTGAGGACAGATCACCCCAGAAGCTGTTATTTACAAACAGTGAGGACTTGGACAAAGGACTTAATTTCTCTAAGCTTTAGCTAAAATAATATTAATTGTCTTGTATTCTTGAAAGAATTAAAGAGCTGATATATGCAAAGCATTTACCATCATCTCTAGCACTTAGTGACGTTCAATAAATTATATATTTTTAGCAACGATGCAAGTTGGAATAATCCAATAATGACCAACCTTCAGCAAATTCTGCCCATAATATAGTAATAACATGGGTCCTAGGAAGCAGATTCTAAAATGAGACTTAAGAATTGGTTTACCATCACTGTTGGTAGTTGGAGCACTAATAGAGCCTGGCATGAATTTTCATTGTAATTTTTAAAACTTTCATGAGTGATAAAAAGTAATCGAATACTGCTGAAAAGAAAAACACTGGCAGGTATGACAGGTCAGGTGTTTGAGAGGTTCAGGTGAAATCATAATTTATAGACTATTGAATGAGATGGCTCTCCCTGGGGTGGATCAATGCATTACAGGAAAAGAATAAAAAGGGAAGGATGATTTTTTACCATTATAAGGTGAAGGGTAAAACCAGAGGGCCTCTTTGGAAGCATAAACTCTAATTTACTGCCAGAGGTCAGAAGAGGCTGAAGATTAAACTCAGGGCTTAATTATAGTTGTGTCAGAGCTCCAAAGAAAGTTGAATTTTCAATCATGGTAGGTCCATTTACAGAATCCACAGCCCTGTTTGTAAAGGAGTGCGATTACTGACAGGAACATCTGGGTCAATACACTTGAAAATCTAAAATTCTTATGTTTTCCTAAACCTTTGACTTTCTCCTTCTTTTAGACATTGTAGAGAGGTGTGGTTGCTTATAGACAATGTAGAGAGAGGTTTCTTCCTTGCAAAAAAAGTGTCTACACCAACCCCCCCATCCCCTCCAGAATATACCCTTACCTTCCTTCCTATATTTCCTGACAAATAGCAAGGGGTCAAATTACAACATGAAATGTCTGGGGAAGTGCTGAGCCTGGTAAGCAAGCAAAGGGATGGAAGGAGTTGCAGGACCTAGCAAACATACACTAGCAGGGACTGAAGAGTCTATACGGGACTGGATTCTAAGGGTGCTGATTCAAAAGAGAAAGTTGAATAAGGGAGAGTTTACTGATAGGAGATCACTGTATCATGATACAGGGTTTAACACTGAAAAGACCTTAAGAGATGGTGAAATAGCATTCTGCGTTGGAGCTTAGAAACTTGGAAAATGTTATGGTCCACATTGCAAAAAAGTAAAAATGCCATAACTTCCACAGAAAAAACAATCAGAAAGCTCAGAGAATTTTAGAATGGATATACTATGTAAGGCTAGACCACCCACCAGCTGACTATGTTCTGTGGAGTGGACAGAATTTACTTGTCAAAGTACTAAGGGGATTTTGGATTCTGCTTAGCATATAAAAAGCTGAAAAGGGCCAGGTGTGGTGGCTCACACCTGTAATCCTAGCACTTTGGGATGTTGAGGTGGGCGGATTGCTTGAGCCCAGGACTTCAAGACCAGCCTGGGCAGCATAGTGAGACCTCGTCCCTACTAAAAACACAAAAATTAGCCTGGTGTGGTGGCACGTGACTGTAGTCCCAGATACCCAGAAGGCTGAGGTGGGAGGATCATCTGAGCCCCAGAGGTTGAGACTGCAGTGAGCTGTGATCATGCCACCGTACTCAGCCTGGGCGACAGGGTGAGACCCTGTCGAAAACAAAACATAACAAAACAAAAACTTGAAAAGAGCATGCTTCCACCCTTATAACAACAACCACCACCACAACAACCACACAACAGTTGATAATTTTCTAAAATTAATGACAGACACTAAAGCAAAGATTCAATTAAACACCAAAACCAAAGAATACCAAGCATGATTAAAATCACACATGCACGCACACACACACACACACACGCATCTCTAGGCATATCATATTCAATCTGCTGGAAGTAGTCTGACAAAGAGGAAGTCTTGAAAACAGTCAAAGAAAAAAAGACAAATTACATAGGGAAGAACAAATACAATAAATCACAATTCTTATCTAGAAAATATGCAAAACAAAAAAAACCCAATGGGGTGACATCTTTAACTTGCTGGAAGAAAAAAAAAAAGAAACTATTAGCCATAGTGATGTGAACTGCAGTAATCAGAATGGCTAGCTTTGTTTTGAGTTCAGTGGTGGCACTCCTCTGTAGGCCAGGGCTGACAGTAGAAGATATTATAGAAGTGGGATCATGAAGAGTAAAGAGCATGAAATAATCCTGAAATAACGGAAGTCAGGTCGTGCACTTAACTATCAGAAGCAAGGTGAATACAATTGTTGTAACAATCAAAGGTCAGAGTGGAAGCCAAGCATGTCTGACCCAGAGTGAGCTGTGGAGATAGAGTATGATGTTCCCAAGGGCAAAACAGATGGGTAGTCAACAATGGTATTTTACAATCTATACAACCAAAAGAAATCAAGTATTAATGATTAGGAAGCTAAGAGCAGCCACTGCAATTTAATGTCATAATCTTTTGTTCAGTTGACAGACCTGAGCCAGTTCTTAGATCCAGAACCCATTGACTGAAAGGAGGTCAAATTCTTAGGAAGAAGTATCCTGCAATATAGCACATATAAGGAGTAACACTTTCATCATTCCTTACTCAAAGGGACCTATGACCATTTACTTGGATAATCATATATTTTGGAAAGGGGAGTACTCAAATATTTTGTTAATTGTTGGAAATAGGGTCTAAGCTGACATTGTTCCCTGGGGACTCAAAACATCATCCTGTCTGCTTGTTACAGTAGGACTGTGTGTGTATGTGAGGGTTAGGCAGAATAATGGCCCCTTAAAGCTGTCCTAGTGTCTAGAACCTATGAATATGTTAGTTTACATCCTAACATATGTTAGGTCACATATCCTTTTTCTACAAGGATAACGTCCAACTGAAAGTAGAGGAGACGAGGATTTCCAAGATGTGACTGTGTCTTTGCAAACCAACCCTAACAATGACTCCTTGTTTATTGTCAAGCATTGATTCTGCTGGAGGTGGCTCCTGTCGGCATTGGGTTCTTTCAGGGATACCTCTTTGGAAAGCTTATGACAATGGCAGTTCTAAAGAGTCCTGCTATTTTTCATCTTATCAAGCAGCTGACAGTTGTCTCTGCCATATTTGGGCAGAGCTCTCCACCACACTTGGGCAGAGCTCTCCACCGCACTTTGGCAGAACTATCTGAGTAGCTCATCACTTCTCTCATATTACTTGGCAAAGCCCCTGCTGATTCCATTAGAAGTTTTGATGCATCACAGCTCAGTAAGTAACATGTTTCTAAAGATCCAGGGATTGCATTAAGGGAACAGGCCTTTTGATATCTTTACTGAATTTTTATTCACTCAGATCTACTTTTCTCTTATGTTCCCTAAGAAGTTCTAATGAAAGTGTCAATCAGAGATGTGCTACACAATATGACAGTGTTAGCCACATATGGCTATTTATGTTTGAATTATTTGAAATAAAATAAAAATTTGTTTACTCAGTTGGCACTAGTCACATTTCACATGCTCAGTAGTCACAAGTATGTAGTCATTATCATATTTGATGGTGCAGATATGGAACATTTCCATCATTGGAGAAAGCACTATTGGACAGCATTATTAGAGCTTGTGGGCCTCTCTAGTAAGTATCTAGTTGACTGGTTAGATGTCTTAAATTCTTCATTACATGTATTTTCCTTCCCCATCACAAGAGGGCAATGAGTGGTATACACAAAGAGAACTTCAATAGACACTCTAGTTTCCCCAAATTTCCCAGGAATAGGTTTAATAATTACTCTGGGTTATAAATTGAGACAGCAACAATACAGTTACAAAGTTTTTACACTATGGCATCCATTAATTTTTTTTTTTTTTTTTTTTTTTTGATATGGAGTCTCACTCTGTCACCCAGGCTGGACTGCAGTGGTGCGATCTTGGCTCATAGCAACCTCCGCCTTCCGGGTTCAAGTGATTCTTCTACCTCAGTCTACCGAGTAGCTGGGACTACAGGTGCTGCCACCACGCCAGGCTAATATTTGTATTTTTAGTAGAGACTGAGTTTCACCATGTTGGCCAGGCTGGTCTCGAATTCCTGACCTCTTGTAATCCACCTGCCTCTGCCTCCCAAAGTGCTGGGATTACAGGGCCATTAAAAATTAATAGTTAGCATTTTTTTGCTCATAAACTATATGCCAGATACTTGACATGCAGTATTTTTCATGGCATCATGAATTGGATAGTATCCCCATTTTGCAAACAAGGCAACTAAGGCTCAGAAAGTAAGAATAGACTCCCCAAGATCATATACATTCTAAGTGGCTCTTTCTAATTCTGAAGACCATGCTTTAGGTCACACTGTGCTGTAATGACTTAGTTGTAGAAAAGCAATGGGCAATAAATGTCATTTGGTTAACATAACCTGAAATTCTACTGCAGGCGATTTCTATTTCTCTGTCATTTCTCCTGTTTTGATACTTCATGTTTTCTTTCCTCAATGTCTTGGAAAGTACTTCCAGAAGGCAAAATTTATACAGATTTTAATCTTTGTGGGATGAAGCACTCATTTATTTATAGTCTTACAGAATGTTATCGATACTTTTTTTCTGTTCCATGTAGTATTGTTTTTTTTCCCCCTTTCAGTTTAAAATACAGGCATGCACTTAAATATTTCTAATAACATGTGGTAAGGGCTGGGTCTCTGCAGATCTAAGATCCTCCTGTACCAAAATACAGATCAATGTGATGGCTTGTGATAATAAGGCTGCTCCTCACTCCCAGAGGAATTGTCAAATCCTTGTGTTTGTTGAAGCTTTGTGTTCCAACTTAACTATCCCTGACAATCTGTTTCTTACCTGTTTTAAGATGCTGCAGAATTCTTTAAAAACAAGATGGATTTTGTTTCTAATAACCATAATTATTTTTAAAAAGTGCCTTTGTGATGAGTTGCCTATCATGTGCCTGGTGAACTGAACTTTAAATGACCTTTTTGCCCTTATTATTGCAGCCGTTGCCTTCCAATTTTATATATAAAATATGAAGGAAAGGGAATTTAAAATAGAATTTATTGAGGTACACACAGCTTCAGCAGCTGCTGTTACAAGGGTATCATCAAATACCAACACTGACAAAAACCCATGGGGTCTATTTTCCAATTCAATCTTGAAGGAAATTTACAATAGTGAGTGTCTATGGCAGTTGAGGTTGGGTAAGATTTAGATGACTCATTTCCCTTATCTAATGAATTCAGGCCCTGCAAACTTTGCAAAAGCTTTAAACTGACAAAGCACCAAGAGAGTTGATGTGAAATTGAAAGACAGCTGGCATGGACTCAGAGCCTCTTGAGTTTAGCTCAGAAAGCTGCAAACCTGTACAGCTGCACAACTGTCAGGATAAAGATTCCAGCATAAAGATAGTCAAAATATTGCTACAGATGAAGAACTTTATGTCTAAAGCCTCTATTCCACAAAGAAGAGTCATTTTAAATAAAGAATGCACATGGCATTTTTACATTTATCTTCATTTTGCTAAGATAAAATAGATGAGAATGTTTCAATCTCCAACAACTTAGGTTAAAAAATTCAATTAAATATGAAAAATAGTTTTAAAATTTTTAAATGATCAAATCATTTTCCTGGAAGTAAAACAACTTTGATGTGGTTTTCCTTTTCAGGCTGTCTCTTTCCGATTCCTCGGTTTTGACAAGTCATAAGGATAATATAACACTTTGTTTTATTATGTGGTGAGAAACTCTTCAGAATGTTTCTGGGTAAGAGCACACTTAAATCATTAGGTGGGGAAACAAAGCTTGCTAGGTTTGGTGTTTTCAGGCAATAAATGATATCATCAATTATAATTTGTATACCCTTTTTTTAAGCAGAAACAAAACCCAAGTCAAATGGCATTTATGGCACAATTGACATTTTACTTATGGGAAGATAACTCAACATTAAAGGTATAGTTCGCTGAACAGTGATTACAAGGCTTATTGTATTAATGAGAACTAAAAAGTTCGACTACATATTCAAAGGATCCCCATGGCCTTTTATATTGCCCATCACAAAATCCTTTTCAAGCAATTTAAATTGTATCATGATTGGCTATTGGTATTTGAGAAATGGCATTAAACTCAGGCAAATAGTGAAATTCCACTGTATAGAATGGTATCTGTAAAATAAAATATAAATGCAAAACTGAAAAAATAGGAGATAAAATCACATGATTTTTACAATGACAGTATGTTGTTTAAAATGCAGAAAAAAATATGCATGAGTAGTTCCAAATCTTTATTTTATTCTAGGTGTTTTATGTCTTCTTAGACTGTTAGATCTAAAAAACTCCCTTTTCAATCCTACTATGTATAATGAGACTAAATCATAAACTATGTTTAATGCATTTTAAATTCATATGCAACTTGTCAGCACCTCCATTTAAAAATGATTTTACTTTTCATAATTTTATGACCACTTGGCTATAATATAAAATGCTAAATATATCAGTGTATGAAAACAAATTGAACTTGTAGACTGTGGACTCCTGTACATTACTCAAGATTTAGGTGAAACGCATGTAAAGCTTTTTCTGGCCTTGACTAGAAAGAAGAGGAGAGCCAAAAAACAAAGAGGAGAGTCAGTCTCTTCTTCTTTGTTTTTTCATTTCTGTACTAAAATTTACTATAGTACTTTTCATTTATTTTATTTTTATTTTTTAATTTCTTTTTGAGACACAATTTTGGTCTGTCGCCCAGGTTAGAGTATAGTGTTGTGATCACGGCTCACTGCAGCCTTGACCTCCCAGCCACGTGATCCTCCCACCTTAGCCTCCCAAGTAGCTAGGACTACAGGCATGCCACCACACCCTGCTAATTAATTTTTATTTTTGTAGAGATGGGATCTTACTATGTTGCCCAGGCTGATCTTGAACTCCTGGGCTCAAGTGATCCTCTTACCTTGGCCCCTAAAGTGCTGGGATTACATGTGTGGGACACTTTGCCTGGCCTACTATAGTACTTTTTAAAGTGTTTTGAAATTACTGTATATGTGCCTTCTTCCCTGTAAGAATGAATGACCCTGTTGACATCATAAATGAGGTCTTATTCTTCTCTTTAGATCCAGCAATTCAATGATGGCATCAAAGACTGGTTCTTTCACCTTTTGCTCTGCCATCCACCCTTATATCATCCTGAGGTTGGTTCTTGTAGTCATAGGATCATTGCCCATTTCCTATAGCATTTAAGCTGTATTTATTCTCACTTAAGCCTTCTGGGAGAGAAAGAGAGTGTTTTTCTACAATCATGGAACAATAGTACTTCTGTTCAGTCTGATGTACAATTGACCCTTGAACAACACAGGTTCGAACTGCTTGAATTCATTTATACTTGAATTTCCTCCCCAGTCTGCCACCTCTGAGACAGCAAGACAGATCCCTTCCCTTTCTATTTTCCCATCAGCCTACTCAACATGAAGATGATGAGGACGAAGAGCTTTATGATGATCCACTTACACTTAATGTGTAGTAGATGTATTTTTTCTTCTCTATGATTTTTAAAAATAACAGTTTCTTAGTATTATTGGCAAGGCTTCTGGTCAGCAGTAGACTGTTAGCAGTTATGTTTTTGGGAAGACAAAAGTACTATGCAGATTTCTGTCTGTGTGTAGGGTTGATGCTTCTAACTTCCATGTTGTTTCAGGGTCAACTGTAATAGTTTAGGTCCAACTCTGGACCAGTAACTGTCACCAGGAGAATGTCCTGTGCTGATTGGCCTAGGTCACAGTTCCTTAATCAATCTTGGGCAAGGGAGACATATTGTATTTGCTTAGACTCATCAGGGCCCTTCTCTGCAGATGGAATCAGTTCCTCAAGCTGCAATGAAACTTTATTGAAAAGGTGGTGAAATAGATGTTGGCCCTCACCTGTAATGTCTACTACGTAGAATTTTAGTATGCAGTATTTCTCAGGCTTATTGGGTTGAGCATGAACATTTATAGAAATTCTTCAAAGGAGCTTTTTGTTCTTAGGGTAGATAGCTTAGGAAATGCTGACCTGTAAGATTAAGTTAAAATTCCTTATTATAGCATAAAAAGCATTTTTGATATGGCCCTGAGTCTAGCTACTAGTTCTGTAGTCACTTCAAAGTCATGCTCTAGCAATAGCACATTTATTGCCTTTCCTATATCTCTCCATGTTTCCTACTATTTCAAGGCCTTTATTATTTGTTTTCTTGGTTGGCAAGTCTTTTCCACTCTGATTACCTTTTCATCTTTCAAAGTCAATCAAACATCCATCTCCTAAGAAGCCGTTCCTTCTATATACTATTTCAGCATCATGTACGTAATTCTTTTATTGCTTCCCATATAAAATTACAATTATATATTACAAGGCTTCTAAATTTTGAGTGACTGGAAGGGGGGGAGCACCTATGTCTTATTCATCTTTCCAGCCCCAGAATTTGGCAGAAGATTATTGTTAAATGTCTGCTCCATTGAATGGTGCCTTTAGTATGTTTTTGAAAATATTAGATCAGTACTACATTTTTATACTTTTATTCATGCCCAGAAGTATTAAATGTTTTAGTAATTAACTGCAAAATCTTTATCTTGTGGCTTGAATAGTAGTTCCTAAATCAACCTCAGAATCTGAGCTGTACAATTTTTCAAATTTATTTTTTCTGCCTAATTCATGCTGCCTAATTTCCAAGCTCAAAATCATAAATTAGATGTAGACTTTCTGATCAGGTAGTATTTGCAAAAGTTTAGCTAAAATAGGCAAAATTGAGAATGAATTTTTATAAGAAATGTCTGCACAGTTGAAGTATCATTATTATTATTATTTTGGTAGGATAGGGGTCCCACTATTTTGCCCAGGCTGATTTTGGACTCCTGGGCTCAAGTGATCCTCCCGCCTTGGCCTCAAAAAGAGCTGGGATTACAGGCATAATTCACTGTGCTCAGCCCAGATTACAGCTTTAAATCCTTCTTGGGATCACACATCCAAGAGTCCTGAACATATTTTCATAGAAAACAGTCCACGGTCCTAGAGCCTGTATTGTAATACAGTGTAAGGTGAGACAATGTCAAGGCATGATTTCAAAATGTAAGTTTTGAACTTTTATTCTTAAAGTGCACAAATATCTGTTTCTTTAGATTATAAAAGTTCAAAAGTACATTCAGGAGCTACTTAAAATATTCATGCTAACTTGCAAATATAGGAGAATCTGCAGGTCACTGTTTTTTTTTCTTGTTTTTAGTTTTTTATTTAATTTTAAATAGAGATGAGGTCTCACCATGTTGCCCAGGTTGGTCTTGAACTCCTGAGCTCAAGTGTTCCTTTTGCCTCTGCCTCCCAAAGTGCTAGGATTACAGGCCAGGCATGAGCCACTGCGCCCGGTCAGTAACTGTTTTTTAGTGTGTCAAAAACTTTTACTTAGGTTAATTGTAGTTTTAATAAACATTTTAAAAAGTTCACCAGGCCTTTTATATAAAGTCATTGCTAAGTGAAATGCAAGTTTTAAAAACTTTCTCTCCAAAAATACGTAGAGTATGTATTATACTGTGATATGAGCTTACTTAAAGAGGATGTTTATTTATTTATTTATTTATTTATTTATTTACTTACTTATGCAACCCAACATCCATTTCTCCTTCTCCTCTTAAACACTTCTCAATTTCTCTTTCTCACATTACAAGCAACCTTGGTCAAAGGGTTCTCAACTCTTCTAGGTGAGTAACCAAGGTAGGCTAATCAGATTTTTCCTAGACTTAATTTAGATGGAAAAGCAGTTAAAGTGGATTTACCCAATGATAGTGTCCAGGCAGAATGCCCATTAGTTCTTGCTACCTAGATTGCTAGAGATATTCTGCTCCTGTCCTTTCTGGCTATTTTATTCTTTGAGCTCCACCATATTCTTCCTGTAAATTCTCTTTCTGCTTAAGTTAGGTAGAGTCAGTTTCTGTTAGGTACAAAGAACCCTGACTATTACGGTAGTCAAGGTCATTTTACCTTTGGTTTGTTTTCAGCCACATTTTCAAACTGTATCTTTGTCAACTTTATTCTTTTTGCTTCATTTGAATTTTACTGTTTCTCATATGGGAAAAATGCCATGAATTAAGTAAGCATGATTCTTTTTATTAGATGCCAAATGAAGTCAGGTTTTAAAAGCTGAGTCTTGTCATGTTCAATCACTTTTCTGTAGCTCTTTCCACCTACAACAAACACAATCTGCCCGTTAAGATGTGCTTTAGCCATCTCTTTGCAAATTGTGTAAATGTTTTTGGAAGAGAGTTTCATTCCTCATTGTTGAGCTAATTTTCTCACAGTTTAGAAATGTCTTTATAGGAGTGAGCTTTCCAAAATTAGGGTATCTATTTCTTGTGTTTCAGCAGAAAAACACAATAAAAGAGATATGTTTGCCTGATACATGCTCATTCTGAGAGAATTGCAATCTATTCTTACTGATATCTTTTTGGGAAACTTGGATCTGCAGGAAACAAAGTTTTATCTTATTTTGGGATGTAGACAACTGTTTAGAACCATGAATAAAGGAAAAAAGTATAATTGTATATCTCCTACAACTTTTAAAACATATTGCAAGGGCTTGAGCTCTATCATAGTGAAAGAAAAATGAACATTTTTATAAAAATGAACATTTATTTAGATGAAGGTTAAAAGACAGAAATGCTGTTCTGAGTGAAATGTCTATAATAATTGAACTTTTGAGCCACAGGGGCAAGTCGGTACTTCACCAGGTACTCTCCAAAAATCTTTTTGTAGGCTTTAAAATACAAATGCCTTTAGAATGTCAAACTTATATTTCTTCAAACGAAAGAAAATCCTTCTGGAATATTAAATGGGCTTATAAAGAAGAGTTTTGGCTAAAAGGAGATCAAATATTTTATCAAAAGTTCGGTTCATCATTGCGAGAGAAAAGATCATGGAATAGCTGCTTAAGATTACAAAGGAGCCGTGATAGCTTCTGTTAATGATAGTGCATAGCCAATTTTGTCTTTGTACTTGCTTTATAAGAGTTCTCACCATTGGTTTTCTTTTGTACTTTTCTTTTTTGGTGATTATAGAACTTGATTATTATGGGTTTGAAAATTGTAGAGGTTTTTCCATATTACATCTAACTTTGTGAGGTAAGATTACCCACTGATGTTAAAAGAAGGCAAATGAAATGGCAAGATTTATAATATACATATGTGAAGTAATATTTTTTTCTTTCTTTCTTGGGAAATGTTGGAAGAACAGGGTTGAGGGATGCCTGGAGGAAAATGCTGAGGTGGAGTGTAATAGTTTCCTGGGGCTGCTGTAACAAGCAGAAATTTACTCCGTAAACTTAGCGTCTTAAACAACAGAAATGTATTGTCTCACAGTTCTGGAGGCTACAACTCTGCAATGGAGGTGCAGTCAGGGTTGATTCCTTCTGAGGGGTGTGATGGAAGAATTTGTTCCAGGCTATTCTCGTTGGCTTGTAGATTGCCAACTTCTCCCTGTGTCTCCACATGGCATTCTCCTTTGGTGTGTCTGTCTTCAAATTTCTCCTTTTCATGAGGACATCAACCATACTGGATTAGGACTCACTATATTGACCTCATTTTAACTTGATTACCTCTGCAAAGGTAATCCTCTCTTCAAATAAAGCCACATTCTGAGATGTTGGGGGTTAGGACTTCAACCTATAACGAGAGGCAAAGAGATGCTTAAGGGGAAGAGCACAAGTCAGTTTTCACATAGGGCAGGAGAGGGAGAAAGGGTAATTTCTGTATGTACTTTTTTTTTTTTGGTGAATCTAGGCAATAAGGGGCTTGCTGCTGAGTTTTTTTCTTGTGGCCTTTTGACTTTGCTCCTATTAAGAATTAGAAATACTTTTTATCTTTCTTGATTTATGCACTATGGAAGTTTGTCACTATTTCTGTACTAATTCCATAATCATAGAATAGAAATAGATCCTGTTAATTTCTTTTGTGTTAAGTCTTCAGTGAGAAATATGAAAAGCACTATACATTTGAATAATCTATATCTACTGAGAATTCTCTTCCATTGACCTTTGTTCTTTTTTTCCATCTCATTCCACAATTAGCCTTTTGGACTAAGTTTAGTCCAGCATTCTTGCTTGAGTTTGTTCTTTGTAACCACCTGGAGAATTATCAAAATGTGGTTTCCTTAGTGAGAAAAGTAGAAAACCCTCTTGTCTTCTGCTTATATTAATAGCTGCTGCTTTTGTATGTGTGTTGTTAACATTGGATAGTGGCTCTGATTAAAAGTCAAGGAAACATGGACTCACTGTGACAGCTGCAGGGAAGGAGGGTACAGAGGATGTTCCACTTACCTGCTGCATGCCCAGTAGTTCCAAGATGATGTCTTTCTTCTCCGAGGTTGCTGCTTTGGATTTTATTTTAGCGATACGTATGACTTGCTGCAATTCTAGCCAACATCTTTCTTGGCTATATTATTGGTTTAGTTTGTAGCCAACAGGTTATTTGTACAACAAATAGTCCCTTTTTAAAGTTACTAAATGAGATTCACCCATTTTCATGGTCATTTAAATGTAAACGATTATTTACTGAGTATCTGCTGCATGCATGCTAGGTATTGTGCTAACGATGAGCAAAACACCGAACCTGTCCCTCAAGAAGCTCACTCAGGTTCACAAGGTGAGACAAATCCAAACACAATAGTAGCAAAATGTGATAAGGACTGTATTAGCCCGCTCTCACACTGCCATAAAGAAATACTCAAGACTCAGTAATTTATAAAAGAATTTAATTGACTCAGTTCCATGTGTCTGGGAAAGCCTCAGGAAACTTACACTCATGGCACAAGGGGAAGCAAAGACGTCCTTTTTCACAAGGTGGCAGGAGAGAGAAGAATGAGTGGTGAAGGGGGAAGAGCACCTTATAAAACCACCAGATCTCATGAGAATTCACTCACTATCATGAGAACAGCATGGGGGAAACTGCCCCCATGATCCAATCACCTCCCACTGGATCTCTCCCTAGACATGTGGGGATTACAATTCGAGATGAGATTTGGATGGGGACACAGAGCCAAACCATATCAAGGAGTATTAGAAGGACACACACTGGACTCTAAAGGAGCAGACTCCTCAGTAAGGTCTTGAATCATGAGTTGCAAGTTATCAGTTCTTGGTCAGAATTTGAGAAGGTTAAGTGAGGGAAAGGCTTTTAAGTGGGATAAGTGTAGGCAAAGGCCCCAAAATATGAAGACAAACGTGCCAGAGGAGAAAAAGGACAGCAAGGCTGGGAACTGGGTATCACCATAGAAAGTGGTAGGTAGACAGGGATCAGATAATGAAGAGCTCCCTGAACATTGTTGGATTTAGAAGTAGAAGACCTGGAACACTGCCTAAACTCTGCTCCTGAGTAAGGATGTGACCTTGGGTAAGTCACTGAAAAACACCTGGTCCTTAGCTTTTCTTTTTTGAGACAGAGTCTCGTTCTGTCGCCCAGGCTGGAGTGCAGTGGCATGATCTCGGCTCACTGCAAGCTCTGCCTCCCGGGTTCACGCCATTCTCCTGCCTCAGCCTCCCGAGTAGCTGGGACTACGGGCGCCCGCCACTATGCCCGGCTAATATTTTTTGTATTTTTAGTAGAGACGGGGTTTCACTGTGTTAGCCAGGATGGTCTCGATCTCCTGATCTCGTGATCCGCCCGCTTTGGCCTCCCAAAGTGCTAGGATTACAGGCATGAGCCACCACGCCCAGACAGCTTTTCTGTTTATAAGATGAGGATGCTGGCTCTTGCTTCTCTTCTGCCTTTCCAAGTCCAATCACTGTATAATGATGAACATGTTGGTACATGGCCTAACCCCATTTTCCCTCTTGCCTAATTTTTTGCACCACCCGTTTTTCTGTGGAGCTTCCTGTGAATCTCTGTTGCTTTTGGAAGCCTTTCCTCTCTACGTTTTCTGTCATACCTGGGTGCTTCTGCTCAGGTTGTTTCTCTTGCTTGGAGTGTCTTTGTCTTTTTTTCTTTTTTTGCTTGTCAGACTTCTACTTAGTCTTTACTTCAGACATTATGTTCCCACAAATGCGATCACTGAGATTTGAGGCCAGATGAAATTTTCCTCTTCCTCTGAAGAACTGACCATATTATAAGCTGTGAGTAGCAAGAGAGCACAGTTATGTTGTATTCATCTTTGTATTCTCAGTGACTACATAAATGCCTTATTCACAGAAGGCATTCAGGAAATAAATGTTGAAGTGAACTGACCTGAGAGGCCAGGGGGAAGCATGGGAGGCTGAAGGAACACCAAGAGATGCACTGCACTGTAATCTTGCAACATAAGAGACCTATGTTGCTGGGTCTGGCCTGAGGAGCTTCCAAGCCCAGCTCTTCTATAGCTGGAATAAGAACCTCATCAGGACAGCAAAAGAAACCATCAACAGAGTAAGCAAACAACCTACAGAATGGGATAAAATATTTGCAAGCTATGAATTTGAAGGTCTAATATCCAGAATCTATAAGGAACATAATTCAATGAACAAAAACCAAATGAGCCCATTAAAAAGTGAGCAAAAGACATAAACAGGCACTTCTTAAAAGAAGACATGCACATAGCCAACAAACACGAAAAAATGCTCAACATGACTAATCATCAGAAAAATGCAAATCAAAACCACAATGAGATACTATCTTACACCAGTCAGAATGGTTATTATTGAAAAGTCAAAAAAGAACAGATGCTGTCTAGGCTGTAGAGAAAAGAGAACACTTACACACTGTTGGTAGGAATGTAATAACTTAGTTCAGCCACTCTGGAAAGTAATTTGGAGATTTCTCAAAGAACTTAAAACAGAATTACCATTCAAGCCAGCAATCCCATTACTGGGTATTTACCCAAAGGAAAATAAATTGTATGTATGTTCATCACAGCATTATTCACAATAGCAAAGACATGAAGTCAACCTAGGTGCCCATCAACAGTGGATTGGATAAAGAAAATGTGGTACATATACACTATGGAATACTACACAGCCATAAAAAAGAAAAAAATCATGTCTTTTGCAGCAAGATCAAAGCAGTTAAAGATCATTATCCCAAGCAAATTAATGTAAAAACAGAAAACTAAATACCGCATGTTCTTACTTACAAGTGGGAGCTAAACATTGGGTATACATAGACATAAGGATGGGAACAACTGGAGACTACTAGAGTGATGAGAGGGAGAGGAGGGCAAGAGCTGAAAAACTACCTATTGTGTACTATGCTCACTGCCTGGGTGACAAGATCATTTGTACCCGAAACCTCAGCATCGTGCAATCTACTCATGTAACAAACCTGCACATGTACTCCTGAATCTAAAATAAAAGTTGAAATTTTAAAAAAGAGAAAGAAAGCAAGGTGCCACCGCCTGAGACTCATGCCTGTAATCTCAGTGCTTTGGGAGCCTGAGGCCAGTGGATCACTTGAGCCCAGGAAATAGAGATGAGCTTGGGCAAGATGGTGAAACCCTGTTTCTACCAAAAAAAATAAAAAAAAATTAAAAAAAGAATTAGCTTGGTGTGGTGGCTCATACCTGTAGTCCCAGCTGTTCTGCAGGCTGAGGTGGGAGGATTGCCTGAGCTTGGGATGGGGAGGTTGCAGTTAGCTGTGATTTTGCCACGGCACTCAGCCTGTGCAAAAGAGCGAGACCCTGTCCCCCACCCAAAATAAATAAATAAATAAGAAAAAAAGAGAAGCTTAGCAGGGGTTTTCAATGAGGCTGCATTGACCCTCCAGAAACTGCTGGAAAGGTTTTGAAGAGAAGAATCAGGGAAGAGAATGGAGGGGGAACCCACAGGGTGAAGAGCAGTGAAGAGGAGTGGGTTTTGTGGGACTAGTACACCAAAGAGAGCACTCCAGCTCTAAGAATGACAGCAGTCACTTTGTGTATGTGTTTCAGAGCCATATGTATGCATTGGTAAACTTCTACTATGAGAGAAAAGCAGTATGGCTTTTTGTTCTTTATACTTCTTTTAACTGCTCCCCTAAACTTCATATTTTTTTTTTAGCCAAACCTATTTCTCCTGCTTCCAGAAGAGAGAAGGAGGATTCTCTTTTCGTTGTTCTGGTGGAGGGGGAGTAGAGAGAGATGTTAGAATGTGCATGGGCGCCATTTTGACTATTATGCCTCTTCCAACAGGAGTATTTACTAAAGGCATGGCCAGGCAAAAGATGCCAAGGGGCAAGTTCATGTCTAGAGGACAGATTGAGTACACCATATCTGAAATGCTTGGGATGAGAAGCGCTTCAAATTTCAGATTTTTTCAAATTTTAGAACATTTGCATATATATAATGGGATATTATGAGGATGGGACCCAAGTTTAAACTTAAAATTTATGTATGTTTTATATATACCTTACACACATAGCCTGAAGGTAATATTATGCAGACTTTTTAATTATTTTATGCATGAAACAAAGTTTGTGTACACTAAACCATCAGAAAGCAAAAGTGTTACTATCTCATGTGAGTGTTCTATAAGTTTTGGATTTTGGAGGATTTCAGATTTCAGATATTCAGATTAGGGATGCTCAATCTGTAATACCTTTAAAAAATATTAACCTGTATTTTATTACTATATTTCCCCTCATTTTTCTTTTCCTCCAATTAAGCTGGTAGTTGCTGGGTACGTGTTATCTCAGGGGAGGGATATGACAGGGCAATTCACAGCAATAATGGGAGTCTTCTCTGATGTTGTTTCAAAAAAACCTCAGCTTCACAGTGGGGAAGGGAGTCTCAGAATAAGCAAATTTTCATGAAGTCTGAAATTTTCTTCAAGAAATATCCTTCCCAGAGTGGAGAACAATTCTCCTGGAAATGGAGAGACAGGAAAGAAAAACAGAGCTATTGTGGGTCCTGGAATGCAGGGCCCTTCACCCTGTTCTCTGGCAGTGCTGCTGGAAAACGTCACCTTAGAGGGGTTAGGGGCGTCTCCTTGGCAGATGGAGCCGCAGGCAGCTACGGCAAAGATTCTAGTGTCAAAACAGGGCTCAGAGGAACAGAAAGACACTGACCTGGACATTATATGAGCTAGGACAATGGATATCTCAGTGACACCAGTTTGCACTGACAGCTGAGAACTTGGCGGTTCTCTTCCAGTGCTTTGAAAGATCTCAGAACTGGGTGACACAACCTATGGAAGAGGTAGTACAAAGAAAAGACTGAAATTAAAATTCTCCTTCCCCATGGCAGTCTCAGGGAATAGAGATCTTCAGTGTCAAAAATTAATTATAAGGGCTGGGCGCAGTGGCTCACGCCTGTAATCCTAGCACTTTGGCAGGCCGAGGCGGGTAGATCACTTGAGGTCAGGAGTTTGAGACCAGCCTGGCTAACGTGGTGAAACCCTGTCTCTACTAAAAATACAAAAATTAGCCAGGCATGGTGGTGCGTGCCTGTAGTCCCAGCTACTCAGGAGGCTGAGGCAGGAGAATTGCTTGAACCCAGGAAGGAGAGGTTGAGTGAGCTGAGATTGCACCACTGCACTCCAGTCTGGGTGACAGAGTAAGACTCAGTCTCAAAAAAAAAAAAAAAAAAAATTAAACTTAATTATAAAAAACAGAAAAGAAGGTCTTTAGTCCACCTAAGTGTTTCATGTCCTCTCAAAGTTTGAAGTTATAAGCAGCAATGTGCTTGAGCTGGCTGACACTGGCTCATGAGAACCCATCGTTAAATTTTCAGGTATTTTGTTAGCTGACTATAAAACACAGCCATTATGAAAAATCAAATAATATCAAGTATGATTAAATACATTATGTTAAAAACAAAATAATAAACACTTCAAACTGATGTCTGTTTCTCTACATTTTACTATTATCTATACTATTAATACATCTTTTGTATATGTGAGGCATGATGGAAATCCTATAAAGTGATGTTTTACTGCACATCTCTTCCCAAGTCTTTTTTCGGTGACATCACAAAGGTAGCCTGAAATCAGCATGGCTGGAGTGTTTACACCTGGGAATTGGCAAATGCTACAAATGAGAAATTTTCTTTCTTTCTTTTCTTCTTTCTTTCCTTCTCTACTTTCCCCCTTCCTTCTCTCTTTCCTTATCCTCCCTTTCTCCCTTCTTCCTTCCCTCCCACTCTCCTCCCTCTTTCCCTTTGGAAGACTTCTGATAAAGGTTTTAGCAGCATACTAATGAGTACAAAGAATAACAATAATGAAACAAAAAGCTAAGTACAAACTGGAAGTAGGAGGGTTAGAAACAAAAAGGGAATAGGTTCAAGGGAATGACTGAGGAGTACGATTTAGCACTGCGACTGTATATGGTACTGACGGGATTTTACTGAGGCATATAGGGTAGCTAAACAGGACCAACTGACATTCACCCGCATTCTAAAGAATTTATTTCAGACAATCCACAACTGCTGTGGATGAAGTTAGAAACAGATAAGCAGATCAGTTGAACAAGAATGATTTAATGCAATGTGACGGAAGCTAGAGAATTACTTTATGTCCAGTGAGTGTGTGGGCTGAGGGTGCCTGTGGTTCTGTCCCCACTCTGCCGCTGCTGCCTTGGGTCTTGCTTCCTTAGCTTCCTTTCTAGTCTTGCCTTTTTTGCTTTGTGCTTTATATCTAGTCTTGCCTTTTTGCTCTTGTTGTTGAGTGTTCTTATGACTTTATTTTCCTGTCCTTCTGTTTTTTTCTTTGCTGTACTATTTAATTTTTCTGCGAGTTTTCTGTTTTCTAGATTTTCTTTGACCTTTTCGTGCATAGACTTCTCTAATCTCTATGTTATTGCTCTACCTGTTTTCATGATCTGTTACCTTTAAGTACTTTGAAGCCCTGTCCAAAGTGTCACTTCGTAGCAGTGTGCTCTTAATCAAGTTAACTTCTTGGGGCCTCAGTTTTCTCTTTTGTAAAATGGGAAGATTTTATCTCCTTCATAGTGCTTTTTGTAGATTTAAATGATATAATGTATATAAAGTACTTAGTAAAATTCCTGACATCTAAAATAAAAAACATTACCTACTGTTTTAAAAATGTTAATCCAATCCTGGCTAACACAGTGAAACCCCGTCTCTACTAAAAATACAAAAAAAATTAGCCAGGCATGGTGGCAGGCGCCTGTAGTCCCAGCTACTCGGGAGGCTGAGGCAGGAGAATGGCGTGAACCTGGAAGGCGGAGCTTGCAGTGAGGAGTTGAGATCACGCCACTACACTTCAGCCTGGGCGACAGAGTGAGACTGTCTCAAAAAAAAAAAAAAAAAAATTGTTAATCCAAACCGAATTGGTTACCTACAGGTTGAGTGTCTCTTATTCAAAAATACTTAGGATGGAAAGTGTTTCAGATTTCTGATTTTCTTGGATTTGAGGGCTCTCCTCCTGTATTAGCATCCATGCTAAACTCTTTATCAGTGGATGCAAACTCAAATGCATATAGGGCCTAGGCAGAACAGGAAGGAAGTGGTCTAGGCTGGGAAATACAAAGATGGTGGTAAATCAAAGAGTTTATTATTTGTTGGAAGGTGGCAGCCACTTCTTAACATGGGCCAATTAATAAATGTTAATTTTTCAGGAAATAAGTGAAAATTGGTAACTTTATGAGCAGTTTTATTGAGGTAAAAAAGGGTGGCTTATTATTGGAAGATAGCACTTCAAATAAATGGTCTATTGTCTGTATTTGGCCTGTTGTCCACTGGTTTGAAAACTCTTCAGGACATATTTATTGAGCTGTTGTTGAGCAGCTGGTTTCTTATTTATCAGCAGGAAATCCTGGCTTGCACATATGACATTGCTGATTTTCTAGTAAGAGTATATTTGGATGAAAATCCTTTTGTTCCTCATATAACTCCCCCTAACAAATAAATTAGAATCAACCTTCATGTGGGGAGACCTCCCAGTGGAATACGAGAAGTAACAAGTGACCTAATTGTGCTGCAATTGAGTGATATAACCCCAGTGAAGGCGGTGGGGAAGAGAAAAACTAACCCAAGTAATTATGGGAAACAGCATTTTGGCTGTATATCGGAGATTAAACAAATAGAACTGTGCATAAATACTGTATTATAGTTACTGAGTTTTTTTTCTCACAGGGTATGGGGCAGCAATTTTGAAACTGATGTGTGTATAAGGATTGAGCAAATAAGTAAATATGTCGTAGATAATGAGAGCCAGGTTTCTCATTGTCAGAGAAAGAAGTTTCAAATAAAGAAAGGGGAAGGCTAGAGTGAACCTTGAAGTGTTGGATTAGAATGGAAGCATAAGTATTGTGGGAGACAGATGAATGCTCACCCCACTCAAAATATACATGTCCTAATTTCCAGAACCCATGAGTGTGTTATGTTACATGGCAAGGGGGAATTAAAGTTGCAGGTGGAATTGAGATTGCTGATCAGCTCACTTTAAAATCGAGATTCTTTTCAATGAGCTGTGTGGGTCCAATATAATCATAAAACTCATTATAAGTGAAAGAGGGACGTAGGAGAGTCAGTGTCAGAGTGACGCAATGTGAGAAAGACTTAATCAGCCATTGCTGGCTTTAAAGATAGAGAGGGACAAGCAGCCAAATTTAAGAAGCTCCGAACCAAAGGCCAGAGCTGAAACAATTTGGGGAACAAAGTAAATAATTATAGTGATGGATTATAACACATAAAATAAATATTCATGAGTCCATACTGATTTAAATAATTGAATAAATTAATGAAGGAGAAAGGAAAAACACTTCCTTATAGAAGAAATCAAATTAATGAAGTAAAAGTGTGAGAAAAATAAAATAATAACCATTGGGTATACACTGCAGTAGTAATTGTTATAGGCAAGATTCATTGTTGGAAACTAAAATTCATGGGCAAAAGTTTGATGAGAAATGGAATATTTGCATAATTTAAAACTATCTCCCTCCAGCTATTTATTAGTTATAAAAGGAAAATAGTGACTGTTCAGTGAAGAATTCTGGTTACCATCAACCCAAATAAGACCTATTGGTACCATGTTCCTGGCCACCATCACCATGATGTCCTGAGAAGGGTACAACCTCACTTCTATGGTGTTCCTGTCAGGAGTGCCTAATGTCAATTGAATCACGAGAAAACATCACTCAAACTGAGAGCCAGCCTACAAAGTAGCTGTCCAGTACTTTTCAGAGATGTAAAGGTCATGAAAAACAAGAAAAGACTCAGGAAGTATCACAGAGTGAAGGAGTCTAAGGAGGCTGGGCAACCAAATGCAATGTGGGCTTCTGTATTGCTCTGGACCAGGAAAGGGACATCAGAGAAAAAGGTGGTGAAGTTAGTATGAGGTCTGTAGTTGATAGTATTGTACGAATGTTCCTTTCCTGGTTTTGTAAGATGTTAACAGAGGAAGCTGCATGAAGGATGTTCAAGAACTCTCTGTTCTATTTCTGTAACTTTTCTGTTATTTCTAAAATTACTGTAAGACAAAAAGTTAAAAAAAAAGGAGTACCATGAAAGCAGTGCAGAAGAAAGTGTTAAAGGGCTCCACAGAGTGGACAGTTCATTCAGAAGGATTTCATGGCAGAGGTGGTGTATGAGTCTGTTTGGTCTTCCAAAACAAAATACCACAGACTGGGTGGCTTAAAAAACAGAAACTTATTTCTTACAGTTCTGGAGCCTGGAAGCCCAAGATCAGGGTGCCAGCAGATTTGGTTTCTTTGTGAGCCTCTTTCTGTGGCTTGTGCTGTGGCTGCCTCCTCACTGTGTCCTCATATGGCCAGTCCTCTGTGCATGCACACTTCTAGTGTCTCTTCCTCTTACACAGACATTAGCTATATTGGATAAGGGACCAACACTTATGACATTATTTAACCTTAATTACTTCTTTAAAGGCTCTGTTTCCAAATATAGTCACACTGGAGATTAGGGCTTCAGCAGATGAATTTCAGGGGGACACGATTCAGTCCATAACAGGAGGCAATTATGGAAACTCTCGAAGAATAGACATCAGCAATGTCAGAGGGGACAATCAGTGATTTAGGGACTAACAAGTGGCTTGGTTTCATAGGAATGTTGAGAGTGTGTGGAGGAGCTGAGGTAGACAAGTCTAGTCAGGGAAAGTGTGTGTGCACACGGCAATCCTAGCCATATTCCTGGGATTTTGAATTCATCAGGCTGGCAAAGAGGAGCTATTGAGAACAGTTAGGAGGTGACTGTAGTAGTGTCAGTGAAAATAACAGAGACCTGAATGAAGGTAATGAACAACAGAAAGAAAAATAACAACAAGAACCAGAAGAGAAGATTTGATTATAAGAGGCACTACATGAAGACTTGACACTGTTACTAAATGGAGAGTTAATGGGTGGTTCCCATGTAGAGTGTTCAGAGACATGCTGAGTTGACACGTTGTTTCAGTGAAAGCTTTCGGAAATGTAAATTTAAAGATTGGGGTTTTTAGAAATGTGAATGTAAAGATTGCAGAGAGGTTGGGGCTAGACATTTAGTTTTGGGAGTCTTCAACATAGAGATGATAGTAGGAACATATGAGTAGATCTAATATTATCAGAGGTAAGTATCTGGCAAGTGTTGTGTCCTTACTGGCCAGATGTATTAGGTGTTTTGAAACAAGTGTCATTTATGCTTCAGAGACATTACAGTAGATTAGGTTTGAGGAAAGACCACTGAATTTGGCAAATTTGCAGTCACCCATCATTAATGACCCTTGAAGATGTTTTAAAAATAAGCATGGTAAAAAAAATGGAGACAGCAACCAGTCTAAACCCATCCTCCTCCACTCCCAACCCACGTGGGTGATAAATAGGTAGCCAGAGACATGGTGCCTTTTCAAATGCTAGCACTGTTGATAATGCAAGTCTTCATTTGACAATACTCAGTGATTTCATTTAAAACACCAGCACTGGCCTTTTACAGTGGCCCATAGCATCCCCTGAATTCATTTGATTCCTGTAGCTCATGATAATTGCTGAGAGAAAGAGCACTTTGAGTCACTCGGTTGTATAAGAGCAGTATGTTTGATGACTTTTTCATCTCATAAAACAAGGCTAAATTTTTCCTTACAGTTGGAAAAAGCTTTAGATTGGAATAAACCTGACCTCAGGCTCCAAGTTTATAGGTCCAATTTATTCCCTCTGTAAATTCATGGGGCAGCTCTATGTGAATTTCACAGGGTGTGAAATCTTATTTTGGTCAGGTGTTCATGTCTTTTCATGTAATTAAGCAATTATTTTCAAATGGAATAAAAATTGTAGAAAGCTTTGAAAAATGTTAGTAAAAATAGCACTACACTCTATTGATGTTGAGTCTTAATTTTAGTTGTTCAAAGAGTATTTATCAGTTGAAGATACGGCAAATATTAGCATTTCTACTTTGTAGACAGAGAAATTATGTGATGCACTGGAAGTGCTACTGAAAGTCAAAAGTGGGAGATTCTTGACTAGAGCTTTTATTATCTGTTTCTGTTCTCTATTTATATCTGTTTCTCTGTTCTCCATTAGTACCTTCTTCTCCTTTTCATCTTTGCTATACAAATAAATCCATGTAAGTATTCTGGAGAAATGGTATTGAAAAAGTGGTGGTTAAATTCTTAAATATTTTTGAAACTGCTGTTTGAGAGTGGTGATTGTTGCTATGGGTTACCAGCTTGCTGTGTTATCAGCCAATTACTGACTCTTTCTATAATACATTCTGTATCTCGCAGCCACATTCCATTAGCCTACTCAAAACTCTACCAGCGTAAACATATAACCTAAGTAAAAACAACATTTTTGTAACACAGATACAGCTTGAAGATAAGTGTCCATTCTGCCCTTTCAAGGAGCCTCATATATATATATATATTCTGCAGTTTCCACTAAGGGAATAGACTGCTTGTGTAATGGTCAGTTCACCAGGTGAAAACAAAGGAGAACCTAACCCTCCAGGTGCTCACTCTAATCCACTCAATCAAGGTTCAAGAAAATCAGTTTTCCAGACCTTGTGAAGTGTCAGGTTTTTTAAGGCAGAGAGGATGTACCCATCTATTATTAACTCAGTGGATTTAAATAGACAGGAAGTTCCAATTGATTGTATGAAATGATGCTAGTGCACCATTGTCAATAGAGAATAGGGTACACATACTTTTCAGGTATTTAACTGGGATTAAAAAGCGTATGAACATGGACCAGACCAATTCCTTCCATCTGAGGAACAATGATCATCATCTTGGGCTCATTTGAAGGAACTCAAATCTCATAAGGTGACATTCCCAAATTAGACTGGTAGAGAAAGAGGGAAAGTGTCCAGTGAGATGAGCACAATTCCTTCAAGGAGAGCTAGAATGTAAATGATAAGAGGGCAGGGTAGACATCAGGCACCATTCCCCTGACTCCAGCTACAAATACTTATATGTGACAGGAAACATAAAAAAAGAAACTAAAAGGACATAATCATGCTTAAGAGACATGTTTCATGAACTACAAAGAGAACATAATTGTGAAATATTGAGAGACGCTAAAGCTGTGGAACTCTTAGGAGTTTGTGTCAGGTACAGGAAGAACAAAACTTTACAGAAGATAGAGCACTAGAGCCAGGGATATCACTTGAAATTAAGGGCTACATGGCTCTTTCCTATGAAGGAGGCTATAAAGAGTTATTAATGACAGTTGCCTAGAGCTATATTAAATTGGGGCAGAGGCAGGAGGATCTGGATTAGCTTAAAGGCAAGATCTGAGAAAAACTATGCATTCATTATTACCACAAGGCAGGACCCCTATGCCCCTAACAAAAGTTTCTGAACTGGTTTCCCACCATTGAATAGTAGGTTATGCAGATGGGTTCACAAAACTGCTAAATTGGAAAGAATGGGTGGACTGGAGACAGGGAGAACACTTCCCACTAAAAACGAATCTGCAAACCAAATTATAAAACACATCAAGACTCTAAATTGGCTGGGCCCGGTGGCTCACTCCTGTAATCCCAGCACTTTGGGAGACCAAGGTGGGTAGATCACTTAAGGTCAGGAGTTCGAGACTAGCCTGGCCAACATATTGAAACCCCATCTCTACTAAAAACACAAAAATTAGCTGGGCGTGGTGGCGGACACCTGTAATCCCAGCTACTTGGGAGACTGAGGCAGAAGAATCGCTTGAACCCAGGAGGCGGAGGTTGCAGTGAGCCGAGATTGTGCCACTGCATTCCTTCCTGGGTGACAGAGGGAGATTCCATCTCGAAGAAAAAAAAAAAGATAGAATAAATTGGAAGATAGTATTGATGACTTTATCCAGAACACTATATAGAGAATAATGCATGGTAAATAGATAGGAATTTACCCAGCACACTATATGGAGAAAAGAGAGGTGAATATTAAAGATGTGAAAGAACAGGTAAGAGCAAGAGAAAGAACAGTTAAGAGCACCATATCATCAGACTGATCTGTTCTAATTTATGTTTAGTAGTCATCTAGGATAATTTTAAAAATTAGATTTGAAGAGATGACTCTGATAATTTTCTAGAAATAGAGAAAGCTATCCAGGTTGTTCTAACAGGTTCTAACACTGAAGCTAAGGGCTATTAATTTAGCTAGACAGAAAAGAGCTGAGTTCTTAGAATAAAAATACATGTGCAATGACTAGGTGATAAAAATACATTTAAACTTAGAGATATATAGTAAAAATGGAGAGTAACAATTATAAATAGAAAATGTTGACATAAGTGGAGAGAAAAGACAGATTACTGCCAAAGGAATGGTGATTAAACTGACAATAGACTTCTGTTACTAATAAAAGCCAGAAGACAAGGAGAATAATATTCTTAAAGTACTAGAGCAAAAGTATCATCCAAAATTGAGGGCAAAATAAATCATTTTTAAAAACACTATGTTAGTTTACCACCCACAAATTTTTCTGAAAGGACTACTAAAGGATGTGCTTCAATAAGGACAAAAATTAACCTAGGAAGAGTGAGAGAAAAATACAATGTGAACTGGTTGTTCTGGTTACTAAGAAAATATCTGTTAAAAATCAGAATTATATTACACAAGTTGAGTTTCTTTTGGGGCTAGTTATTATTCAGCTGGATTCATTTGTAAATTAGCTATCTAAGAAAGCTCCACTTTGTCTGCTAATTCAGAATGTCTTTCAGAAAACTCCGAGCCTCCAGTAATACTTCTTTCAACTCCAATAGCTTTTTAATCCTGCAATTAATTGGAAAAATCCATTTAAAAGCAGTTTATTGATTCTTGCTGATATTATCTGCTAAGATTGTACATAGTGAATTTTTAATTAGCATTGAAGTAACTGAAAAAATTAGGCATATTGCAATCCTGTTGATGACAAGTTTATAGTTCTCAATATTGGAAATAATTATAATTGGTTTGAAAGTAGAAACATAGTCACACACATGGAAGCAAGCACACACCCACACAGTAGAACAGTGGAAGTGAGAGTTATTTCAGGAAAGAGCTGATGGGTATATAAAGTAAGGAGAAGTCTACCAAGGTAGAGAATAGGACAAGCAATTGATGCAGGGTTTAGTTAGATCTAGTGTATGGATCACAAAGCTAGTTTTAGGGCAATGGAAAACAAAGTCATTGGCTCCATAACATGGTGTCAAGATATCAAAAAGCCTTCAGACAACAGAGTCTAAGGATTAAGTTGAGATAAACCAATATTTGTTGAGCACTTCCTGTGATGCTGAGGAGGAATTCAATCATAAGCAAGATAAAGGCCATGGTCTCTAAGGGCAGTCATTTTAGTGGGAAGACAGACATACATAAATCATTTTATAAGACATGCTAAAATCGTGGTCAAGTAAGATGCTAAGAGAATAAGAGAAAGGAGAATTACATTCTAATTAGGGGTGATTAGGAAAGTGTTTTAGCTGATTGGCTTAAATTGGATCTTAAAGATTGGGTAAGGATCTATCAGGCAATGGCAATGGGCATTCTAAGCAAGGATATATAGGTAAGGTACACGAGAAAAATAAAGTTGAAAATCCAGCTGACAGTTTTTCTAGATAAGCCTTCCTATTTACTTTCCTCCCAGGACAAGACTCATCTTTGTGAGGACTTCACCAAGTTCCCAGAAAAGAGCAAACAGGTAGAACTGAACAGAGGAGAAAGTGAAATGACAAAGAGGAGTGCAATTCTTGAAAGAAGGAACACAAACAGAGAAAAATATATATATGTGTATACATACACAAACATATATGTATATACATCTATATTGTGTATATGTATAGATGGTTAAATTTGAACCAAGGGCCAAAGAAAGATTCAAGGAAGTGAGCGAGCTGACTATGCAAACATCTGAGGTGAGGGGGGAACATTCCAGATAGAGAGCAGACTGAAGTACAATACATATATAACACATATATAATACATATGTATAGATGTATTATATGTATTATATATGTATATAATATTCTTCTGTGTTTTGCAAATGTTCATAAGTGACATCATATTGTATATACCATTCTGCAACTTGTTTTTTCACTCAGCTTTCCTTTTGTGACCTATATAGCTATGTATAGATCTGGTTCATTCATTTAACCTTTCGGCTTATCTATGTTTCTACTGATGGATCTTTAGATTCTATTCATTTTTCAGTATGAGAAATAATACTACTGTAAATATCCTCCTCCTTGCCTCCTTGTGCACATGTGCAAAAATTTTAAAGCCTCAATTTTTGGCTTAAAAAGGTGAGATGATAAAACACACACACACACACACACACACACACACACACACACAACAGAACAAAACAAAACAAAAACCCCAGAAAAACAAAGGCAACAACAAATAATTGCTCTGGAAAACGTGAAGATTATGCAAGAAAAACTGGCTGAAAGTGTTTCATATATATACTAATGACTATTTAAACATTTTCTTATTCATACTCCATGCTTTTCCTTTTCCACCTTCTTAGTTTTAGTCTTATAAACTCTTTCTCCAATGCCAGGCCACTAGTCTCCTAACATAGTGTTTGCATTGCTCTGAGTATACTTTTAAGTGTGGGACACAGACTGATCAATATACTCTCTGGATTTGACCAACTACATAGATGGGCCAAAATATCAACTTCCTGGTGTGGGATATTACATTTTAATATTATAGCCATTTTGGCAGCCACTCCCAGTGTTGACTCAAATTGTATTTAAAAAAATCAGCTAAAAACCCAAGAGTCTTTGATACATCCTGTTAAGCTATATCTTTGCTATATTATAGTTATAGTTTAAAAAAAAAAGCTCAATTGGGATACTTTACATTTATGCACATTAAATTTTATCTAAATCCGTTTGGTCTGTTTTGATTTTGATTTTGACTGTCTTATTCAACATATACATTATTCCTGTTTTCCAAAACAAACTCCTTTTGTTCAGTTTTTCTGTTTCCACTTAGGGACAAACATGAAAGGAGACGATACATCTTGTTTCCTTCATTCTTCCCACCTTGGAGCCTTTACTTCAGTTCTGCTCTCTATCTGGAATGTTCCCCCCTCACCTCAGATGTTTGCATAGTCAGCTCGCTCACTTCCTTGAAGCTTTCTTTGGCCCTTGGTTCAAATTTAATCATCTCAATGAGGTGGCCTTCCCTGACCACCTGTTTGCTTCTGCATCCCTCATCTTCTGCCAATATTTCCTTCTGCTCCCCATTTTATTTCACAGCACTTAACACAATTTAACACACCATATATTATATTTTATTTATTATGATTAATGTCTCTCTATCCCCGTGCTCTATCTGGATAGAGATATTTGTTTTGTTCACTGATAAATCCCAAGATCCTAGCACAGTGCTGAGTGCATGTAGGCAATCAATAAATTGAATCACATGAATACATTTTAGGCTAGTTATTGACTGTGATACATTAATGTAGAAGCTTCTTAAGTTGTATTGATAGTACAAACGCCTCTTGAATTTCCACAATTTATTGATCTTCAGTTTTTGGTATTTTGTTCATTTTTTCACAAATATTTTAGAGAGAAGCTGAGAATGGTTGAATTGGGTAATGTTAGATGCCATTTTATACCAGGTATGTTAGGTAGTCTTTAAATGTGATAAATCACTAACCAAAACACTGACAAAAATGTTGATCAGAAGAGGCTAAAAAGAGACCCCTGAGGTATAGCTCCTGAAAACTCCCTGAATCATTTCTCATCAGTCTTTGATACCATCACTTATCCAGTTGGTATTCACCTAATAGAACCATCATTCATCCCATATTTCTCTCTGTGAGCCATAAAGACATAATGATTAAAGCTGGTAAATACCCTGCTGGATGCCAGACCAATTACAATAACAATAAATGATAATGTTTATTAAGCACTTACTATGTGCTGGGCACTGTGCTAAGTTTATTATGTACCATGCTTTATTTAATGAATTCATAACACTTTTATTCCTTTTTAACAATGAGTTAGGTCATAAAGCTAGTAAGCAACAGAGTGAGTATTTGTCCTGGATGGTCTAACTCCAGGGTCTAATCCCTGACTCTATTATACTGGCTTACCAAATGATGCATTTCATTTGTGGATGTCTCTGGCTTACCACCCTGATTATTCTGATATCAAATATTTTTTGGAAAGCCTGTTATGTTTCAAGACATGTAGTGGGAAGAGGGAATCAAATAAGAATGTGATCTGAATCCTCCTTTTAAGGGCTAAAAAAGGAAATTTAGGATTCTAGAGAACACTACATGAATCATATACCTATCTTCTACAGTTATTTTTAATTTGGGGGATGGGGAATAGTGTTGTCCTTTCCTTTATATCAATGACACTTAGTTCCAAAAACCTGTTGGTGGCCAATAAGGACAAAAATCCAGAATAAATACAATTCTCCCCAGTAGTTTCTAAAAAGTAGAAACTGGGGACACTTTCTTGACTGAACCTGCTTATTTATAAATCCACATAAATGTCAATTGTTTGAACCATGAGAATAGCTGTGCTTAAACAGGTACCCCTGACCTGCTGCCAATGTGCCGTCTTTGATCTTGTGCGTCTTTTACTAAGTTCTCATGTGATCTCATCTCACTGCCCTTTAACTGAAAGCAATTTTCATGTTTTATATTTAATCCTTTTAAGGCACGAAGCCAGGTGGTGAATTAATTACTTTTGTAGGTTGAGAAAATATCCCAACTTAGTTGTTACATTCAGCTGAAGTTGGAAGGCTATATTGATATTGATACCATTTATGTTTTCATTTCATTAAAAATATGTTTAAAAAGTAGAGCAGTATGCTTTGGTGCCTGATTATAAATGTTTCTAGGTAAAAATTGCTTTAATCACTGATAAAACCATGAAGGGCTATTTTTGGTTATAAGTCAGTTTCTTTTGGAGTAGATGACTAATTTCCTTGGAGGTGATATGGTTATGAGGCTTTTGTTGATTGGAGGTAGAAAAGTCTAGTTTGAAATGTGTAGAATTTATAAAGAAGGTTACAAGACACAGTGAACAATCTGGAGAGAATACTATGACAATAGATAGCATTTCCTGGAGAGGGAGAGATGGAAGAGTTAAGAGAGCTCTGAATTTGAACTCAGGACACACAGTTCTAAATCTTTTTTCTAGCAGTTACTTGAAATGTTACCTTGGGTAAACTCTTAACATTGCTGAATTTTAGTCTCTTTGCAAGTAAAAAGGGAATTATTATACTTTTTAAAAGAGTTATTTCAGGATCTACTAAAATAAAGTTAATAAATTGTAATATTTAAAAATGCATAAAATTACTTGATTTTAAAGAAAACCTGCAATATATAAGACGGCAGACAGTTTGAAACATGCTACAGATATCTGAGTCTGCTACACTCAAAATACATGACAAATTATTGTGGTTCTTGATGTAACAAATACTATCACTGCAGTTAGAGAAGAGATGAGTGTTGCTACCCTATTTTACAAATGAAGAAATTGTATTTTAAATGATCTACACCTCATCCTTTGGAAAGAGGCAGAGAACGCTGTTTTCTGACAAACACCCTTCCTATGAGTTCCTGTTCAATAGCAAGCAATATAGTAATAGAACGAAAGTCCTCTTTTAAATCAAGTGGAATACATCTTCCTTGAATGATTGAATGCAAACCTTGACTATGTAAGCATTTTCAGAAGAAGGTCATTGTCTATGGAATTAATTTTCATTCTTGGCTCAACTATGCCTGCTGGCCATCAGAGCTTGCTGAAAATCCCATCTGTTTAGTTAGGGACTGGCCTGATTGACGGAGAAAGATTGATAGGATTAGAAGATAAATCTCTGTACCTAGGAATAAATTATTTAAGTGTTCTTTAGTTCTAGGTAGAAACTAAGTCTCTCTAGACATGTAATGTAAAGCAGGAAGTGAAAGCTTTTATCTGAATATAGCTAAATAATGAAAGCCCTTGTGTATGCCACACATAATAGATGCTCAATGGACTTTGTTAATTTTGTGAATTAAAAAACTTTTCCTTTCTTGAGTAATCCAGATTGTTCTTAATAGCTACAGGTCTCATATACACTAAGTGTTAACTCCGCCATGTTTTTTTTACTCTATCTCCACGTTTCTACCAGCCAAGAAGCTTTAGCTAAGCCTTGTTTTGTGTAATTTTATTCCAAAAAATTTATATATAATGTGTAGATCAAATAGATGCTGAAACAAATTATTCCCCATTATCCCCAAGCCCATTCTCTGAGAGTTTTCAGAGTATAAGAATGTATCATTGGTCCATATATAAATGCATTTCTTATCTCACATTGCTAATGTATTTAACACATCTTTTCTGAATTACGGTTAGAACGTGATTCCAGGACATAAAGCCAGTAGTGAGAGCAAATTCTAGTGTGTAAGTCCAAGAAAGCTGAGTTCAACTTAAAATCTGGCATGAAAGGAATCCATATTTTAAATTATAAACATTCTAAAATTTAAAAATATATACCAAAAAGCAAAACATTTAAAAAATGCATAAAAGTACTTGTTTTAAAGAAAACCTATAATATATAAGATTGACAATTTGAATTTCATTTCTATCAAAAATCTATGAAACAATTGCAGCAAACTATCCTGTGTTTGGTCTTCTCTTTCTAACATATCAACATCATGTACCAAAAAGTAATTAATACAGTAAAAATTTAACAAGCAATTATTGGTGACCTGTGGAAGTAAAGAATCTTGGCCGGGCATGGTGACTCACGCCTGTAATCCTAGCACTTTGGGAGGCTGGGGTGGGCGGATCACGAGGTCTGGAGTTCGAGACCATCCTGGCCAACATGGTGAAACCCTATCTCCACTAAAAATACAAAAAAAAAAAAAAAATGAGCTCGATGTGGTGGCATGCACCTGCAGTACCAGCTACTTGGGAGGCTGAGGCAGGAGAATTGCTTGAACTGTGGAGGGAGGTTGCAGTGAGCCGAGATTGTGCCACAGCCTGGCCACAGAGTGAGACTCCGTCTCAAAAAAAGAAAAAAAAAATAGAATCTTGGCTGAGTGCAGTGGCTTATGTTTGTAATCTCAGAACTTTGGGAGTCCAAGGTAGGAAGATCATCTGAGCCCAGGAGTTCAAGATCAGTCTGTATAACATAGGGAAACCCTGTTTTGCTACGTATTGAGGAAAAAGGGCAATGACCTAAGTCCTATGTTAACAGAGGCCATCAGTCTAATAATAGAGATTAGACATGAGGATAATCTAAATATGAGGTAAAAGGTAATAAGTGGCCGGGCACGGTGGCTCACGCCTGTAATCCCAGCACTTTGGGAGGCTGAGGCGGGTGGATCACGAGGTCAGGAGTTTGAGACCAGTCTGTTCAACATAGTGAAACCCTGTTTCTACTAAAAATACAAAAGTTAGCCAGGTATGGTGGTGTGCACCTGTAGTCCCAGCTACTCGGGAGGCTGAGGCAGGAGAATCGCTTGAACCCGCGAGGCGGAGTTTGTGGTGAGCTGAGAGCGCGCCACTGCACTCCAGCCTGGGCAACAGAGCAAGACTGTCTCAAAAAAAAAAAAAAAAAGGTGATAGGTATACAAATACAGTATTTTTGAAGATCAAGGGAAGGTGGGATATTATTTTTTTCTTACATGGAGGGAGAAGAGAAAGGGAAGATTAAAGATCTTGATGGAGGAGTTATCGTTTGTGTTCACCCACCAAGAATCAAACAGTAGAGTAGGAAAGGCAAATCATATCTCATTGCCTAATGTACTGCTCCCCTACCCATCAATCACAATGAAACTTGCTCCTTTCCCTTGCAAGCCAATCTTCTTTGTATTTCCCCCAATCTGCTGTGCTCTGCCACCTCTGTGCTATGCCACGGGCTTTTCTTTTCCTGAAATATCCGTTGTCCTTTATATTTCTTGTCAACTCCCACCCTTCCTTCATGACTATCTAGAGACTCAGTCTTCTTCTCCTTCTCCAGTGTCTCAAAAGTTTAGTCACTGCTTCCTCTGTACCTTTATACATTTTGTGCATTCTCTATTATAATAGTCATCACTCTGTTTTGCCATCTATTTTTCAAGTCTATTGGGAGTTTTAAGAAACATGACATATTTGTATAAAAATTGCTTATCACAAAGTCTGGTATGGGGAAAATAATACATGTAAGTTGAGTGAATGAATGGAAGAATAAATAAGGTGTGTATTTCATTGTGGTTTAACATTTAAAAAAATTTTCACTAAGCAATAATAATTATATATATTTATGGGATACAATGTGATATTTTGATATATGTAGTTTTAATTTGCATTTCCCTGATGACTCATAATATTGAATGTCTTTATATATACCTATTTATAGATCTGTTTCTTGGTTAAGTGTCTGTTAAAATTTTGCCAATTTAAACATTTTTGTTTGAGCCAGGCACTATGGCTCATGCCTGTAATCCCGGCACTTTGGGATGCCGAGGCGGGCAGATCAACTGAGGTCAGGAGTTCGAGACCAGCCTGGCCAACATGGTGAAACCCCATCTCTACTAAAAATACAAAAATTAGTCAGGCATGGTGGTGCACGCCTGTAATCCCAGCTACTCTGGAGGCTGAGGCAGGAGAATTGCTTGAACCCAGGAGGCGGAGGTTGCAGTGAGCTGAGATTGCGCCACTGCATTCCAGCCTGGGCAACAGCGAGACTCCGTTTCCAAAAAAAAAAAAAAAAAAATTGTTTAATTTGGTTGAATGGATTGTTTGTGTTTTTCTGGTTTCTTGGGATTTTGATTTATTTGTGGTAATTGATTATATGGCACCCATGTTTATTAACTTTCTTATTTCCCAGAGGTGGAAGATGGTTAAATATGGCCCAAAATTTCTTCCACCCTAGAAAGTGACAATGCTACTCACCCAATCAAGAGAGGTAGAGTCTATTTCTTCATCTCCTTGAATTTGTGGTGGCCTTGTGATTTGCTTTGGCCAATAGAATATGTGACTTCCAAGCCAAGGCATCAAGAGGTCTCACCTCTACTGATTTCATCCTTTTGAATCTAGCTGTCATATGAAGTCAGACTTATGAAGCAGCCCAGTTCTACTTCCTGGAAGATAGAGAGATAGGCTCAGCCATCCTAGCTGAGATGTCAGAAGACCCACCCAGTCAACTCACAGAATTGTGATAATAAATGGTGGTTGTTTGAAGGCACTTTTAGGTGATTTGTTTAGGTGAGTTTTTAGGTGATTTGTCACAAAGCAATAGATGACTTTTTGAGCACTTTTTATGCCTTGAAGACATTTGTGACTGTTTCAAAGAATACTATGTTCTTTGTACCACTATATATGGTGCAAACTGTTGCATTAGGTTGCAATAGATGCATTAGGATTGAAATACACTGAAGAGTGTATTTCATTGGATTGGGGTTAGGCAAAACTAACGTTTAAAGCATTTGATACTTTTGAAAAACAGAGACCAAGTGGAAGCACAACCGTATCTTATGACCAGTGTTGTCTGCACTACTTACAACACAAAATGTAACTAGGGAGAAAAATAATACAATTTTTATGATTTCAGGTAGCATAAAGTTAATTCTCAGGATCTATGCTCTAACCTCATCATAAAGTAGCATTTAGGGAATCTTCTAGTACATGGAAAAAGTGAAAAAATTAACAGTTTGCACCATATATATAGTGGTACAAAGAACATAGTATTCTTTGAAACAGTCACAAATGTTCTCAAAGCTCAAAAAGTGCTCATATGCCAAATAAATAAAAATTTTAAAGCCTGGAATGTTCTGATAAATGTTAATGTTTCTTTGTGCAATCTAGAAAATTTATTGAGTAAATTTGCAGACAATATAAATGAATATGCTATCCTTGGGAGAAAAAAGTTTTGAGAGTGTTAGGTACACAGTAGACCCTCAAGTGTTTGTTCATTGGATGAGCTGTTCCTTTACTCTGTTGCCTTTCTTCGTCTGCTAAGCTCCACCTCATTTTAAAATTCTACATTAAGAAAATGAGAAATGTTACTAAAAACATTTGTTTATTGGCAAATATGCAGAACTCCATAACCACTATGCATTTAAAACCTTTATCCAGGCAGACGGCCCCCTGTGAATTAGCTAGATAATAGAGGTACTCCAAATAACATCTGCAGAAACTCATTTAGCACAAAATTATATTTCCACTCACTAGACAATTAGAACATAGTGCATGCAGGGAGGAGGGGGGAGGAAATTATCTATCAAGAATATCTCAAGGCAGTTGGCAAATGTCCGGGTTTTAGATGAACCTAGTTACTGTTCTGTTCTAAGCATTACAAAAGTAATTTTCTTCCTGAAATTGAAAATTAATGTAATGTTCCTGAAGGGAAACATTGAATAATAATCAAGTCAAGGCAAAAGGCACTTGATTCCCTTCCATGACCTTAGTCCTAATACATTAGTAACCCTGCGGCTCTACTCTTAACTAGATTGTGGTTCAGAGACTAAATCAGGAAAGTATGAAGTTCTGCGGCTCTCTTTGCCCCATTTCTTTTGATAATGAGTGTTAAGCTGATAGATATTGCTAGAAAGTATAGTAAACCTTTTTGTCTCAAATTTTTTTTTTTAAAAATCAAGATTTTGGTCTAATAACATCACTCTATATTAAAAGAAAAAATCATTTTAATGAGTTATGTCAAGATCAAATTCTGGTTAATATATACCTATTTAATAGATCATAATTAGATATATAAAACTGAGAGAATACATGTTAACATTTAATAAGAACATTGTTTTGCAATAAAATACTATGCCAATAGCAAAGGAAACAATTATAAATAAATTTGCTGGGCACAGTGGCTCAGGCCTGTAACCCCAGCACTTTGAGAGGCCTAGGTGGGCCAATCGCTTGATCCCACAAGTTCAAGACCAGCCTAGGCAAGATGGCGAAACCCCATTTCTACAAAAAATACAAAAATTAGCTAGGAGTGGTGGTGCGTTACCTGTGGTCCCAGCTACTCGGGAAGCTGAGGTGGGAGGACCTCTTGAGTCCAGGAGGTAGAGGTTGCAGTGAGTGGCAATTGTGCTACTACACTCCAGCCTGGGCCAGAGGGAGACCCTGTCTCAGTCAATCAATCAAACAATCAATTTATTAGATGCCCAGAAAATTCAATTCCATTATTATAAAACCATTAAATAAAGGTAGAACTTAATTGCAATCTTATTACAAATTCTAATAATTTCTTGCTGTGAAAAAAACTCTACAACCATTCAAAATGACTAAATAATATTTTACACAGTTGTAACAAGAAAAGTGAATATGCTTAAACAGTAGATATCTTAATAATTATAGATTTTTTCTTTATTATATTTTAAGTTCTGTGGAACTCCATATATTTAACACAATTATGAAATCTTGAAATCATTTCTTCCAAAGCATTCCCGACAAATAGTCTTCCCACTTGAAATTATTTTCAAAGATGGACAAGGAGTTAATTCCACACAGGACATGACACTTGACTGTTTGACAATTTTAATTTGTACTAAATTTTCTTACCAGGAATCCTGGTTCTGCCTGACAGTGTAGATTCCTTACACAACTTAGTCCTTTAAATATTTGTCAGTAACTATTATAGCATGAGCAAATTTGTCTTTCAGAAAGTTCTCTTTGGCTTCAGGGTGAAATAAACTGAAAGAGACAAAGACCAAGGAAGTTAGGAAAGGAACTAGACTGACAAAATATAAGAAAGGGAAAAAAGTAACAACTTCTGGCTTCACATTTCCAAACTGTCAATTTTATTCCATTTATAAATTCTATGTGTAGTTGAGATAGTAATTAAATTGGCTAACCATTTGGGAAACAACTTTTTTTAATTTTAATTTTTTTTTTTTGAGATGGAGTCTTGCTCTGTTACCCAGGCTGGAGTGCAGTGGCGCCATCTCGGCTCACTGCAAGCTCCGCCTCCCAGGTTCACGCCATTCTCCTGCCTCAGCCTCCCGAGTAGCTGGGACCATAGGCGCCTGCCACCACGCCCGGCTAATTTTTTGTATTTTTAGTAGAGATGGGGTTTCACCGTGTTAGCCAGGAGGGAAACAACTTTTAAGTTAAATTCCTACTACACACAAAATACACGAAAATTAACTCGAGATGATTTAAAGATTTAAGAATAAAAATAAAACCATTAAAGTAATAGAAAAATTACAGAATTTTTTTTTAATTTTGGGTGGAAAAACCTATTTTTAGCATTACATAAAAATAAAAAATATAAGAAAAGATTTTTAAATGTAATCATTTAGCAAGTATAAGTCTGTGCCCAAACTTGAGTATACAGGTAATAGAACTTTATTTCCTTTAAATTAATCCAATTCTAACCTTATTATAGTTGATACTCTTCCCTAACATTGCACTGAAATTAGAGAGACGTGGTAGCTAGAAAATTAGATGGGTTGGGAGGTGGAGTGGGGAGGCATGATGGGAGGCAAATATCAGTGCTCTTAATTTCCAGGGAATTTCTCACATTGCCATCCTCAATATCGAAGTCCACGGATGGTCTTTAAGTCAGGTTGCTCTCTCTATGGCTTCTGTGTCACATGGGGACATAGGGAACCAGCCTCCTTTGCCCGAGTGCTTAACATATCCCTTCTGGGATCCTGCCACCTCACCAGAGAGCTGCCAGAGGCAGCTCTGAAACCAGCTCCTCTGAAAAGCTCCTTATAGGGATGGGAAAGCCCCCACACTACCTCCTGTTTCTCTACTCCACTTCTTCTCCCCCACCTGTCTTTCCCTTTTCCTGTTATTATGAACTTTGATGGTGCATTTTAAAATACCCAAATTATTTAAAATTGCAAAAACTGTTAACATTTCCCTCAAGGGCAAGGAGGGCTTGGTCTTCCAGCTCTCTTTGGAAAAAATATTTGAAGAAATAAAACTAAAACGTTAGCATTCCATACTAAATAATGTTAGTATTCACATCATAACTACAGAAAAATTTCAACCTTCTGTGTAAAAACAATCGTGTCAAAAAAATATTGAAAGTGAAAAAAATACCACGGGAAATTACCACAAGCTATATAAATCTGTATGATAAACAGAGGAAGAGTTTCTACAAATAAAAAAGCAAAAGACAGTGTCTCATGGAAAAGTTGACAAAGAGTATAGACAAGCAATTTAGGGGAAGAAATAGAAATTATCATTAAATGGGAAAAGTTTCTTATCCTCATTAGAAATTAAAAAATGTAGACCAAAATAACTTATCAAATCAGTCATATTGGCTTTTTATATTATTTTTTAAATAATTTTTTATTTTAATTGAGCCAGATAAATACAGTTTCAGGTGTTTACTAGGGTCACTATTTATTTATTTGTTTAGAGATGAGGTCTCACTCTGTCTCCTAGGCTGTAGAGCAATGGCATGATCATAGCTCACTGCAGCCTCAAGTTCCTGGGCTCCAGTGATCCTCCCATCTCAGCCTCCCAAAGTGCTGGGACTACAGGTGTGTGCCCCCATGCCTAAGTTTTGTTATTTTCTTGGAGAGACAATGTCTCACTATGTTGCCCAGACTGGTCTCGAACTCTTGAGCTCAAGCAATCCACCTGCCTCAGCCTCCCAAGTGCTAGGATTACAGGCATAAGCCACTGTGCCCTGCTGGCTTTTTTTATTTTTAAGTGTGAGACCCAATATTCAGGCCTGGAACTAGAGTAACACAAATTACTTGCCTCCAGCACAAAATTTAGTAAGGGGCCAAAAAACTCAGTAACCGGGATGAATAAGATTTTGATGCAAATTAATGCAAAAGATCCATAATGAACAAAGTATCAGTCCTGCACTTATATGAGCTTAATTCTGGCCCTGCAAATACTGGTTAGTATCAGGAGAAATAAACACTCATATACACTGTGAATGACCTATTAATTAGTTGGCAGTTTGGCAATATACATTTACTATGGAGATATATATAGCCCTTGATGTAAAAATTTCATTTTTGAGTATATATAAATGTTCATTTAAACACTGTTTAAAAGAGAAAAACATTGAAAAGAATGAAAAACAATCTTTGAAATAAATTGTCATAGCCATTCACCAGAATGATATTGAACAATTAAAAGTGATGTAGATATATATGTTTTTACATAGAAACTTGAGCCGATACTATGTAAATACTTGGAACAATCTACTTTCATTCTTTGTAAATGAAGTAGTAACGAAAAAGTTTTGTGTTATACACTCACACAGATATATCTGTATGTCTATCTTCTATCTATCTGAATGTAAATTTAGAAAGATGAACCCGAAAGTGTTAACTGTGGTTATCCTTGAGAAGGTAGAATTTTGGGTCATTTTTTCTGATAACTGCAGTTATTTCCATCAAATAGAGGAAGGAGAGAGAACTCATCTGAGAGACTTTCCATCAAAGGAATAGTTATAATATCAAAATGCCCAATCATGAAAAAAAAAATCTAAAAGCTGTTAAGCTCATTTTTTCCTCTTAGAAGATGGCATGCAAAAGAATCTAATAGGGACCTATAGCTCTTTTAGTCTCTGGGACTTTTCCCTAAGTCCCCTTTCCTTTTGTTTTGAACAAATATATATACATTCCTGGGAGAAGTAATAAAGGAAAAAAAATATATGTATACAAGTTCTGGATTTCACTTCACTTTACCCTGGGATGCCCCAATTCTGAATTAAGCAGTGGATCTATTATGATTATGGTAACTCACATTTATAGCTAAGCATTCCTTCCTGTTAATCCTTCAACCACATTTGGGAACAGGAAAGAAAGAAAAAACCAACACTGTGTACTAAAGCCTTGGGCAAAGTCTAGTGTAAAAGATGCCAAAAGAGAAAACTTTAAGAAAATGCTGAACAATTCCAAACTCTACAAAATGTAAAGGCATGAGGACTAAAACTAGATTGTTGAATTGGGAAGCTGGAGATCACTGGGCACTTTCCAGGGTACATGTGGATGTAAAATGCTGGGAGTTGTCATGAAAGGATGCTGTGAAAAACAAGAACATGGGCTAAGAACATGCTAAGAATCTTTTAAAGTGTAATGTGAGAACTGGTGAGAAAAAAAAGGACTTACAAGATAGAAAAAAGCTATGAGCATGTATTAATAAAAAGCTAACAGGAAGGAAGAAATTGGTATATTACAATGCAATTAAATATAAGAAAAATAGTCCTGGGAAATGTAGGACCGACTAGGCTCTACATTGAAATGTTAAATGTGTGTACAAATCACCTGGGAATCTTTCTAATATCCACATTTTAACTCCTAGGTCCAGCATGGGCTTTGAGAGTCTGCAATGGGAACTAGCTCCCAGATAAGCCTGATGTTTCTGCTCTTCAGGCCATGCTTGGAGAGGCAACGAGCCAGACAGCACTGAGCCTTAGAAGAAAAGGAGGCCAGGCACGGTGGCTCACGCTTGTAATCCCAGCACTTTGGGAGGCCAAGGTGGGCGGATCACGAGGTGAAGAGATTGAGACTATCCTGGCCAACATGGTGAAACCCCCGTCTCTACTAAAAATACAAAAACATTAGCCGGGAGTGGTGGCATGTGCCTGTAGTCCCAGCTACTTGGGAAGCTGAGGCTGGAGAATCTCTTGAACCCGGGAGATGGAGCTTGCAGTGAGCCGAGATGGAGCCACTGCACTCCAGCCTGGCGAAAGAGTGAGACTCCATCTCAAAAAAAAAAAAAAAAAAAAAAGAGAAAAGAAAAGACCTCTGTCCCTGAGACTAAATTAGGGAAAGGGACGTGATAGGTCTAGAAACCAAAACTGAGAAGAGATCAGAGAGGAAGTTTATGCCAAAGGACTCTTAGCTCCTTCATGAAATAGGAGTGAGCTCATTTGTTGAGAATGAGTGTGAAGCATTAAGGACTTGGAAACAGTGGGGAAGTTTTGGATGAACTGTTGTAAGATGCTTGTTAGGAGATCAAGAAGAGACGAACTGCTTTTTTTGGTGAGATGCGTTAATAACATAATTAAACCATGGAATGAAGTGTAGCCATTAGGAAAAGGAAGTAAAGATGATTTTCCCCAATTAAAATTAATGAGATAAATTTCACCTGCGGTAGCCACAATGCGCTTACTAATGACTACCTTAGAAGCCTCAGGAATGCAGTTCACTCCATCACCTACACATTTGAAGCAGCCTACCCCAAATCTAATTCAGTTGTCTAAATCTTTTCTACTTACCCAGTATTCTGCGTGAATAACATAAAAAATACAGCTTCTATCTGTAATCAGGCTGCCCAGAAACAAAAACCATATGGAAAAGTGAGAGCTTCCAGATTGTTTAATATATGGGCAAAGAGCAGTTTTCAATTTATCCAAGTTAATTTTTCCCCAAGCCATCATCCTAGTTGGCATCCACCCAGGACCCTAGGTCGACATTAATCCTTCAGCAGCAGCAAATGGCTTGAGAATCCCTAATGACCTGAAGTTCTCCTGGTGTCAGCTTGGCTCAGCTGCACCTCATCTGAAAAACAACTTCCCCTCTCATCATCTGCACAGCCTCCAATGCTCCAAATTGAGGACTCGCTCTCAGATGTTGCCTTGGAATTTGGTTGTAAGTGTGGAATGAACATTGTTAGAAAATGAACCTCTCTTATGTGTTATTCTGCTCATTAAAAATGGAATAGCAAAAAGAGAAAATAAATGCAGAAATTCGTCAAAAGGAGTCCCTTGACTGCCTCCAATATTCACGGGGTTCGCTATTGAAATATGAAAAGACAAATGTGGAAGAGCAGAATATGAACAGACCTGAGACACAGGCTGAGGGCAGAATCATAGCCTTGCCGGTCTCCCCTGACCGGTTATAACAGCGACTGCAGCTTCTCAAGTTTAATAATTTTACGTTATGATCACTCCTTCATTATTAATAATGTTATGTAATATGAATTTCCCTGCCTTTTTCAACTTCTGATAATTTCTACCCAACTAATTCCCAAAACTCTGCTGTATTCCTCAGCAAGTCTTATCTGAAGCTGTTTTCCTCTTCACTAAATTATCCCAGCTGTTCATTTCTCATCACCCATCATCCCTCTCTCATGGTTATTTACATATCTTATCTCCCATATTAAACTCTGAGCTTCTCAAAGACCAAATTCAGAGCATCCTTGTTTTATATCCTCCATAACATCTAATTTTATTTCTAAAGTTTTTACCTATATGAATGTTGTTTATAAAAAAATCCAATTAGAGACTGACACAGAGCTAAAATAAATGGTAATTATAAAAACATGTTTCCACTTCAATTCTGGAATTCAGTTAAGTACAATCAAGGATACCACCTCAAGTTTTCCCTATATGTATATGTGTGTGTGTGTGTGTGTGTGTGTGTGTGTGTATATATTTTTTTTTTTTTTTGAGGTGGAGTCTCGCTCTGTCACATAGGCTGGAGTGCTGTGGTGCAATCTTGGCTCACTGCAACCTCTGCTTCCTGGGTTCAAGCAATTCTCCTGAGTCAGCCTCTCAAGTAGCTGGGATTACATGTGTGCACCAACATGCCCAGCTAATTTTTGTATTTTTGGTAGAGACGGGGTTTCACCATGTTGGCCAGGCTGGTCTCGAACTCCTGACCTCAGGTGATCCATCCACCTTGGCCTCTCAAAGTGCTGGGATTACAGGCCTGAGCCGCCACTCTCGGCCAGGTTTCCCTATATTCATCCGTATCTTTACTTCTAATTGCAGAGTATATGATATGAATTCCAAAAGATCTTTGCAAGAAGGCTAATCAGACTTACATAATATGCTTTTGATGACTTAGACTTTGCACCCATAAACCACAATGAAGTGCATTAAACTTCATAGCAAAAATTTCCCCCACATCCTTAAATTACAGAGAACAGAGGGAAAAGGTAAAAGTTGTAAATTTAAGGATAAGAATGTGAAGAAAAAAATCCAGGTTTTAAAAGTTCTCTATTCAGCAAAAACATTTAGTAAATTTCAACAAATGTGAATACTATTTTGAATTTTACATATATCACATGGAAAATTACTTTTTAAATGTGGAATTGACATGACAGTTTGTGGTTAGACTATGGTAATCTCTTTTGCTAGGAAATTCTAGAATAATTCATATAATTTGCTATCAGCAGCTTTCTAGTTTAACAAACCCAGTAAAATTTTAAAAACAACTGCAAGCTTTTCTGCACAGAATCACCTTACCACTCTAATATATCAATAGTGGTATTTTTTTAAAAAGGAAAAAAAATGGCAGTTGTCATTCTTTTATCACACTGCTTAAAATATTGCTGTCTAATCTCAAAAATTTTGTCTTACTCTTTATGAATCAGGTCTAGTTTCTTTTCAACAACTATAATGGTTTTTTCAGTGTATTAAAATGTTGCTGCTTTATAATAAGTAACACTTAAACTGAAACACACTATAGCCCCTTTCCTTGAGACAAAATAATTTAAAAAAGTAATGTAATTGGCATGACACTTTCTAAATAAAACATATTAAATAAGGCTCACAATGTGCAGTTTTTAATATGTGACATGTATTAGTCTGTTTTCACACTGCTAATAAAGAAATACCCGAGACTGGGTAATTTATAAAGGAAAGAGGTTTAATTGACTCACAGTTGCACGTGGCTGAGGAGGCCTAAACTTGCAATCATGATAGATGATGAAGAGGAAGCAAGGACCTTCTTCACATGGTGGCAGAAGAGAGAAGGGCAAGTAGGGGAAATACTACATGCTTATAAAAGCATCAGTTCTCGTGAGAACTCACTCACTATCATGAGAAAAGCCTGGGGGAACCGCCCTCATGATCCAATCACCTCCCTTCCTTGACACGTGGGGATTACATCTCAGGGATAAAGGAAGCCCCCAATAATTATCTGCTAAATGCCAAAAACAAGGACGTTTATTTTACATGATATGGTGAATAGAACATAGCAGGACTTATGAGACAGTCAACTGGCAATTGTAGAATAATTTAGTATATCTGTCTTCAACCAGAATGACCAAAAGAACATTTGCTGACTTCTGATTCTTATGTGGAATTACTATGTAATGTACAAATTTTCTAACCCCAACATGTGATATATTCTTTGGTTCATAAACACTTGAGAGAAGAAAAAAAATCAAATTATTCTAAATGCTGTAGTTAGTACTTTCCTCCATTGTTTTCAATCATTTAGTCTAAATTAACTTGGCGTGACTAAGGGAATTAGTCTAAGATTGTGATAACCAGACAAGGTTGTTATGACCCAAATCTAACTGAAATATTCTAATTATTACTTGAATAAAGTCAAGTGAATTTTTTAAAGTAATCTGGAATGACAGTCTTTTTTTTTTTTTTTGAGACAGAGTCTTGCTCTGTTGCCCAGGCTGGACTGCAGTGGCATGATTATAGCTCACTGCAGCCTCGATCTTCTGGGCTTAAGCAATTCTGCCTTAGCCTCCCAAAGTGCTGGGATTACGGGCATGAGGCACCACGCCCAGCTGGAATGGCAGTCTTAACTATGTTAGCAGAAAGAGAGTAGAATTCGTCCTTTCCAAATTACTTTCTGGTCTGTGATCATGGAGACTTTGAACTAAGCAAGAGGTAATATAATCTATGCCTTTGCCAAAAGCATCACTGCTTTTATCTACTTAGGTGAATCATGCTTGGGGACATTAAAAAATCATCAATAGGATCATTGTCTTGAAACAATGGGCAAACAGAATTATCCTTTGTAGCAACTGTAAATACCAACTTAAAATGCCATAAAAAGGATCTGGTCTGCTTTTCTTTTCATCTCCAACAATATCCGGGAAGGAGATTTCAAAATGGAAATCCTTCTATTTTTGTTTGCACAGCCTGCACAGGCATTTGCTCCCACAGATGTTCCACATTTACACACAGGAAAGGAGCATGTCTGAAACCCACCTCCGCTGTTACAAAATGATGACGATACTCAGTAGCATTTCTTCTTCCATAGAAGTTTTATTAAATGGTTTAAGATATTCATCCTCTATGACCATTGGGACTGTCTGTCCTAGAATTACATTTTGGTGGGCCTCGTCACCTCTCTACCCCTCTAGGACAATAGTGGACTGCTTGGTGTCAGAAAAGTGCTAAATATATGAATATATTTTCTAGCTTATATGAATATGAATATATTTTCTAGCTTAACATCTCTAAAGGATGCTAATAATGGTCTTAAAGAGACTTAAGCATCAATTAAAATAAAATGCAATTATTTTACTGCCAGCTTATGTATCCAAAAATGGTTGTGCTTTATAAAATAGTAATGTTCAGGCATGACAAAACTATTTCTAACTGTACATTCATTTCATTGTTTAGTACTTAGTGGAGGAAAAAAGTTAATTGAAATATGAAAAATGTGTAGTAAGGAATTATAGTGATTTACCAAATAATGTTGACTCCAGTCACTTTTACAACTAGAATTTGCTGAAACACCTAGCAATTATTTATACATAGTAAAAAATTGTTGGGTTGGCTAATCAATAAAACATTCAGCTCTTCCAGAAGCATTTTTTTAAACACCAAGCAAAAAAAGAAAAGCCTGTGAACACGACTGCACTGAATTTTATTTCCACTGAATAAAAAAAAATCCCATTAGATGTTTAACTTTAAACTTTTATTGACTCTAACATTGTCACCAGAATCCATATAAAATCAGTATTTTTCTACCTATGGGCCCCTGCAGAGAGGAAGATCCTTTTTCCTTGCTTGGAAGTACTTGTAGGGCTTAAATAAATGGCCCAAATTATACCTTGTTCATTAACACCGTTACCAACTGAACTGTTACTAAATGAATAGTGGATTTAACCATACCCTATAAACAGCAATGTGTAAGAGCACCTAAATAGCAATTTAAATGCATCCGTTTCTGGAAAAGGAATTCTTAAATGATTTGGTTTATATCGAATATTGTGGTTTACCTGATTCAGCATCTCCCCATTATCATGTTTGTGTTCACTGCCATTTTCATGACTAGTTTTCCCTTGTATATCATTTTATTTGAAAAAGAAGAAAAGCACAAATCTTATTTTATATTATGATGATCACTATTAGAACTTTATAGGCATGAATAATATTTTTCAATTGACAAAGGAAAAAATTCTTTAGGTATCTAAATAGGATAGCTGTATTCTGCCTGAGTTAAACAACACATGTTAAATCTATAAAAAATTGAATAAAGCTTGGAAAAAATTCAGGAAAGAAAAGATATTATTTAAGGGACATTTTACTAGTAACTTTTCAATGATTTTTATTGTTATTTTTGATGTTCCCTCAGTAGGGGAACACCATTAGCCATATTTTAAAAAGGAATGAAGGCTGGATGTTTATGTTTGCATCAAGAGTGAGTTAGTGACTAATGATTTAACCATCAAATCCCTCTCATGAAAGTTCGACTGTTGCTGTTTCTCTGAACTGTCCAGTACCTTATCTAGTGTTACAAATGAGAACATCAGGATATCCACAGACTGCTTATTCTATTCTTCCTTTCCTCCATTGCATCTACCCCTTAGGACACTGCATTTTCTCAAATATTGCTGGAATATTTCTAAGATTTATCTCTTTCCATTTAAGTCCTACCAGGAACTTTCCAACTCTTCCTTTGTAGTTTCCATGACCTTTCTTCCACTATGTGACCGCAAGTTAAGAATATCTATACCTCACTCCAGCAACTAACGACTCTCAGCCTCCTTACAGAAAGATGTTACACTTGATTGATATTATTATTTCTCAGGACGGCTTTATCATAGGAAGAAAGAATTTGAGAGTATTTTTTTTCTTTTTTTAAAAAAATTTTTCTTTAAGTTCTGGGATACATGTGCAGAGCATGCAGGTTCGTTACATAGATATACATGTGCCCTGGTGGTTTGCTGCATCTGTCAACCTGTCATCTAGGTTTTAAGCCATGCATGCATTAGGTATTTGTCCTAATGCCCTCCCTCCCCCTGCCCCCAACCTGAGAGTAATTTTAAGAAAAAAGTTGATACTGATTTTGGAAACCCAGTTGGCAAGGAGAGTATGGAGCTGACTGTACATGAAGTACTTGAACTGGATTATCCATATACAAAGTAGGGTAGTAAGTATATTGGGGAGGGTGCGGGGGGAGGAGGATAAAAAAGGAAATAGAGAGGAGATAGGTGTGAGAAAACAGTAGCGGTAAAAGAATAAAAATAGTGTCTATTTCCAGAAAAGATCTTTCCTGAAAGTCATATGGAGCTGAGTGAGGCAGAAGCTATTATTGCCCAAGTCCATGAGGTCTGTCAGCCTTGGAGATGAAGACCCTTTTACTGCTAGAGCCCAATCAACAGATATTGGTAAAAGTACATATACTTTAAAAGAGTCATCTATTCTCTGCATATTTTAAGTCTATTTCTTACCCTTTTCCTTACTTCAATGATACCTATTTTTGGATCTGAGTTCTTCAAGGGTAAGAAATACATCTGTTATGCTTTATTGGCACAGCACCTCGCCCAGTAAATGAGGATGTTAAATAAATATTATTGAAAGGGAGAAAATGGAAGAGGAACAGTAAAGATTGATTAATCTAACCTTTTGACCTATTTCTTCTCTTGATAAACCTTTCATTTATGAGACTAAGTGTTAACATACTAGTTTATCTTATAAAAAATTTTGAAACTGATTGAATACACATAGGAATATTTTAGTCCTCCCCAACCCCAGATACTGCATGTTGCAATTGAAGGACAGATATTTTAAGTGAATCTCTCACCTAATGGAAAACTATAATTCTGAATGACTTTGACAAGCTGAAAAAAATAAGTACGCTGAGCTCTCTGGGGATAAATGAAGAAGAATTTGCTTTGTGAAGAAAAAAAAAGCTTTCAGAAGGGAATGCAAAAAAGTTAGTTCTACACAGATATCCGTTAAATGTTTGTGTTTCACTGAAGGAAATCAGAAAATTATACCATCTAGAGACAACAAATATATTCTAGTCCAATTCCTATGACCTACATGTAAGCAAACCAGGATAAAGATAAATTAGATGACTTACACAATACAAAACAGCTAATAAATTGGAACGAGGGGAGTAGATGCTACATTTCCTGACTCCAAAACCAATACTCACAAGAGGGAGTGATAAAATGATAAAGACATTTTAATAATAAACAGTGGAACGTGTCCAATTTGGATCTCAACAATTTTTAAAAGACATGAAAAAGTGAGGATAACTTGGCAAGAACCCATAACAAAGTAACTGACTAAAGATTTGGGAATTGGAGTTTATAAAGGAAGTTTCAAGAATCATGATTATTAAGGCTTCAGGAGAAACTTAATTACCAACTTCAGGTATATGAAGTTATCATATAGAGAATGGCAATCAGACAAGTCTCTTCATCAAAATCAGAAATAGAGAACAATTTATGACACCTACTAGTTAAGTATAAGGTGGTTTTCTGTCTAGTTATGTGAAAGTTGATTGTTTTGGCGTTACAAAATTCTATTAAAAATGTTGAACAGAAAAAAAGACCCTAAAATTGATGATATTAGATCATTAATGACATTACTTTTTTTTGGATTATTTATTTTTTATTGATACAAATATTTGTACATATTTATAGAATACATGTGATGATTTTTTTTCCCCTGAGACAGGATCTCACTCTGTCACCCAGGCTGGAGTGCAGTGGCATGATCTTGGCTCACTATAGCCTTGACCTTCTTGGGCTCAAGAGATCCTCCTGCCTCAACCTCCTGAGTAGCTTGGACTATAGGCACACACCATCATGCCTGCTAGTTCTTGTATCTTTTTGTAGAGACAAGGTCTTGCTCTGTTGCCCAGGTTGGTCTCAAACTCCTGGGCTTGGTGATCCTCCCACCTTGACCTCCCAAAGTGCTGGGATTACAGGTGTGAACCACCATGCTTGGCCATAATTTGTTACATGCATATTGTGTAATGATCAAATCAGGGTATTTGGGGTATCCATCACTTTGAGTATTAATAATTTCTATGTGTTGGGAACATTTCAAGTCCCCTCTTCTAGCTAATAGCTAATACAATACATTGTTGTTAACTATAGTCACCCTACTCTGCTATTGAACATTAGAACTTATTCCTTCTAATTGTATGCTCGTTATTTATTAACCAACCTTCTGTTATCTCTTCTTTGTCTCTTTCTACTGTTTTTGACATAAAGTCTGTTTTATCTGATTGTATGATTTGGCTCTGTGTCCCCACCCACTTCTCACCTTGAATTGTAATCTCCATAATCCCCATTTGTCAAGGGTGGGACCAGGTGGAGGTAATTGGATCATGGGGGCAGTTTCCCTAATGCTGTTCTTGTGATAGTGAGTTAGTTCTTACGAGATCTGATGGTTTTATAAGCATCTGGCATTTGCTTTGCTTGCACTCACTCCATTCTGCTGCCCTGTGAACAAGGTATCTGCTTCTCCTTTGCCTTCTACTATGACTGTAAGTTTCCTGAGGTCTCCCCAGCAATGTGGAACCATGAGTCAATTAAACCTCTTTCCTATATAAATTACTCAGTCTTGGGTATTTCTTCATAGCAGTGTGAGAACGGACTAATACATCTTATATAAACATAGCTACTCCTGCTTACTTTTGGTTTTCATTTGTATGAAATATCTTTTTCTGTCCCTGTATTTTCAGTCTATGTGTGTCTTTACAGGTGAGATGTTTCTTGTAGGCAGCATACAGTTGAGTCATATTTTTAAAAATTCATTTAGACAGTCTATATCTTTTAAGTAGAAAGTTTAATCTGTTTAGATTCAAGGTTGATATTGTTATATGAGAGCTTATTCCTGTCATTTTACTAAGTGATTTCTGGCTGTTTTGTATATCCTTTGTTCCTGTCTTTCTCTCTTATTATTTATCATAGTGGCTTGGTGATTTTCTGTATTGGGGATGTTTGTGTCCTTTCTTTTTCTTATTTCTGTATCTGCTGTACCAGTGGGTTTTATACTTTCAAGTGTTTGCATGATGGTAGATATCACCCTTTTTTTTTTTTTCAGACATAGGGCTCCACTAAGCATTTCTTGAAGGACTGATATGGGGTGATGAATTTCTTCAGCTTTTGCTTGTCTTGGAAAGACTTTATTTCTTCTTTATTTATGAAGGATAATGTTGCTGGGTATACTATCTGTGACAGTCTGGTTTGGTTTTTTTTTTCCAGCACTTTGAATATATTAATCCATTCTCTTGTGTCCTGTAAGATTTCTGCTGAGAAATGCCCTGTTAGTGTGATGGGAGGTCCCGCGTAAGTAACGACACACTTTTCTCTTGTTGTTTTTAGAATTCTCTATATGTCTTTTACTTTTGACAATTTAACTATAATGTACCATGGAGGAGATCTTTTTGAATTGTATTTAATTGGAGATCTCTGAGCTTCCCCTACCTGGATGTCTAAATCTCTTGCTAAACTTGGGTAGTTTTCAGCTATTATTTTGTTAAATAGATTTTCTGTCCCTTTTGTTTTCTCTTTGCCTTGTGAGACATTGAAAATTCAAATATTTGCCTGTTTTATGGTGTCTCCCGTTTTTCATGTAGGCTTTGTTCATTCTTTTTAATTCTTTATTTTTAAGTTCTTTATTTCTGTCTGGCTTATTTCAAAAGACCATCTTTAAATTCTGTTTTTTTTTTCTTCTGCTTGATCTAATCTATTATTGAAGCTTTCAAATGTATTTTGTATTTCATTTAATAAATTATGCAGTTCTAGAATTTCTTTTTTTTTTCTTCTGCTTGATCTAGTCTATTACTGAAGCTTTCAAATGTATTTTGTATTTCATTCTAGTTTGGTTTTTTTTTTAATGATATCTATTTCTTGGGTAAATTTCTCATTCATATCATGAATTGTTTTACTGATTTTTTTGTATGGTTTTTCTGTATTCTCTTATATTTCATTTAGCTTCTTTAGTATCATTATTGTGAATTCTTTTTCCAGGATTTTGTACATGTCTTTTATGATAATTACTGTGTTTTTTTGGAGGTGTCATATTTCCTTGCTTTTTCATGTATCCGCATATCTGGTATTACAGTTGTTTCTTCTAACCTGTTGAATTTGCTTTCTTAGGAGAAAACTTTTTTCTGAAGATGTATCTATGGTGTTGGTTGGGTACAGCACTTTGGCCTTGATTCTGGGTGTGTGCAGTAGTGTAGTCTCTGCATGATTTCTTCAACGTCAGTGGTGTCTGTGATTTCCCTAGTGGCTTATGGCGTGGTTATTAGTGGAGGCAGTGGTGAAGTTTTGCTGGGAATGGAAATGCTAGGTGGACCTATCTTTGAGCCCTAATGGTGGCAGCTGTAGGCCAAGTGTACTTGTCCTTGGGCCCCAAGGCAGTGTACATGGCACTGGTGTTAGCAGGTCCAGGCAGGCCAATTCTTAGGCCTCTAGGCAGCTTGCTCAGGTGCTGGAAGTGGCAGCAGTGGGCTGGCCAGGTGGGCATGTTTTCAGTCCTGTGGGCAGTTGGCATGGCGTGGGTGATGGTAGTAGCATTGGCAGGACAACACTCTGGCTTCTAAGTGGTTTGTGCTGGTGTTGGTGGTGGCTGCAATAGGTTTGACAGGCCAGTTTCCAGGCTCACAGGCGGTACATGTGGGTGGGTGCCAACTGTGGTTGTAGTGGCAAGTTGGGTAGGCCAGACCTCAGGCCCCTGGGATAAATGCTCAGGTGCCAATGGTGGTGGACTGGGCTGGGCAGCCTCCAGGCCTCCAGACAGCAATCCTATGCACTGGGGCACAGGGGATAGAGCCAGACTGGATGGACCTGTCCTCAAATCCCATAGTGGTGCATGCAGGCTCTGGCTGTGGTAGGCCGGGGTTGGGTGATCCCTAAGCCCTCAGTGGAGTGCTTTGGTTGGGTGTGGCAGTGGCTGTGCTTCAGCCTGCTACTTGGGAGGATGGGGTTGCTTTCAGTGGCAGCAGCCATACAGGTAGCTGGGGAGTGCCGTCTTTGCTAGCACTTTGGCCTTGGTAGCAGCAGCCCACAGTGGTGGCAGCTGAGGGTGTGAGAGTTTGTGTTCAGGTCTGTGAAAATGCACAGCAACTTTGCTGCTGGCGGGAGTGGGGTCTTTGTCAATGACTTGTGTTTCAGCCCTAATACAGCAGTGCTAGTGGGTGGGATATGTCAATGTGGCTCCAAGGATGTGAACAGGCAGGGGCTGTTGGGCCCCTGGGCAGGAAGCAGTCTGGTGGGGACTGGGCTGTCAATATGGCACCTTTCTGTAGTTGCTTAGGACTGGGCATGGGGTGGGACCCAGTGTGAGCCTCCTCTCTGGAGCAATGCAGTTGCTCGGTCTCCAGGCGGCTCTCTATACAGTCTCAGGGCCTGTGTGGGCTGAGGGGGTCTCCTATGGCTAGGATTACAGGAGTTCACGGTGGGGATGTGAACTTCAGGGTGTATTTCGCTTACCCTTTCTCTGCATTCGGGAGCCCCTCCAGGCTCCCAGCTGATCCTGGCGGAGAAGGCTGCCTCACTTTCCTCTCCTTCCTTGCTTAGATGTTTCCTGTCACTTTTCTGTTGAATTTCAGTGTTCTCTCTTAGATGATCTATTTGAAGTGTGATTATCTGCTTGCTATTTCGGTTCTTCTTTGTGGAGGAGGTGAGTACCAGATGCCTTCAGTTAGCCATCTGGAAGCCCCTCCAAATTTTTTGAATTATTGTTTGTCTGATGCCAATTCTGGATTTTCAAAAAATAATCTTTGATTAATTTACCTGTGGTTTAATGTGAAATGTGTATGGTTTTTGTCCTCGTTTCCTGATATAGACCTTCTAAACCCTTGTTGTTTTTTGAGTGATAAGAGTGACAGGAGCATCTTTTGTTATAATATTTGGTTCTTGTACAAAGTTCCTAAAACTCTTAGAATTTCCTGAGTAATAAAAGTGTCTTTTGTTTCAAGACCTTTTGGTCACACCTGAGTTTATCCTAATGAGGTGACTTAGGGTGGGGAAAGGAGGGAGAGAGCCAAAGATAAAGCTCTATAAAAATTCTTGGATGAGATTTGAGGAGCTTCTGGATAATTGAACATGTGGAGGTTCCTAGAAGGTAGCATGCCCAGAGAAGGCATGGAAGCTGCACACCCCTTCCCACATGCCTTGCCCAGTGCATCTCTTCCATCTGCTGTTCACCTGTTTCCTTTGTAATATTCTTTTTTTTTGAAAGAGCAAAGCAACAAAAGCAGAGATTTGTTGAAAATGAAAGCGCACGCCACAGGGTGGAAGTGGGTCCAAGCAAGTGGCTCAAGGGCCAAGTTACAGAGTTTCCTGGGGCTTAAATACCCTCTAGAGGTTTCCACTGGTTACTTGGTGTACGCCCTACATAAATGAAAAGGGTGAAGTTACAAAGTCATTTATTCGGTGTACGCCCTATGTAAAAGGAGAGGGTATTTCCTGTCATAGCTGAAGTGTTTCCATTTGATTTGGTTCTGGGAAGTCCTCAGGCTCCCTGCCTCCAAGTCCTGTTCTCCTGCCTCATTTCCTCCCTGAAAGACGGGATTCCAGTAAATCTTTATGGCAGGTGGAGAGACTGATGGTCTTTCTTCCGTAACTGCTTCATGCTGGCTTGGGGTGTAGTCCCTACATACTGGGGATCATGGAACATTTGTCCTGCTCTGTCTTGTGGAGGAAGGGTAGCTCCTTGATGGCCAGGGGTGGTGTCTCCACCTGGTACTGGCTGGAACCCTTGTAGCATGTCCTGAAGCTTGATGATCTCTAGGTGAGAGGAAATGAATTTGGTTAAAAGATTTTATGGGAACCTCACAGGGTGGATACCTATGCTGTGAGGAATGTTTGTTATAGAGATTTGAGGAAGAAAAACAAAACCTGGTCTGTGGTCTGTTCTAGGATCTATGTGTTTCCTTAAAGTCTTAGCACGAGGGACTCCATTTTGGTTTGGTTTGGTCTGTTGGGTCCCAGCTCATGAGCTCAGTCCAAAACAATGGCCTCCCATAATTTTGTTTAAAAAAACTTCCCTTTTGGTCAGGTTCTCATTTAGGTAAGAGTGTGACCAAAACTTAGAGCCTTTGTGCTACTCTCAGTTACCATGATTTTGGATTTCTGGTCTCAGCACGTCATTCATTGGTTATGGTGTCCTCATGGTCACACCTTTCTTTCATCTCTTGTCATTCAGTTGAAGAGAGACCATTTGACATTCTGGAGATGGCTGCATGGAAGCACTTAAAACCTTTGAGAGAATACATATACCAGGGAGACTATTATAATGCCTGTTAGGAAGATAACACCAAGTTTGGAGTATTCTTCTTACCCAGGATCCGCATAAACCAAACCACCTGAAATCAAATAGATCAAAGAGTGAGCAGATGCCAATCCCTGCTCCTCTGCTGTGTTTCTTAGGAACCTGGTTGGACTTGGACCTGATGGGTTGGGGCATCATCTGTCAAATGCTGCTGCAGAGGCTTTTCCCGCATCTGCACCTCCGCTGGGTGCAGGAGCTGGGTTGAAAGGCCGCCCATGGTCAGGTTGGCCACCTGCTTCATGAGGTTGAACTGCTTCTTCATGGCAGCGGCAGCGGCAACCCGCGGGGCTCCACCCGGCAGGCAGGGCTACACCCAGAGGGCTCCTACCGGGCTTCACAGCTGAAGTGACCTGCGGCGGCTACCTCTTTTTTTTTTTTTTCCTTGGACGGATCTTGCTCCGTCGCCCAGGCTGGATTGCAATGCACGATCTCGGTTCACTGCAACCTCAGCCTCCCGGGTTCAAGCGATTGAGTAGCCTCCTGAGTAGCTGGGACTACAGGCGTGCACCATCACGCCTGGCTAATTTTTGTATTTTTAGTAGAGACAGGGTTTCACCATGTTGGTCAGGCTGGTCTCGAATGCCCGACCTCAGGTGATCCGCCCGCCTCGGCCACCCAAAGTGCTGGGATTACAGGCGTGAGCTACCACACCTGGCCTGTAATATTCTTTATAATAGACTAGTAAATGTAAATAAAGTATTTCCCTGGGTTCTGAGCCACTCTTGCAAATTAATCAAGCCCTGAGGAGGGGGTTGTGAGAACCCAGTGGTCATTCAGAAGCATAGGTAACAACCTGGGGCTTTCAACTGACATCTGAAGTGGGCATAATCTTGTGGGACTGAGCTCGCAACCTTCAGGATTTGACATCATCTCCAGGTAGGTAGTGTCAGAATGGAATTAAAGGACAGCCAGATGGTGTCTGCTGGAGAGTCTACTGCAGGATTGATTGTTTTCTCACACAGTGTGTGTGAGAAAGAAATCCCATACATCTGGAGCCAGAAGTGTTGTATTGAGTGTGTGAGTAGTGAGTACAGAGTAGGAAAAATAGCTTTTTGATTTTTCTTCTATTTCTACAATATCTAGAAATTATAGTGTCTAAATGATAGTGTATTTTGCTTTGGGAAAAGTGAATATTTTCCTGTAAGGGTATAATAAAAAATATGTGAGGATCTTATTGGCCCCTCCCCAAGGCCTATCATACACCCAGCTAGGTGCAATGTCTTATATTAGCCATTTTTTAATTTCAGAAATTAAAACCCCATAGGAAGAGAAAACATATCACTCTCTAGAGAGGCAATATAGCGTAGTGGTCAAGAATGTAGATGGGAACAAAGACCCCTGTAGAACCTAGGACAAAGACCAAATATATTACAGATTAAGCCCCAGGTATATTAATCAAAGATGATTTTTGAAAATCCAGAATTGGATTAGAATTACAATAGAACCCAAGAAGAAACAATATTCTGTTTGGGTTCTATTCCCAGCTCTTTTACTTACAAGCTCTGCAAACATGAACAAGTTATTCATTTCTCTCTGTGCCACAGACAGTTGTAAAATACGGGTAGTATTGGTAACTACATCCTATAGTTATGATGATTAAATGATTAAATAATTTAAAAATCATCAGGCACTTTGAACAGTTCTTGGCATACAGGTGCCCATTTATGGAAAAATTCCAGTGTATGGAAAATCCTATTCACAAAATTAAATACTCAATATACCCCGAAAATATATCAATAAAAAATTGTGGGAAAAAATTTAAATGATCATATTTATCATCCTAAATGCCTAAAAGAATGAAACTACTCTGAAATGTTTCAGTGCATACACCTGAAAGTTGTAAAGCCTTCAAATATGAAGAAAATCATGCAGATATTTGAAACTTTCAAAGTTTTATTTAATACTGAACCCATATAATGCCCAGCCTGGAAAATCTGTCCATGATCTCAGGACTTCTCATCCTCCATAATTGCATGAGCCAATTCCTTTTATAACTTATAACTTACACATACAACGTACATACAATATATATAGTTTGAAAATCTATCTATCTATCTATCTATCTATCTATCTATCTATCTATCTATCTATCTATCATCTGATCTCCTATTGGTCTGTTTCTTTGGAGAACCCTGGCTAATACAATAGATAAAATACTAAGTGTTGGCAAAGATAGATAGCAAATAAATTTTTATACATTGGTTAGCATAAAATAGCACAACTGCTTTGGAAAATAATTTGGCAGTTATTTATGAAGTTAAACATACCCTTAACATATGACCTAGCAATTCTAATCCTCAGTATTTATCCAAGATAAATGAAAATATATATTCACCAAAAGATTTGTACACAAATATTCATAGTTGCATTATTCATAATAGCCCCAAATTAGAAACAACCACAATTTTTATCAATAGGTGAATAGATAAAAAAATTTGTGATATATCCCTATAATAGAATATTGCTCAGTAATGAAAAGAAGTAAACTGCACAAGAAGCCAGGCACAGAAGTGCTACTTATGCATATAGTATAGTTGAAGAAGGACTGACTGGGAAGTGTGCTGGTTACATAAGAGTATACATTGTCAAAATTCATCAGACTGTACACTTAAAATATTTGGAATTTTATTTTATGTGTATTATAAATGAATAAAGTTGATTTAAAAAGAAAAAAATCTAGGTAAAGTTCTGAATTTTATAACATTATCACATGCCAATTTATCGCTTTAATTTTTATTTTAGGGAAGATTCATATTATCAATGCTGGAAACTAATTCCTAGTTCTGATATTTCTGCCTCTAGTAATGAGAAATTGTGTCAAATTAATATGGAAAAATTCTTTCTTAAATGCCTTTTTGTATTACATGTCAAAGCAATGATATTTATTGTGCCATAATTGAGGTTTCAATTGTACCACATATAGAAAAAACAATTCCTGCTTATACCATCAATTCTAATAACAATTTAAAAGTTTGCTAATACACACAGACATCGTGAGCTATTCTTATTGATGTAAAGGCTAAATAGCAGTTATGCCAAAAATTATATGTCAAAGGTTTTAAATTAGTCTCATTTTCTAAGAGGTACATGTCTAGGTTTATATAATTTAGTAAAAAAAAAAAAGTCTCTAAGAAAATATTTTATGAATTTTTCCAAAGCAAAATTGAACAATCAAGAAGGAGTAAATTGTGTGAACAATAACAATTTTGTGAGTCCCTGTATTAGTCTCTTCTCACACTGCTATAAAGATACTACCCAGGACTAGGTAACTTATAAAAGAAAGAGATTTAATTGACTCACAGTTCCACATGGCTGGGGAGGCCTCAGAAAACTTAGGATCAGGGCGGAAGGGGAAGGGGAAGGGGAAGCAGGCACCTTCTTCACAGGGCAGCAGGAGAGAGAAAGAATGCAGGGGAAACTCCCAGACAATTATCAAACAAACAGGTCTTGTGGGAACTCACTCACTAACTTGAGAACAGCAAGGAGGAAATCCACCCACATTGTCCAGTCACCTCCCAAAAGGTACTTCCTGTGACATGGGGGAATTACAATTTAAGGTAAGATTTGGGTGGGGATACAGAGACAAACCATATCATTCCCCCAAAGGGGAAATATGTGATCAGAAAATACTCTCCAACTATAGAAGGAATAAAAAGTGACCAAAGAAAAATTCTTGATACTCTAACAGACATCTGTGTTTTTCAGATGTTTTTCTTTAAGCATTTATACTTAGTAAAAAATATATTTTATCCTGACACATACATACTTGTATATAAATAAATATCCAACTCATACATACATATATATGAATAACAGAAGCAAGTTTCATGAATCAAGCTTTTCCCCTTGCACAATACATGATATGGTTTGGCTGTGTCCCCACACAAATCTCATTTTGAATTCCCACATGTTTTGGGAGGGACCCAGTGGGAAATAATTGAATCATGGGGTCAGGTCTTTCCTGTGTTGTTCTAGTGATAGTGAATAAGTCTCATGATACCTGCTGGCTTTAAAAATGAGAGTTTCCCTGCATAAGCTCTCTCTTTGCCTGCTGCCATCCATGTAAGATGTGACTTTGTCCTCCTTGCCTTCTGCCATCCATGTAAGATGTGACTTTGTCCTCCTTGCCTTCTGCCATGATTGTGAGGCTTCCCCAGTCACGTGGAACCTCTTTCTTTTGTAAATTAAACCTCTTTCTTTTGTAAATTGCCCAGTCTGGGGTATGTGTTTATTAGCAGCGTGAAAATGGACTAATACAATGCACTCTGGTATTTTCTATTTCATTAAAGTAAAAATGCGGGTTGGACTGCAGTTTGATAAACACTGGTCTAGTTTATGAAAGATTATTTGTAATTTCTCCAGAAGGTGAACCAGAGGAAAAAGCAAAAAGGAAAAAAGACATTCTAGAAGGTAATTAATAAATCACTGGGCCCTAGAATTGATGTCAGGGAATGTTCCAAGCATCTTTAGAAGAGTGATTGACAACTATTTGTCTAGGATGACTTTTAATTATACACTTATCCACAAATGCTAGATGGACCAAATGACCTTTTGATTTACTTGCAGTTCCAAAAACATTATAAAACTTCTATTTATTTAGTAATTCATGATAAGTGGCTAATTCTGATTTTTAGTTATTTCCTAGTGATTACATTCATAGTTGATTTTGTTTTTGTTGTTTTGTTTTTGTTTCAGGATCTCATCTGCTCTTAAATTTATTTATTTTATCTTGATGATATACTTTATAAAACTATCATAAATATCTACTTTTCAAAAACATTTTAGAACACTCTTACGAATTCTGTTAAAGCAAAAGGTACATATATTGGTTATTAATGTTAAAAGGTAAAAAGAACATAGGTTTTTTATCTGAATGAGTATACATATTTTGCTCAACAAATAAAAATGCATTAGAAGGCAAAATCTAATTTTTATCTAAATTATTGATGTTTAAGAATATTTTGACCGTATCCTGCCTATGTATATCTTTACTTTTTTATGTTATGATACTTTTAGTGCACTTAGTATCCTTGCCTATAAATTGATTATTAACTTCTTGGGAACCATTAACAACCAATTTCATATTCTAAACCATCCTTTTGTGAAAACATTGTTTAATGAGCTACTCATGACTTTTCCCAGTAGTGTATTATTGTCTTTTGATAAAACAAATTTTCAGAAAATAATATCCCTGACTCACTTCCTATTTGGACATGAATTTGTTATTAGAAAGTAATAGTCTTTTTGGTTCAATGCTAATAGTTGTTTAAATAATTTCATGAATCAGAGCATGTGTAGTAAATTTGATCTGTTTTACTTGGCCATAAAATTGATGAGGATTAAATACAAGGGCATTCAAAACAAGTGAGGGTTCCTCTCATAAAACTAAAGTGACAACTCAAAGAATAGCTCAGTCCTCCACATTAATCATGCAGAGTGAGATGGTGATAATCATTGTGTCCTATGACCGTTTTAGAGGTGAAACTGGGACAGTCAAAGTCAGGTGGCAAATGTTCTGGATCAGCTGGAAAATGTGCATTATCATTTTCAAGTACATTGTTGTTCAGGTTCCTTCCTGGGAAAAATATTAGTTCTATTTTTTCCTCCATGTTTAAAGAAAAGACTATAAATGAGTGATTTGATTTTTTTCCCTAAGTAACCCTAACTCTTCAGTTTCATCTCAAGATAGAAATAGTTGAAATATAGCAAGAAAATCTATTTCAAGGCTACTGTAAAGGTAGGTGAATTTGTATCTCCATATACTAAGTTAAAAAAAAATGAATAGAAAAGCTGGGAGCAGTGGCTCACATCTGTAATCCCTGCACTTTGGGAGGCTGAGGTAGGCAGATCACCTGAGGTCAGGAGTTCGAGACCAACCTGACCAACATGGGGAAACCCCGTCTCTACTAAAAAAATACAAAAAAGTATCTGGACGTGGTGGTGCACGCCTATAGTCCCAGCTACTGGGGAGGCTGGGCCAGAAGAATCACTTGAACCCAGGAAGTGGAGGTTGCAGTGAGCTGAGATTGAGCCACTGCACTCCAGCCTGTGTGACAGAGCAAGACTCTGTCTCAAAAAAAAAAAAAAAAAATGAGTAGAAAGACTTGTTCTTAAAACATAAAGGCTAAACAGATAGCACATCAAAGAAGATAAACAGATGACAAATAAGCATATGAAAAGATACTCAGTATCAAATGTCATTAAAGAATTGCAAATTAAAATGAGATACCACTACACACCTATTAGAATGACTAAAATCCAAAACTCTGACAACAGCAAATGCTGGTGAGGATGTGAGCAGTAGAAACTCTCATTCGTTGGTGGGAATGCAAAATGGTGCAGCAGATTTTGAATACTATTTGGCAGTTACTAATCTAAACATACTCTTATCATATGATCCAGCAATTGCCCTTTTTGGCATTTACCCAAATTATTTAAAAACTTATCTCTACACCAAAACCTGTGTATTAGTTTGGTCTCACATTCTTATAAGGAACTACCTGAGACTGGGACATTTATAAAGAAAAGAGGTTTAATTGACTCACAGTTCTGCAGGCTGTACAGGAAACATGGCTGGGGAGGCATCAGGAAACTTACGGTCATGATGGAAGGCAAGGGGAAGCAGGCATGTTCTTCCAAGGCAGCAGAAGAGACAGAGAATGCAAAGGAAACTGCCAGACACTTATTAGACAACCAAGTCTCATGAGAACTCACTCACCATCACAAGAACACCAAGGGGGAGGTTTACCCCAGTTATCCAGTAACCTCCCACTAGGCCTTTCCCCGAACATTGGGGTTTACAATTCAACATGAGATTCCGGTGGGGACACAAATTCAAACAATATCAACCTGCATGTGATGTCTATAGCAGAATTATTCATAATTGCCAAAAATTGGAAGCAACCAAGATGTCTTTTAATAGGTGGATGGATAAATAAACTGTAGTACATCCAGTCAAGGGAACATTACTTAGTGTTAAAAAGAAATGAGCTATCAAATCATAAAAAGACGTGGAAGAAACTTAAATGCATATTACTAAGTGAAAGAAGTCAATCTGAAAGGCTACATGTTGTATGATTTTGACTATATGACATTTTAGAAAAGGCAGAACTATAGAGTCAGTAAAAAAAAATGTCAGTGGTTGCTGGGAGTTAGTGGTGAGAGAGGGATGAATAGGTGGCAGAGCACAGAAGATTTTTAAGATAGCAAAACTATCCTGTGTGAAAATACAGTGGTGGATACATGTCATTATACATTCATCAAAACTGATAGAATGTACAGCTCCAAGAGTGAGACTTAATGTAAACTACGGTCTCTGGGTAACAATGATGTGTCAGTGTAAGTTTATTGATTGTAACAAAATATGAGTTGTTGATAGTGGGTGAGGCTACGCATGTATTGGGGCAGGAAATATATGGGAAATCTCTGTAAATTCTGCTTTATTTTGCTGTGAACTTAACATTACTTCAAAAATAAAGTCTGCTAAAAAACACAAAGGAACCACACAGAATTATTTTAGCAATTTAAAAAAAAAGTGATTTGAAGATCTAGAGTTGAATGCTGGCCTGACTGGGAAGTATTGAGGTTTGGAACCCTCCAGAAGTCTTCATTCTTTGTATGTTGAAGGGGTTCTTGATGTATATCAATAAATGGAGGTGCATAGTCCTGTAACTAACAAAGAATGTGTGTGGGTTTGACTGATCGAATGTCCATAAACAGATTTGCTTCAAATATCTCATATATGGAATTATTTATTCCCTTTCTCTCCATGTGACCTCCCTTGCCTTATAACATACACAGAGCCCTGCACTGGGTTGCCCATAGACTGTCCCTATCTTGGGACAGTTTGAACACAATCTGATAGACTGTTATGAGTCAAGGAAGGTTACCCTACACTTACTCCAGGAGCAGCCAACTCCTCCTTTGTTAAATAGATATGTATTACATACATATTTAATAAATAGACACCAAATTCATACACATTTAACTGGCTCTAGCCTTTAAAGAGAGAATTAGAAAAATTTTTCAAGGAGCTTCCAGGGACCAGGGCCAATGTGAAACTGTGACTGTGCCTGGGACATCTTTCCTGGGTTGGCCTGATAGGTTTGGTCTGTCTGCTACCAATAGGAGTCTTAGAAATACTGGCTATGTATATGCATCCCTTTTTTCAGATAGTTAAAAATAAGAAAAGCAGATACAAGTAAAAAGCCAACAAATTAATATTAAGGGTGAATTAAAGGATGTTATGTAATTGACTTTGTTGTTAGAAAAAAAAGCTCCTTAGCATGTTAGTAATGGCAAATCAATAAAGTTACCTTGGAATAACAGTGACATGTTTGCATATACATACAAATATTAATACTCTTTCACAGAGGAACAGGGTATTAATTTATGGAAATATGATGTTAATTCTGGTTTAAAATGAGTAAAATGTTATTCTATAAGAAGCAAGTTTATGTAGCGGAGTTGAAATTTACATGCAATGTACATGGTCAATGAAAGTTTTCCTTCTTTTCTTTTCTTTTTTTTTTTTTTTGAGACAGAGTCTCACTCTGTCACCCAGGCTGGAGTGCAGTGGCGCAATCTCGGCTAACTGCAAACTCTGCTTCCCGGGTTCATGCCATTCTCCTGCCTGAGCCTCCCGAGTACCTGGGACTACAGGTGCCTGCCACCACGCCTGGCTAATTTTTTGTATTTTTAGTAGAGATGGGGTTTCACTGTGTTAGCCAGGATGGTCTCGATCTCCTGACCTCGTGATCCACCTGCCTCAGCCTCCCAAAGTGCTGGGATTACAGGCGTGAGCCACTGCACCCATCCGAAAGTTATCCTTATTTTCTAAAGACCCCAAACTTTATGATGGGGGAGAGGAATGAACTTAATCTTGACAAATAAAGGTAGATTTGAATTTGATATGGTCTATTGTACATTTAGGATTCACCCAGTGTATTTTATGTAATAGTCAATTCAAAGTACAAATTTTATATGAGGGCTATTATTCTTCTGTCTCCAGGTCCCCCTTCCCATGAAGGGTTGCTCAGTGAGAAACTGATGTGACCTCGCAGTGAAGGGCTAGGAGTGGGAGACTGGCATATGAGCTGTTGTTAGTGTCTTCCCTATTTTTGTGGTATGCTTAATCTGTGCTAGTCGTTGGGTGTTGTGAACAGGCGTCCTCTTTGGTGTGACTTGCTATTTTCAAAGTCATTTGGGTAGATGCTGCTGAAATCCATCAAGGCTGCCATTTACTTTGGTCATGAAGTTTCTGTATTCTGAATTGTGAAGCCTCCTCCTGACTTCTAGTCTCAGATGGTCCACTGTTCTCTCCATATCTCCTAGTCCTCTATCTAGGAATTCCTGGGCCTCCTGCATGGCATTTTCATGCCGTGTGGGCTCAAGGGGACATTTTAGACTTATTTACTGTATTAGTCAGGGTCTCTTTAGAAAAACAGAATCAATAGGATGTGAGTATATATTTAAAAATATTATTTTCAAGGAATTGGCTCACATGACACAGGGATTGGCAAGTGTAAAATCTCTAAGGGAAGCCAGCAATCTGGAGACCCAAGGAAGAGCTGATGTTGTAGGTCACAAGTCCAAAGGCAGTCTGAAAGCAGAATTCCTTCCTTTTTAGGGGCCCCCAGTCTCTTAAGGCCTTCAACTAATTTGGTGAGGCCCATCCATATTACTGAAGGTAATCTGCTTTACTCAGTTTACTGATTTAAATGTTAATCATGCCCGCAAAATAACTTCACAGCAATATCTACACTGGTGTTGTAGCAAACAACTGGCCACCATAGCTTAGCCAAGTTGACACCTAATAACCATCATATCTAGAGTAGTTTACATCCATCAGGTTTTGCTACCCTACTGCTGCCTTGCTGTGCTGGACAGGTTTGGGTGAGTATAACACATGTTGGATGCTGTCATACTCTCTCTGAAACCTCTCTATGGCTGTATTAAAATTATTATACTTGTATACTTGTTCCTTTTGGATGAGACTCTAGGAATCAGAGAAAATAGATTCTTCTTCTAGAACCTGAATAACCCTTGCATTATCTTGTCCTCTCTGAATCCTTCTTATTCTTACTATTTTAGATTTATTTTCTCTTCATGGTAGAAACTTCCTTTACCATACATACATATGTTAGACAGGGTTTCACCCTGTCAGCCAGGCTGCAGTGCAGTTGTGCAATCATAGCTCAATGCAATCCCCCCAGGCTCAGGTGATCCTTCCCCCTCAGCCTCCTGAGCCAGGGCTACAAGCACGGGCCACCAGGCCCAAATATTTTTTTATTTCTATTTTATTTTATTGTAAAGAGGAGGTTTCGTCATGTTTCCCAGGATGGTCTCAAACTCCTGAACTCAAATGATCCACCCACCTCAGCCTCCCAAAGTGCTAAAATTATAGGTGTGAGCCAATGTGCCCAGCCTACGCTATGTTTTTCGTTATTTCTACACCATAACTCTTTAATTTGATTCAGCCAGGCTTGGCTCTTAATATGTAAAGGAATAGTTTTGAAATGTAGAAAAGTCCTTTCTTAACAAAGCCTAAGAGGAAATTGGGCTTTACTTTTTTACTTTGTGATTCAAAAGCCGCATATGTTGACTCTGTATTTATGCTATAAAAATTCCAATTCTTCTTTGAACAATGGATTAAAAGAGAGAAAGATAACACACAATGAAGTTAGCAGAAAACAAAAACAACAACATCACTCTAATCTCTTTAAAAATACATTTTCCCTGTTATACAATAATTACACACTAGGTTCTGTAAGATTCAAGATAGTTTTATAGAATAATTGGGAAAATATTGCAAGAGGATAAATGCCAATATAAACTCAGGAACAAATAATATAAACAGTAGTTCAGAGGAGAAAGCCATTTAAAAAACACACACTAGGCCAGGCGTGGTGGCTCACATCTGTAATCACAGCACTTTGGGAGGCCGAGGGGGCAAATCATGAGGTCAGGAGATCGAGACCATCCTGGCCAACATGGTGAAACCCTGTCTCTACTAAAAATACAAAAATTAGCTGGGCGTGGTGGCACGCCTGTAGTCCCAGCTACTCGGGAGGCTGAGGCAGGAGAAGCACTTGAACTTGGGAGGCGGGGGTTGCAGTGAGCTGAGATCATGCCACTGCACTCTAGCCTGGTGACAGAGCGAGACTCTGTCTCAAAAACAAAACAAACAACAAAAAATCCCCACAAAAACACACACTCTATTTCCTACCTGCTTACAAAAAGATAAAACCATGAGTAATTTTTGGCTTTAGCCCTCTGAGGGAGCTGAGCCTTAAGAGAATCTCCTAGGTTCTCAGTTCTATTCAATTCCCCTATGGCTTCTTTTTCACTATGTATGGGTCTGTCCTGACTTCAGGCTTCCCAATGCTGATATTTTTATACACTGTGTCCTAAACAGATACTTGACAGCTTTTGGTAGTCTGAGAATGTGATAATGCACATCCATTTTGAATCAGAATGATAACTCTTTTAGGGTCCATTACTTAACCATAAAATAAAACTAGAGGGTCTTTCACATTTACTTTCTTTCTCTAATAATGCAAAGGAGAAAGCAACCTGAATAATAAAATAATTCTTGCAAAAATTTCATATTGCTTTTTAATTCTAATATGGTACATACAATAAGATACTAATCTAATATCTATTTAATCAATATTTTTGGAAACTTTATTTATAATCTTTAATGCAATTTTTACAATCGGTATAATTTCTCTTTCCTGTAAATAAATAAATATTTATTATTTACAAATAAATATATACTTATATATTTAAATATATTATTAATATATATTTATATATTTAAATATATTATTAATATATATTTATATATTTAAATATATTTATTATTTAAATGTTTACATATATTTATTATTTTTATATATGTAAATATATTTATTTACTTGTAGGAGCTAGAGATTATACCCTGATTATTTATATACATATACATATGTGTGTATATATATATATGTGTGTGTATATATATATATATATATATATATATACACACACACACACATATATATAAAATCTAGATTTCTTCTTCAACCAAGTAAACCTCAATATTATATTGTTATTCTTCTTTGTATCTCCCATAGTTTTGAGGACAGGTCGGCATGTAGGAAGATGCTCAATGAATCCTTTTTGGAATTAATCGTGTAGACAAAAGTGTGCTACTTGGTATCGTGAGCAAATATTCCACATCTTTCCTTTTTCTTCAACACTGAATTCTTTCAACATTGTTTATCTTATCCAGATTGACTAGCTAGTAAGGAATATGGAATGTGGGGAAAAGTGTGAAATCTGCAGTTTATAGCAATTTGTGTGATTTAGAAATTTTGAATAGGTGGCAAAGTCCCTTTTCATATTTAAAAATTATGGACTAAGAACTTGTCATGCAATCAACAAATTATAAAAATGGAGCATACAGAAGTAAAAGTGCTGACTCAATGTATGAAACTAACCTAACATTTATCAAATTTTAAGCAGCATTGCGATATTGAGATATACATTAAGTAACTTTAAATAGTCTTTTAAAAAACTGTTCTAGTGAGTTTTGAACAGCCAGGTTAAGCATTTGTGGGACAGTGGGTAGAAAAGATGACCTTGAGGAAAGTGAGTCAGAGATACACTTTTCTTTCATAAGTAGGTAGAAGTACTCTTTTGTTGTTCTGTCCAGTGACTTGATGGTCAGTTAGCTCTACAGCTTTTCCAGGTGATCTCATGGCTTGTAGGAGGTGAGAAGTAGCTCTCTTTCAGAAAGGCCAGTGATATCTCCTAAATGAGTCTATTAAAGTGCTATAATTCCATATATTCAGCAGCACCAGAGCCTGAGTATTTAGATTCTTTCTTCCTACAAAAGAGAGTAGTTATCACAACAGGAATGATAAAGCTGTAGTGTTAATACGGCCAACAACATAATAGCAGAGATTCGTCTGTTGGTTCTCTAATAATTTTTCAGCCTGAACACTGCCCAACTTCTCTTTATCTCCTGCTGATGTTGTTCTTGCCCTGAAGCCCACCATTCATTATACTGCTCTTTCTTTTTCTCACTGAGGCATCCCATTACTGCTTGTTTTCATCAGTAAGATTCTTCTGAAAAATTACAAGGAAAGGTAGCCAGTGACATTTATGGCTTGTTGGCATGCATTTTTATCTACTTTAAGAGTCATGTCAAGAAATACTGTGTACGAGGGTAATCCTAAATAACTGCTCAGACACAGTATGATTTCTGAAAACAACAACAACAACAATAACTACTATTACTACTCCTCTTACTGCTAATCGCCATAGAGACAGAAAATAATATTTTGGACAAACACACCTCCACTTGGCTGATTTCTTGACATCCTAACACCCTTTCAATTTCCAGAAAATCCTCTTTTGTGAGAAGGTAGGGTGATCAAAAATGTCACTCAGGAAATGCAATTAATGATTTTTCTGCCTCAGCAGCTTTAAGATTACCCACCAGCCCGAACTTGTTTCCTCAGCATATTTTACAAGCTTTTCGGCTTCTCTTGACCAATCCATAATTTTATAGTGTTGAAATCTATATGATAGGTTAGTCCTAAATGAGTTTACTTAAGACAATCTTATTTTGCTTCTGATGCTTTCCCGAAGTTATCTCCTTATGGATACACATCCATCACATTTTTTACTGCAATACTTCCTATGAAATTACAGCCCTCGGCACATAGCTTCAGGTTGGTTCTGATCAGTGCACTAAAACTGTAAAAAAGATACTGAAAAAAAAAATGCATAGAGTTCACAGTCTTCCTTTCATATAAACATAATAGGATGAAATTACCTGTAGGGTCATTTTTATTCTGTATTCTCCCACTGTGTCAAATTCAGCTGTATTGGACATGGAAGGCTAAAGGTATGAAATGGTGGCCATTTTTCTAAAAGCCATTTCTCTGAGCATCTCAGCCGTAGTCTCCAAGGTATATAGCGATCCTTTTCTGTTGAAAGGTCATTTCTTTTCCTTTTTTCATCCAATATCCTTACTGGTCATTTATTTGTTTGACAATTCCAGAAAGTAGGGATAAAAGGTCCATATGCTTTAACGTATTAAGTAAATAATACCTGCTATCTTATTATATATATGTGTGCATCTGTATATACTGATATACATATACATGGAATACACTTGTATACATTAAAAGCTTAAAAGTACTTATCTCCATTCATATAATTCTCACAACAAATGGGGTGGTTATTATTTAAATTTTACAGTGGCTAAAACTGAGGATCAAGAAGGTTAAGCAAGTTACCCATAGTTGTGAAGCCAGGTGTTTTGGTACCTTGCCTGGTACTTTTTTCCCCCCAACAAAATCACTTTAATTCTGAGCATTAGGATAACCTACTTATTTTAAAATAGAAGCTGTAGATGATAATTATGGAAATTCATAAATGTACTTGGAATGGAACTTAGTTTTAGCCATGAATATATGTAAAATAATTTGTTTGTCAAGTCTTCTTCAGAAAATTGAGATTAGAGGAGATGGAGAAAAACAATAGGTAAGTTTTTATGTAAGAGAGGAGGTCCAGGAGTGCTTGGGTCTAGGGAAACTTGGGACAGAAAGTCACATAGGAAGAATGTGGAATTCGAGAGTTGGTCTGGGAGGAATGACGAAGGATGCTACAAAGCAAAAGAAGATGTTCCAAGAGAAGAGTGAAAATGTTGAAGGCAGATTTTTCCCCATACCTTATTCTGGTAAGAGACATTTCTTTGCTATACTTATAGGGAATTCATTATTTTTTCAAAAGTAGCACTGATATCTATAACTTAAAATGCCACTTATTATATAACCATAATCTAAAACAATCAAATGATCATGTTTAAGCACCATATGTTTAAAAATACTCATTAAAATTAATTTCTGTTCAAAGTCTGAAAGTTTCTAAAACATAAATTTATTTAACTGGTCAGCCATAATTTATAAAATATATTTAAAATTTCATATTAATATTATAAATATAGATTGTTATAGTAAACTTTTCTCTCCACTAGCCCCTACAGATAATGTAGAATTCAGTGCTTTCAGCTTTTTAAGATGCTATTTAGAGTAGAAAATTCATTATGGCCATTTCTCTGCTGAGGGCATAGTCACGATTTCTAAAAAGACTTTCCAATACCAGTTAATGTGACTTTAGTTTAAGTTCTAAGGGTCAGGGAATTAGAAAAAAATCTAATAATTATAAATCAGTTTCCACGGTTTCTTGTTTCCTTTTTGGAGACATGATCACCCCTTTCAGTGAGAAATGTGACTTCATCAAAACAAGAAGAAAATAGAAGTGCTCATATTTAACTTTTCAATATTAGAAGAGTACAAAAATTAGTATACCAGAAAAGTACAGGTAATGCATCTGAAATAAAATAAAGTGAAATTGTCTCTTAAATAGGAAGACAAATATCATTGGGTAAGCAGAAATATCCAAGTTATTTTAAAGAGTTTTCAAAATGCATTTTCTAAGGCTGACATAGTGCCACTGTAATTAGAAACAGGTGCATATAAATTAGAAAGGAGAGAAGACTAATTGTTACTAATGAAGTTTTTAAAGTAAAAACTTTACTTAATGAAATGCATAATTAAGCATTAATGGCCAAAAGACGGAAATCTTCTTTCACTTGGGTTAGATTTTGGTTTAAGGTGAAGCCTAATTTGTTATTAATGCTAAAAGTGTTTCTGCTTCTATATGTTTACAAAAGCAAGCAAAACAACTGACATAATTTTATGATGTGGATTTTGATATGCCTTGAAAAAGGCAATGATTTCCTGATTTGACAGTAGTAGAGGGAAATAATGAGAACATTAAACCCAGGATATAGTGTTGGACCCCACTTACAGGATTCTTATAAGCAAAGAGGACATCTCTTCATCCTAGAGCAATAAAATCCTATTCTTATGGGTTCAAATCTTTTTGGGTAGTTCAGACATCAATCCTCACAGTGATTCTTAACTTTAATTTCATATTGAATTCCTGGAGAGTTTAAAAAGTTTCCATGCTCAGACTCCATCCCAGACAAATTAATCCAACTGTGCATTTGTAGGAATGGGTTGGCACCCAGGCTTGAGTAATTTTTCAAAGCCCCAAGAGGTACTGAGTCTTGGAAAGGCCATATGTAGAGTTTTCTAATGCATAATATAATACTGTTTGCCTTTCTCTTTGCTAGGTAATCCTTTGCCCACCTTCCCCCTCAGAGTTATTTATCCTTCACAGACTAACCCAGCTGCCACTTAGTTGGGAAGCTTTCTCAATAATTAATCACTTGAACTTCTGTGTGTTGACTCTACTGTAGTTTGAAAACATTTATTGTTGTCCTTAGCACACTCTTTCAGAATTTTCCAATTATGTCTCTTTTCAACTCTTTAAAACTAAATAAATAAATTTAGAAAAGTTAAATTCAGGGCAGCAAATTCAGCTTTGTATTCCCAATGGCTAGCAGAGTACTTGACCCACAAGAGGTGCCCAATGTATCCAATATACGTTTGTTGAATTGTTTGATTGCACATCCTTGATGTATTCTACCTCAGTGACAAGTTTATTTGATATATTCTTGTGATGTGTATATATATTTGTGTGTGTATGTAGGTATATAATGCACACACACACATTTTCATGGAATTTGCACACGTGAATTTAAACTTATGCCGTTTCTGTATTGGCAGAGGTAATGGAGATGTGCATTGAAAGAAGTAAATTGTTTGACTCAAAATGTTTTATTTTTCAAATTTGTGTTATATAGTTCTTAGCATCATCAAAGCTTATAAGGAAGGTTTAGTGCTACCTTAAACCAATAATTTACTGCCAATAATTTAATATCAAAGGAGAAATATTAACTACAGATTTCTGCTTCATTTTAAAAAAAGTACTTCATTTTTTCCACTGTGGACGTATACATTTTCATGTGAGAGTCAGCCATTTTTGTGCTTGAGAGATGTGTGTTTCCAGAAAAGTACAGAGTTAACTTTAAAACCTTCAAGGGAAATTGGAATCATAAGCTAAAACAACAAACAAACAAATGAAAGAACCCTTCAGAAATAATAAACTACTGGCCAGGCTTGGTGGCTCATGCCTGTAATCCCAGCACTTTGGGAGGCCGAGGCAGGTGGATCACGAGGTCAAGAGATGGAGACCATCCTGGCCAGCATGGTGAAACCCTGTCTCTACTAAAAAAACAAAAATTAGCTGGGTGTGGTGGTGTGTACCTGTAGTCCCAGCTAGCTGCTCGGGAGGCTAAGGCAAGTGAATCACTTGAACCGGGGAGGCAGAGGTTGCAGTGAGCCCAGATCAGCTGCCATTGCACTCCACTCCAGCCTGGGTGACAGAGCGAGACAGTCTCAAAAAAAAAAAAAAAAAAAAGAAAAGAAAAGCAAAAGAAAAAAAAATAAGCTATTTGTGAAATGATTAGAAAATTATTTTTAAATTTATTTTTAAAAAATAGCTTCCTGGAATAGGAGAAAGGCACATCCATAAAATAGGGTAGGTTTCTAAAAACCTTTGGAGTAATCTCCAAGATACAAGATGCAGAAAATGTGTATTGTAGGTTTATTCTTATGCAAGAAGTGTTAGCATGTGTGTGTTAACAATGTGTGTGTGTGTATATTGCTAATATTTTCTTTTTTCTTTTTTTTGAGATGCAGTTTCGCTCTTGTCACCCAGGCTGGAGTGCAATGGCACCATCTCGGCTCACTGCAACCTCTGCCTCCTGGATTCAAGCGATTCTCCTGCCTCAGCCTCCCGAGTAGCTGGGATTACAGGTGGCTGACACTACGCCTGGCTAATTTTTGTATTTTTAGTAGAGACTGGGTTTCGCCATGTTGGCCAGGCTGGTCTCCAACTCCTGACCTCAGGTGATCTGCCCATCTCAGACTCCGAAAGTACTAGGATTAGCAGGCGTGAGCCACTGTGCCTGGCTGCTAATAGGTTCAAAAAGAAATAAGGCAAGGATAAGCCAAAAAGTAATAAAAATGTTGATCTTTAGGGATAGGGAGAGAACAGAGGAGACAGGATAATGATGGAGGTTAGACCTTTATTAAAGTGCTTTGTTTTATGGTTTGGGTTTAGGAACTATATATTAAGTAATTAAAAAATAATGTTAATTAGAAAAACAACAAAGCAATCTGTAAAATACAAAACAAACTAATGAACCTAAGTCTAGATCACAGAGAACTATACAAAGAAGAATAATTTCAAGTGATTTTTAAAATGAAGTATTTTGACTTTACATCACTAGTGAGATCTATTGTCAAGACAAAGGGAAGCACAGAGAAATATTGAATGGTATTCAATGATATTGAGGTTAGTAATGATGACATTGCTTTATAAAAACTATTATTAGTAGATACATAAATAAGTAGGTGATAAAGATAAAACACCTTTGATTGTAACACTTTTTAGATAAAGATAAGACAAATAAGTGGGAACAAGCAAATGTCAGGAGCCGTAATATTCAGAGAAAAGAAAAAATATAAAATCAAGGAAGTTAAGAAAAAATCCTGTAATTATTAATTCAAATTAGAGATGCATAAATTTACATATTTTTCTCTATCTGAAAATATGTTTTCTAGATTTGTCTACTGAAAAGTGCTAGAAGCAATGACCACACACTCAAAATGGCTACTCTAGAACTCACGTAAAGGCTTTTAAATGCCATTTCCTACCAAAAGGAACAAGCCTCTTTAGAGAAATGGCTGATTGCAGGTTGGGGCAGGGATTGGACAAGATGAGCCTGGGACATCTTGACAGAACAGATAAAGAGAAAGCTATCCAAGCATATGACTATCATTTTAAACTTACACAAGAGCCAGCCTGAAGGGCTCACACTGGCCGAAGGGAGGGCAAGAGAATAATGACTGCAGTGAATGCAGTGAAACACTTCATGACATCCAAAACAAAAGCAAATAAATATAAAAGTTAAAACACAAAACCTATTGAACACCTTTGGAGGTAGCTAGGACATCAACTCATTTATTTGAAAGCTCATAAAAGAAAAGATTCAGACATTTATTCTGTCTTTTCTGTATGGATAGAATTTCAAGGTACCTAATAATTTGTGAGATAATTTTTTGTTTATAGAAAAATTGCTATCAAATGCAGAGAGAATGCTAAATATTACCATTTTGCAAGTGCTAATAAAATAATGAATTGAGGCAACAATCACAAATGGCTGCTAGAATCATTACATAAAAGGGTGATGGGGAAATTGATAATGGGTCACCCTTAATCTCATCATAAGTGTGGAAATTGAGGCATGTGACTTCCTGAAGTAAAAAAAAATGAGCACTTTCATCCATGAAGTATTCTTGCCAAAAGAGAAAAATTAATTAGTGTAATAAACCTCAATCAATATGGCTTTTATTTCTAACTCCAACTTGTAGGAAATAGAGAAGAAAGAGGAACATATTAAACACCATTATTAGGATTCAATTAGCTATATACAGAATAGAAAAACATCTATAGATGAATGACCCAGTTTCTTCAACAAAGAGCTTTAAAAAAATAAAGGGAGGAAGGAATTTTATAGATTAAAAAAATACCTTAAGAGATTCGTCAACCAATTGGATCCTGATTCCTGATTTGTACCAAAAAATTCAAAAAGGCATTTTTCTGGTAACTGAACATGGGCTGGTTATTTGTTGATAATAAGAAATTATTATAAATTTTGATGTATGTGGTAATGATCTTGTGATACATTTTAAATTGTGTGTGTGTGTGTGTGTGTGTGTGTGTGTGTGTGTGTGTGTGTGACCAGGCTGGAGTGCAGGGCGCCATCACGGCTCACTGTAGCCTCGACCACCCAGGCTTAAGCGATCCTCCCACCTCAACCCCCTGAGGAGTTGGGACTACAGGCATATGTCACCATGTCTGACTAATTTTTAAAGTTTTTGTAGAGACAGGGTCTCCCTATGTTGCCCAAGCTGGTCTCAAACTCCTGGGCTCAAGTGATCCTCCTGCTTTGGCCTCCCAAAGTGAAATTACAGGTATGAGCCACCACGCCCCTCCCTGAAAATTCTTTTTAGATAGAGATACCTACTGAGGTATTCATGTGTAAAATGATATGCTTTCTTGAATTTGCTTTAAAATATCTTAGCAATAAAAGGCAAAGGAATAAATTAGAACAGTAGAATGTTAATAATTGTTGGAAATGGTTGGCTGATATATACATGAGTTAATAAGACAATTTCCCTACTTTTTTTAATGTTTGAAATTTTCCATAATGAAAAGTTAAGATACGTAACACTCAGCATTATCAATGTGCATACTGTATAAAAAGATCAGAAATCTGTTTTAGACCAAAAGGAATAGGCCATTTAGCAATATAATATCTTCTATTGTCTATTTTGACCCTAATGTCATAGCAAAAACTTTTTTTAATTGAAAAACTAAAATATTTCAATTGAGGAATTATTATTACACAATTATTTTATTAACTATGAGAAAAGGAAATGAATTGAGTATTTAAAAAAATTGTTTAGTTACTTTTTTGAGATGAGGTCTCTCTGTCGCCCAGGCTAGAGTGCAGTGGCACCATCATTATAAACAATGTCTTGTTTATAATTTTGGGCAAATTATTTCTCTATTAGCCAGGACACACTTGAGAAATATTTTTTTCTGGTAGTAATTTGAAGTGCTCCATTATCCCATTCTTGTCTCTTTTGCATATGTAAACTGCTGCTGATGTCCATGCATACAGCTTGTTGCCCTGGAAGAATGAAACTAATTGGAAATAATAGGACTCAAAGAGGCCATTTTGGATTTACTATGGTTGATCCTTACTCAAATCTAAGCCAAATGTCCATATGTACTTGAAATCCCCAAATTATATAATTTTCCCATTACCCAATTATAGAGCTTGAAGAATTCTCAAAGGATGAATGAAAACATTTAAAAACCATTAGATATTATATTGAGGAAGGGACAATTTTGTTGTAAGACTTTACAAGTCTTCCAAAATCATTAAGTTTTAAGAAACAACTTCCAGGTTCTGGGGGAGGATGGTGTCTCCAACTTATTAAAAAATATTATCAGTTTGGTTGACATAAAATGTAACAATTTTGCAGAATAAAGCTTGATAATACATTAATAAGAATTTGAAGCACGACAATTTTATTTCTAATTGTGAATATCACAAATGTGCTTTGCAAACACCTGGTTGGGTTGCAACTAAGAATGTTTGTGATAGTTAACAAAATGTGATGACCAATTACATAGCCGATAGGTGTCTCCAGGGTGTTTCATAGTTAAAACATCCTTTCAATTACTTTCAGTTTTTGAGAGTATAGTAAAAAAATGATATATATTTGAAATTAACCACATCAAAAAAAAATATTAAGGGTGACCTGGAGGAGTTTATAGGTAAGTGCCCTTCTCATAGCCTAACTGTTAGATTGTGGTATCTCACTTTTAAATAATGTTTATTTTCAGTGTAAGGTATAAAAAGGCATATACAGAACTTTCTGACCATTTTTCTTTTTCTTTTTTTTTTTTTTTTGAGACAGAGTCTCCCTCTGTTGCCCAGGCTGGAGTGCACTGGTGTGATCTTGGCTCACTGCAACCTCCGCCTCCTGGGGTCAAGTGATTCTCCTACCTCAGCCTCCCGAGCAGCTGGGATTACAGGCACACGCCACCATGCCTGGCTAATTTTTGTATTTTTAGTAGAGACGGGGTTTCACCATGCTGGCCAGGCTGGTCTGGAACTCCTGACCTCGGGTAATCCACCCACCTCGGCCTCCCAGAGTGCTGGGATTACAGGTGTGAGCCACCGCGGCTGGCCCATTTCTCTTATTTTGGACAAATATAAGTGGGATTTCTCCAAGTAGTTGGAGTTTAATCTACACATTTTTATCTTCTATAGAATATAGTAAAGCAGGCAGGGCATGGTGGCTCATGCCTGCAATCCTAGCACTTTGGGAGGCCAAAGCGGGTGGATCACTTGAGCTGAAGAGTTTGAGACCAGCCTGGCCAACATGGTGAAACCCTGTTTCTATTAAAAACACAAAAATTAGCTGGGCGTGCTGGTACATGCCTGTAATCTCAGCTACTTGGGAGGCTAAGGCAGGAGAATCACTTGAACCCGGGAGGCGGAGGTTGCAGTGAGATGAGATCGCACCACTGTACTCCAGCCTGGGTGACAGAGAGAGACTCTATCCGCCCCCCACCAAAAAAAGAATATTGTAAAGCAATTTAATTTTAGTCATCTCTAAAATATAGCTACCTCTTGAATTTTTTTAAAATTATACTTAAAGTTCTAGGGTACGTGTGCACAACGTGCAGGTTTGTTACATATGTATACGTGTGCCATGTTGGTGTGCTGCACCCATTAACTTGTCACTTACATTAGGTATATCTCCTAATGCTATCCCTCCCCCCTCCCCCCATACCTCTTGGATTTTAAATAATTAGAAACAATGAAAAACAATTCCTTATCTAATTTTCCCTTACTTTTGAACTACTGCAAATGTCAACTCATTATTGATTATCTAAAGTAGCCCCAAAGTATCTACATATCACAGATCATTTAAAAAATTTATCTTTAATTTTTGTGTGTATATAGCAGATGTATATATTTATAGTGCATGTGGGATATTTTGATACAGGCATAGGATTTGTAATAATCACTTCAGGATAAATGAGGTAACCATTGCCTTAAGCATTTATACTTTGTGTTACAAACAATATAATTATACTCTTTTAGCTATTTAAAAATGTACAATTTAATTATTATTGACTATAGTCACCTTGTTGTGCTATCAAATACTAGATCTTATTCATTCAATTTTTTTATACCCATTAGCTGTCCCCCCACTGCCCCCCATGATGGTTACCATTCCCAGTCTGTGGTAACCATCATTCTACTTTCTATCTCCGTGAGTTCAATTGTTTTAATTTTTAACTTCCACAAATAAGTGAGACCATGTGAAGCTTGTCTTTCTGTGCCTGGCTTACTTCATTCAGCATAATACCCCTCAGTTCCATTCATGTTGTTGCAAATGACAGGATCTCATTAATTTTTATGGCTGAAATAACCATAAAAATGTGTATATGTACCACATTTTCTTTATCCATTTGTCTGCTGATGGACACTTGGGTTGCTTCCAAATTTTGGCTATTGTGAATAGTGCTGCAATAAACATGCGAATGCAGATATCTCTTCAGTATACTGATTTCCTTTCATATGGGTACATTTCTAGCAGTGAGATTGCTGGATCATATGGTAGCTCTATTTTTAGTTTAGCTCGAGGCTCTAGGGCTCTACAATCAGCAGGTGGTGAGGCCAGCCAGGCTTGTATCCTTCTGTTAAGGGTGGCATGTTCCCCTGGGCCCTAGGTGGGTTCAGAGATGCTGTCTGGTAGCCAGGTCTGGAGTCGGAAACCTTAGAAACATATATTGTGATCTATTCTACTGCAGCTGAGCTGGTGCCAAAACCAGAAGACAAAGTCCTTCCTACTCTTTCCTCCCCTTTCCCCAGGCAGAGGAGTCTCTCCCTGTGTCCACCACCACTGCAGGCCCATGGGGAGTACTGCCAGGGTACCACCAGTTTTCACTTAAGGCCCAAAGGCTCTTTCAGCAGCTTGCGGTGAGTGCTGCCAAACCTGGGATTCACTCTTTAGGGCAGTGGGCTCCCTTCTGGCCCAGGGTAGGTCCTGAGATGCCATCCAAGAGTCAAGACCTGGAGTTGGGGACCCCAAGAACCCACTTGGTGCTCTTTTCCACGGTGGCTAAGCTGGTATGTAAGCTCAAGACAAAGTCCCCTTTACTCTTCTCTCTGCTTTTCTTGGGCACAAGGGGTCTCTCCTTGTAGGCATCACAACAGTAAATGTGCTGAGTCACACCTGAAGCCAGTACATCTCAGAGTCTCATTAAAGGCCCGTTGCATGTGTTAATACCTGGTAATACTACCTGGTTACTGCTGCTGATTATTTAGGGCTAATAACTCTTTAGTTAGCAGGTGATGAATCCTGCCAGGCCTGGGTCCTTCCCTTCAATGCAGCAGGTTCCCTTCTGGCCCAGGGTGGGTCTAGAAATGTTCCCTGGGAGCAGGACCTGAAATGGGGTCCTCAGGACTCTGCCCAGTGCCCTATCTTACCATGGCTGAGCTGGCATCCAAGTTGCAAGACAAAGTCCTTTTTCCTTTTTCCTCTTCTCTCCTCGCGTGGAAGGAAGCTTCTTTTGAAGCTGTGAGCTGCACTGCGTGGAGTTGGGGGAGGGGTGGCATATGCACTCCCTTAGCCTCCCTGGCTGATGTCTCACTAGGTCATCTGCCCCCGCAAGTCCATCGGCTCCAAACCCAGTACAGCACTATGAATTGCATAGGAGTTGTAGTCCTTGTGGTCTAGACAGCCTTTGAAGTTTATTTAGATCTCCAGAGCCCTTTAGCCCATGGTGGTGAGGCTTGCTAAAACTCAAGTTCCAACTGCTGGGCTGGGTGATTTCCGTCTGGCTTGGGTCGGTCTCAATGCTTGCTCCATGGACACCAGCTGAGTTCTGTCCAGTGTTGGCAGCACTGCCTTCCAATGCAGTCCCACGATTGCTGTGCTCTTCCTCCCCCAAATGCAGATTCTCTCTCTGCACCACATGACTGCTGCTGGCAGACTGGCAATTCAAGACTGTCTTTCTTACGCTCTTAAAGTGCCTCTTACAGCGATATAAAGTTAAAACCAGGTACTATGATTGCTCACCTGATTTTTGGTTCTCATGAAGGTGCTTTTTTGGTGTAGATAGTTGTTAAATTTGGTGTTTGTGTGGGGAGGATGGTTGGTGGATGCTTCCATTCAGCATCCACCAATGCCGAATAGATCTTGCTCTGCCCACTTCATATCATAGATTTTAAGGAGGGCTTGTGGAAAATATACAAGTTTTGAGTTGATTCTCCGTAGTTAAAATTACCCAGCTCTATAGGGTGATTATTGTAGGCCTGACCCTAGAAGGCCAAGTGATGATGCTGTAGATGTAAGAAATTGGGAACCAGTATGTTTGAGTACTCACTCTATACAAGGAATTTCCAGCAGTATCTATTTCATATGATCTTTAAAATAACACTGTGAGATAGATATTAGTACTCCTAGTTTTGACTTTACATAAGTAGAAATGGAAACTTGAGAGATTAAGTACTTTCTTGAATTTTATGCAGCTAACAAGAAGGGGAGTTTATAGCTTAACTCTGATTTGAAAACTGGTATCTCCTCAACTGTATCAAGTTACTTGCATGCCCATTGACACTGTGCTTTCTACTTTGCCCATGGTCAATACTCACAGTCTCTTTTTCTCATCCCAGTTTTCTAAATGTAATACTGTTAGGCAGAATGTTCATATAACTCTCATATAAGATATATGGTACTTTGTGATATTTGTAGTCAGCTAAAGATATTTGATTTAGTAGGCAGGTATTTTTCATAGTATGGGACTTTTACCATTCCTTTATTTTGTTATGATTGGGGTTTCTTTCCCTATTTTGATTCATTATTTTTATTTTAAATACCCAGGCTATTCAATACTCTTGGTTCATCAAATTCTTAATAATCTACATTATATGTTAGTTCAAATGTTTTTCAATGAGTGAACATAGTTTTCCAAATAATGTAAAATATCAAGAACAACATGCTGACAGTCTTCCTCTCATCCTCCACCCCTGAAAGAAAACAATGCTTCAGTTCATACATAGGATTGTTTTGTAGGAGATTACTGTTTTATCTGAGAACAAAATAATGAATGAGGAGACAATAAAGGAATGTATCTTTTAATGGCTAACTCCCTTATCAATGCCCGACTCCTCATAGCCTAGAGCATATAAATATACTTAGTTGAATAATTTCTAAGTAAGTTAAGCACTACCATGTACCAAGTGATTGTTCAAGCCACTTGGAAAAGGCAGAAAGAGGTCAAGTGATTTCTAGTGATTGCTTCATAAATAATATGATATCTAGATTGATATTTTAAATTTTAGATTGCTAGAGTATTTGCAATTTTTAATACAATTTATCATGGTCTACTAAGGGGAAAAAGAATAACACTTTTCACTTTAAAGGCATTAGTGCCTTTTCAGAAATATAAATGTCTCATATTTATTATAGTATGGTTTTGATATCCTTCAAAGGAGTTAGGTTGTGCAGGGATTTTCCCAGGATCAAGAAATATAGCTAAAGTGAGTTCTATGTTTTTATTTATTTATTTATTTATTTATTTTTGGGACAGAGTCTCAGCCTGTTGCTAGGCTGGAGTGCAGTGGTGCGATTTGGCTCACTGCATGCTCCGCCTCCTGGGTTCACGACATTCTTCTGCCTCAGTCTCCCGAGTAGCTGGGACTACAGGCGCCTGCCACCACGTTTGGCTAATTTTTTGTATTTTTACTAGAGACCGGGTTTCACTGTGTTAGCTAGAATGGTCTCGATCTGCAGACCTCGTGATCTGCCTGCCTCGGCCTCCCAAAGTGCTGGGATTGCAGGCGTGAGCCACCGCACCCGGCCGGTGAGTTCTAAATAGCCAATGCAGTCATTTGCTTTTCATGGGTCTGATTACTCACTGACCAAACTGAGTCACCCTGATACACTGATAATTTTTGTGGGTTCCAAAATTGTTCCTCTGCTATAAACGTAAACCACTGCAATTACTTTACAACTGAATTCCTTTGGACCCTTAAGGCTAATTAATTTCACTCTGCTTCTCAACTCTGTTGTCCTTGGCTGCCATTCTCAGTTTCTATTTTCTCACAGACTTTAAATATTGCACTGCCTTGCCCTTCCTCTCCTCCTGGCACATCCTCTTCCTTTTCCAACCTTTTCTCCTGAGACTTGTGGAACCTTGTCCTAGTAAACAGATTTCCTTGAATTTTGCTTATACATATAATCCAGAAAATAACTTTTAGGTCTTCTAAATACTTCTAGAATCAGGCCTACTATAATCAGTTAGCCTAATAACTGGTGTCTTGACTTCCTCCACTCCTAGTGAATACTAAATACTAAATTTTAAGCTTTTTACAGCCTTATGTTAATAACATAATTTCGCTAAATAAAAGTCTCCATGGGCTACACAATAATTTCCAAATTCTATGGGATGTGCCATGTTTATCTCCTCTTAAATTCTCTCATTCTACATGCATTGCCTAGTAAAGTCATTTCAGATCATGTTTGCTAACACTGTTTCCTTGCATTAGAATATAATTCTCCACTTTCCTTAATTTGGAAACTCTAACATTATTTAAGAGCCATTGAAAATTTAACCTTCTTCAAGAAGCCTTCTCAATACAACTAATTTGAACCAGACATTCTTTCGTTTGTTCTTTTATTGTATTTGTACTCTTATATATGGTCTGTTTTGTGTTATATTTGAAATATACCTGTATTTATTATCCAACTGGTTGCAAGATTTTTAAAAAAAGGGACTTTCCAAGTCATCTTTGAACTCTTGGAATGACAGTTCAGAGGCTGAATCACAGCAGGTATCAAGGATATTTTGCCTAAGAAAGGGAACAGAGAAACACTGAAAAGCACCCAACAGAGGTTATGGTGAAGACAACCAGTGATATCTAAATACAGGCATAGAGTATGTATAAGACTCCTGGGAACTAGAACTGAGAAGACATTAGAAACACAGCGTTTTCATCTGCTTCTCCCTCAGGGGATGCATGGCCTATCCCATTTCTATCTCATATTCTCTCTGTCAGAGCAGTTCCTCTAAATCTGGTGACACAAATGCCCACACTGTTCTAGGATGGACTGTACATGATCTAGGTCTTTCAGCTTTCATCACTATTGAGCAACTTTCTGTAGTCTCTTAGTTCAAATAGGCCAGCAGGGGATTCATAAAGCTTCCATTTTTGAGCCAGGCCATAATTTGTTATAGGTTACAGGGCAAGCTAAGGATCGGCTTAAGCCAGGTATACCCTAGTCTAAACACTTTGCAAAGACAGGAAGGGGGTGGCAGCCGATAAGGTACAAAACATAAACATTAGTGTTGGAGGGACTGTTGGAGGGACTGACGGTTCCGAAGACTAAAAAATACTTAGCATAGTAGGTCTTCTGTAAATATTTATTGAATTGAATTGATCTAAAACGCTAATATGAACAAGATTTGGTTCAATTCTTACGACAATTAGTTTTTTCTCCTCAAAGAGTATGCTTAGAATAAGATCCTTCATTAAGTACTTATCCACTCCAAGCTAATTACACTATTTAATCAGCTTCTATTTATAAAATCAATTTGTTCACACAGTTTTGTGATTGCATACTAAATACATGTAGATTTGTGAACAACAGTTCTTTAAAATGGCACATAATTTGATGTTTTAAGCTCTATATTTTAAAAATGCAATTTTTGTCTAGAATTTTCTTCTGAAGATCATTGTTGGGTTGAAAAATATGAACACAAAAGGTCTTTTACTGCTTCCTGTTATCTGAGTGTTGGTTATATTATACTTTTGTGCTTAGATTTAGAGAAATATTATGGGATTTCCACACCCAGAGAAGCTTTGCTGTCAGGAAAAGAAAAGTAATAATAATAATATGATATAATATAATATAATAATAAGAGTACTTGTATTTCCAAATCAGTTGTGAAGGTTGGGTAAAATAATATTTGTCTGAAACATAGGAGGTATTCAACAAAGGGCATTATTTTCAAACACATAGCTATCAGATCAGTTTCCCTAAACTACTGCTTTCTTCGTTTTTCTCTCTCGAGGTCCTCTTCTGGTTCTCATGTTTTCTAATTGATTTCTTGCTAAATCCTCCATTTAAGTTGTTCCATCCCCCTTATTTTATCCTTCCAAGACATTCCAGTCTACTTCTGTGGCTTTGCTGTTTATTTTCTTTTCCCCGCTAATTTCTTAACTTTTATAAATTCTTTACTTGTTCAAAAGTTAGTTCAAATCCTACCATTTTCAGGAGAGATAGTCCTGAAATTTGAAATCAAGTCCTTGGATTTGAATCCTTACTTACAGGCTATGTGACCTTGAACAAGTTGTGTAATCTCATTTTACACATCTGTGAAATGGGGATAAGAAATTTGTTACTATAGAATCTCTTACAAGCACCCTTGTCCACAGGGATATTTCTCTTTCTGATTAATTTCACTTTGTCTGTACATGTAATGGAACAGACCTTATTTTCTTTTTCTTGAAAAACATGGTACTTTATGTTCTTCTTTTCTTGTCTTTATGCTGGTCCTGTCTCTTATGAAAACTTTGGCTCTATATTTTTAAAGAACATATTTAGATAGAAATGTTCTGCATTTTTAAAAGACTAGATTTTAAGAGTCGTAGTTACCAGTGGCCAGGTGACTGTTATATAGTGGTTAATGAGGCTTAATTAAATTGCAGGACTTAGAAAATTGTTCCCATTCTGTGATCAAGTATCCTTAAGGCAGTCATGACCCCAGAAAGGCATTATTCTGTTTCAGGGCAAGTCCACCTTGCATAACTGCTATGCTCTCCTCTTTCAGTTTGGTTTCAGGAAAACACTGGGAGGAAAGAGACCAAAAGGAGCCTTTGCTCCCACGGTTGTAGCATGCATTATTTGCCTGGACAATTAGGGTCTAAGTGCTGTCATTAGAGAAATTAAAGGCCGCTATAATCCTTCTAGTTTAGGCATCTGCTGCCTCTGGGAGTGGTGAGGCAGGCTGCTGAAGACAGTGGTGTTGCAGGCTTCTAAGTGTCTTTTGAGACAGGGAGACCATGACCGCTTTATTTAAGTAATAGCAACTGGAACAAAGACAATTTAGGCTGCAGAGAACACCATGAAAGTGTGTGCATTACTGTGGATATGAAATCTTGATGTTTATCACAGAGTTGTTGTTCTGTTACAGTTAATGATTCTTTCATAGGAATAAAGAGTTTTTTTTTCTTTTTCAGAGTAGAATATTGATTGTCCTATATCCCATTTTCTTGAAGAGATTCTGGCTTCTAATATATGTTCCTAAAAAAAAATTTATCGTCTAGTAGTGATGTCTTCATGTTTCACCCAGCTGTCTCATAGGCATGACTAAGCATCTATTTCATCACCTGGCTCTGGATGCCTCCTCTCTTTACCATTTGTGAAAGGCATTTGCTGATTCCTTTTGATATACCTGAAGTATTGATGCTAGAGAAATCACTTCCAATATAACAGCATCGTTTGCAGATTTTCACTTCTGTGCTGCCTCAAGATTATGGTCAGTGAGCGAAAGGAAAGAAACATTGGCTAAGCAGTCAGGCAGGGGCTTCCCTTGACCACCCTCTACTCCACTTATTGTGGATCCTTTTCCAGGTGTTATTAATATTTGGGGCTACTTGTTCCCATGATCTCTTCACTCATCCCTCTGCCCAGCTTTAAGAGCAGGTAGACAAGAGGTAGATCACAGTATAAAACTATTTGTGCTTAAGATTTAGTTGAGTAAATTATATAATCTACGTAAAGATAAGCATTTCCAAATTCTGACCTCCAGAACATATAAGAACTGGAGTTTAAACTGACACTGTACTTAGAGCTAAAGACCTAGTGTGCGAGTGGGTTTGAATACCCTTCCTGCTGAGGCTGAACTCTGGAGTAGCTGGGTGGCCTTGACTGCTGCTGCAGTTTTGAAATTGTAACCGTATTTAACCTAGTGTAGGTCCACAGTGCAGTGAAATCGTTTAGGATGAGAATGAGGCAGTTGCTTGAATGCCGTATTTTCTATTTTCTGATTGTGAAAGTTTATCTTTCTTTTGTTTGAGAAAGAGTCTTACTCTCTCGCCCAGGCTGGAGTGTAGTGAGATCTCTGCTCACTGCAATGTCTCCTGGGCTCAAGCGATCCTCCCACCTCAGCCTTCCAAATAGCTGGGACTACAGGTGTATGCCACTACACCCAGCTAATTTTTGTGTTTTTTGTAAAGACAGGGTTTCACCCTGTTGCCCAGGCTGGTCTCGAACTCCTGGGCTCGAGAGATTCGCCCACCTCGGCCTCCCAAAGTGCTAGGATTACAGGGATGAGTCATCGTGCGTGGCCTGAAAGTATATCTTTCTTTGTAACATATAGGTGGTTTCCTAGATATCTTTTGAATGATAGCCTGTTAGCTGACCACAAATGTTAAACTCTAATGAATTCATGTTATCCAAAGTTGTCTTAAAAACAGTGAAGTGAGAAAAAAATTAGAAAAATCATTTCATAAAAATTATGACAAATGTTCTGGGCCAGAGAAAATATTTGGACTTCAGATATATGGCAACTGGGTTATAAATTTTTTTTCTGGCTTTAATCCATGTACACATAGTTAAGAAAATAAAATTAATTTCAGAGCCAACCTTTGAATTTAAAATTTATCTTCTCCTTAGCCTTATCTTCGCCTCATCCAAATTATAACAAAACTTTATACTACTTTAAGTAGTAGAATGTTCAAATGGTTGGTAAACAAGACTCTGGATTATATGAAAACAGAAGGAAGAAAAGGTGAAATATATTTAAAGGTTAAATTCTTGGAATAACTCTCTTTTGATTTGGCAATTCTGATGTAATGAGTACCAAAAATGAGTCTGATTCAGGTACTCTGAAAATTAATTTTCAAGAAAACTGGATTGAGAGCATATTATACACTTTAATGCTACTTAATTAATATTTGCCTCATATTGTGCTGTTATTGCAGTTATATAGCCCATGACACTGATCATAATAATGATAATAATAAATAATAATAATGGGTCCTTCAATAAATATTTACTGAACACTTATTATTTTCTAGATAGTGTTCTAGGTGTTAGGAATACAGCAGTAAAGAAAAACACAAGCTCTGGCTCTCAAGGGGTTTACCTGTGACAGAAAATAAACAAAATAGAGAAACAAATCAGTAAGTAATATGTCAGAAGCTGACAAGTTTAGGTAGAAAAGCTAAGTGAGTGGAAATAGGGCATTGCTCTGTGACATTGAAAGAGAGTAGGAAGGGACATGGTATTTATTGAGTTTGCTGTATTTGTCAGGTGTTTTGTTTATTTTTTCTTGTTAACCCTCAGAACTCAGAGGTGCATTTGTTTATATATGCCAAAACTAAGACCCATACAGATGAAATGATTTGCCCAAGGTCTCAGAAATAGCAACTGTTCAAGTCAGAATCAAACTCAGGTCTTACTAACTCTGCTCTACCATACAGTTTTTCTTACCTTCCCCATGATCCAGGTATTTAATGAGTGAATTTTTTTTATTAGCACTTTTCAATACACAAAGTATATTTCTATTCACACTCGGATTTAATTTTTGTAATATCTTAATGAAATAGGTGGTAGCATCAGCCTGACCCCTCAGAGGGATAAAATGATTTCCCCAAGTTAGAAAGTGGCATATCCACAAGTCTTTGACTCCAAAGCCTTTGCCCTTTCTATAAGCTAGAGGCCAAGCTAGAGGAGATATACCTTGGTGTTCAGAAGAATGGCCTCTTGAGCTGAAAGACTGGCATTTGAATCCCAGTTCCAAAACTTCATAGCTTTTTGGCCTTGAGATTTTAAAAACTCTAAGCTTCAGTTTTCTCCTATGTAAAATGAGAGTAACAATAATGTTTAACCTATGAGAATGAGTCAACACATCTAAAGCACTTACAACAGTTCCTGGAGCATAGTCAGTGGTACACAAAAATTAGATGTTAATATAATGTTGGAGAGATGAAACTAACATAATTGTCATATGTGCTTCCATATAATTTTAAAATGATGTGGTTTGGCAATAATTACAGCAGAAGTTCAGGCAATTGGGATGACCTACACAGGCACATGAACTTCTAGTTCCCAGGAGTCTTTTCAAAGGCCCCTATGGATATCTCCTTCCCAGCTTTTCCTTGTAAGCTTTTTGATTAGTCTATTGTTTGTCTCAAATCTTTTAAATAAAATTAATCTTTAGTTAGACAAATACAGGTTGTATATTTTTACGGTATACAACACAGGGTCTTGAAATATGTATACATTGTGGAATGACTAATTCAAAATAATGAACATATGCATTACCTCACATTTTGTGTGTGTGTGGTGAGAATACTTAAAATCTACTCTCAGCAATTTTCGAGTATGCAATAGATTTTTAATAACTATAGTCATTGTAGTATTGTACAATAGATCTCTTTGAAATAATTCCTCCTAACTGAAGTTCTGAATCCTTTGGCCAACATCTCCCCAATCTCTATCCTCAGTCGCCCCCTGCAGCCCCTAATAACCACCACTCTAATCTCTGCTTCTATAAATTTGACTTTTAGATTTCATATAGAAGTGAGATCATTTGTCTTTCTGTGCTTGGCTTATTTCCCTTGGCATAATGTCCTCCAGGTTAACCCATGTTGTCACAAATGAGAGGACTTCCTTCACTGTGGATATACACACATTTAAAAAATCTATCCATTTGTTGATTGATACTTAGGTTGATATATTGGCTGTTGTGAATAATGTTGCATTGAACATGGGAGTGCAGATATCTCTTTGACATACTGATTTTTATTTCCTTTGGATATATGCCCAGTAATGGGATAGCTGGATCATAGGGTAGTTCTATTTTTAGTTTTTTGAGGAAACTCTATACTGTTTTCATAATGGGCATACATACTAATTTACATTCCCATCAACAGTGTACAAAGTTTCCTTTTCTCTACATCCTCTCCACCACTTGTTATTTCTGATTTTATTTTTTGATAATAGCCATTCTAACAGACGAGAAGTGATAGCTCATTGTGGTGTTAAACTCCATGTCCACCCCAGTAGACCAAGGCTCCAGGCTTAACCCCATGGACCCAGGCATGTGGCCTTCCAACTTGCTGACCCAAGTACCAGGCAAGCCTGCCTGAAGGATCTAGCAGCAAACCTGTTCACTGACCATACCAGATGGCCAGCCCAGAATTTCTGGATGGACTGACTGGGAAAGGACTTTCCCCGATGAAGCCAGTCTTTAAATATTAAAATAAATGCCTACTTCTTCAAATGGGCAGCACCAAAGCATGCCTGCAAGGATCAGAAATGTGGTGTCAAAGGAACAAAATAACCAACCTTAAAGAAATGAATATTTGTAAACTTCCTGACAAAGAATTCAAAACAATCATCTTTAGAAAGCTCAATGTGCTACAAGGGAATACAGATAGACAACTACATAAAATCAGGAAAACAATACATGAACCAAATGAGAATTTCAATAAAGAGATATAAACTATAAAAAGAACCAAACATAAGTTCTGGAGCTAAAGAACACAACTATTGGGCCAGGTATGGTGGCTGACACCTGTAATCCCAGCACTTTGGGAGGCTGAGGTGGTTGGATCACTCGAGTCTAGGAGTTTGAGACCAGCCTGGGCAACGTGGTGAAACCAAGTCTCCACAAAAAATTAAAATGAAAATTAGCCAGGCGTGGTAGCTCACACCTGTGTTTCCAGCTATTCAGGAGGCTGAGGTGGGAGGATTGCTTGAGCCCAGGAAATCAAGGCTGCAGTGAGCTGTGATTGCACCACTGCACTCTAGCCTGGTGACAGAGCTGGACCCTGTCTCAGAAAAAAAAAAAAAAAAAACACAGTTATTAAACTGAAAAATTTCACAGAGAATTTCAACAGCAAACTCCGTCAAACAGAAGAATCAGTGAACTTGAAGATAGGTCATTTGAGGCCAGGTGTAGTGGCTCATGCCTGTAATCCCAGCACTTTGGGAGGCTGAAGTGGGTGGATTGCTTGAGTCCAGGAGTTCAAGACCAGCTTGTGCAACATGCTGAAACTCCTTCTCTAAAAAACAAACAAACAAAAAAATTAGCTGGCCATGGTGGTGTGTACCTGTGGTGGCGTGTGTTTGCGGTCCCACTTACCCTGCCAGCTGAGGTGGGAGGATCACTTGAACGCAGGAGGCTGAGGCTACAGTCAGCTGAGATGGCACCATTGCACTCTAGCCAGGATGACCCAGTGAGACCCTGTCTCAAAACAAACAAACAAACACACAAACAAGATAGGTCATTTGAAACTGCCCAGTCAGAGGAACAAAAAGAAAAAAAGAATGGGGTAAAGAAAACTTACAGGAATTAAAGTACATCATTAAGTCCCAACTCTTATTCAATATCTCAGGCAGCTGCAATGTTGAACAATTGTCTGTGCTTATTTTTGACAAACGTTCCTGGGGAAAAGGCTGTTTGCACAAGATGAGCTCTGAGTCAGGTCAGGTCAAATAAAGCTTGTGAGTGAGATCTTCTAGAGATTCACTAGATACGTCAAATAATGCCCATTCTCTGAGAATGGAACTTTGAAAGAGCTGTGACCCGTTCTGCCCCTTCCATTGGCTTCCAGGCTATTGGTTTTTACCATGGTTGTTTGCTGTTGGTTTTTAAGGCTATTACAGAGTGAAAGAGAAAGAAGTGGAAATAGAACAAATTAAAATGTCACAAAGATCTCTCTTTTTACTGTGATTTAACATTTTTTTTTCCCAGTAAGTGCACCCTGAATTGCTGTAAAACTTTAATTTTCAGAGTTATAAAAAAGTTGATTCTGATCTTTTTTTAGCATTTTCATTACTTTTTTGGAAAAAAGAATTTTTGGCAGTTATTCACCATTTAGTGGACTCACTGATAATATTTAATTAAATAATGTAATTGCAATAATGCTATGGAAGTAAACTGCAGGCTTTGGATAAACATGTGATATAATGGATGGGAACATATATGCACATGCTTATGTGAGAGTCTTACAGACTTTGAGCACTCAACATTCCATGGGTAGATCAGTGTGCTTTAGAAAGGGATTAGGGAGGTCTTTTTGTGAGTGGCTAAGTGGCTATGCATCAAGAAATCATCTGTCGTACACACTTATAACTAAAATGTGATATAGTGAATTTACTTTCTAAGTGCAAATAATCTCTGAGTTTATTGAATAATTCTTAAGTAGGAGATCAGTAGAACATATTCTATTAGCTTTTCAAGGGGTCATAATATTTTGGGTTCTGTATTTTTAAAGTACGGAGGCATGGCAGGTTCTGCATTCAATTTGTAACACAAACTGAGCCTAGAAAAGTTATGAACACTTTAAAAACACTGGAAATAGCACCTTTGTCAAAACTAAATTGACTGTTTTATGAGTCTGTTCTCACGATGCTATAAGGACATATGCAAGACTGGGTAATTTATAAAGGAAGGAGGTTTAATTGGCTTACTGTTCAGCATAGCTGGGGAGGCCTTAGGAAACTTACAATCATTGTGGAAGGGGAAGCAAACACATCCTTCTTCACATGGTGGTAAGGGAGAGAAGAAGTGCTGAGCAAAAGGGGGAAAAGCCCCTTATAAAATCACCAGACATGAGAACTCACTCACTATCACAAGAACAGTATGAGGGTAACTGCCCCCATGATTAAATTACCTCCCACCTCGTCCCTCCCACAACCTGTGGGAATTATGGGAACTACAATTCAATATGAGATTTGGGTGGGGACATAGCAAAACCCTATCAACTATATACATAAAGGTTTATTTTTGGACTCTCAATTTTGCTCCATTTATCTATATATGTCTATCTTATGCCAATATCGCACTGTCTTAATGACTATAACTTTGTAGTAAGTTTTGAAATTGGAAAGTGAAATATCTCCAACTTTGTTCTTTTTCTAAATTATTTTGGCTATTCTAGCTTTGCATTGCCATGTAAATTTTAGGATCTGATTTTCAATTGCTACAAAAATGACCATTGGAATTTTGATAAGGTTGCATTGAATCTATAGATCAATCTGGGGGAAAATTACAATGTTAACAATAGTGAGTTTTCCAATCCATAAACATGAAGTGTCTCTCCATTTGTTTAGATATTTATTTTCTCCTCAGCAAAGTGTTATACTTTCCATGTATGAGTATTATACTTCTTTCATCAAATATATTCCCAAGTGTTTTATTCTTTTTGTATGCTATTGTGAATGGAATGGTATTCTTAATTTCAATTTCAGATTATTTACTGGTCATATATACAGCTTAGTAGATCTCCTTTATTTTTGATGCCTATCAAAGAAATTTATGTGAGAACAGGGCCCTGGGTGATTTAAAGTGCTGCTGTAAATTCTTAAGGTGATAATAAACCTCTCATGGATAAAACCATATCTTATTCATCAGAATATACCTGAAACCCTTAGCATAGGTCTTGCATATAATGGGAACTTATCATTTTATTATTGAATAAACATATGAATTTTGGAACATTATTTTTTCAGTCTAAAACTATTGACTCACATTCGTCAGTTACCTCGATGGAATCTTGATCTGTGTAAGTAATGTGAGTTAAAGATTCATTATAAGCTCTTATCAAGTTAGGAGTTAAAAGTTTTATCATGGATGATAATTAACATTTTATGAAATTACATATTAGCATTAGGGGTTTTGTGACAAATGTTTTTGTTTTATAACATAAACACTTAAAGAAATTTGATAGATGGTAATTGTTTAAGCAAGAGTATACTTGTTGATTTAAAATGTTTCCGGAAATCTAGGTTATAAACTTAGAGGTGTTGCGAAAAGAAAATCTGATGTACCAGTTATTCAGCACACCTAAGTAGCAGTTCCTGAGTTTCTGCTACTGTCTTCACTTATCTCCACCTCATAATACAGAATTTGGGGGCATTTTGAAATTTCAGGGCACAGTAAACCTTAAACTGTCATACTGGATGGCCTTGCCAAAATGTTTACCTCTGTGAACAAGAAAGCTTTTTCTCATACAATGGAACTTAACAACATTTGTAGGATGCATGAGGAAACTTTTTCCATGAGTTGAATAGTGTTTTTTTTGGTAGGACCATCACTTGAGACTACTAACCATGTATGACAGAGCTCATATAAGATCAGTGTCAGTCCCAGTTTACATCTGTAGTACCCATGTCTGTCTGATTGATCATTTGTCCTCGATTTTTGTTTTTTAAAGGCAGTAACTATGTTATTAATATTTACCTCAAAGAAAGCAGGAATGGGTTTGAACATCCTGTTTTGTACTTTCAGCTTTTGCCATGGTCCCTTGCAGATGCTTGTGCAGTGACCAGGGTTCTCATTAAGGTGTATGATAAATAAATTTGAAAAGCAGCAATAACCTGACCCTTTTGGAGGCAATGTATCTGATGCCTTCCATTCAAGAATGGTAGGGAGGGTCCTTGTTGATAAAACAGATCATACAAGCATATGAAATTAGGGACAGCTCACTCCTTCTGGTCTCAGGTGATGGTCGGAAGTGGCCTCTTGAAGTAACAGCCTATTGAGCTATGGCCCATGCTGTGAAATTCATGAAGGCATCACCAATTGCTGGAGTCAGAGGGAAATGGGAATTTTAGCTTAGATGCTCTGTACAGAGAACAGAGGCTGAGCTGCCCTGCACCAGAGAATATCTAGAGATCTGATTGCTCTCCCTACAGTGGTATTGTCACTTATCATAAGTTATAAATCTAAAACTATTTTTACATTTTTAGTATTTGGTAACACTTTTAAATTTTTAATAACTCTCAAAACATCAAAAGTGCATTAAGACGTCAGATTAAGTAGTGCAATTTTTGACTCTTACAGATAATTAATACAAAATATTTGTGGACATTTACCACCCAATGGTGGGCAGGGGGAGCGCATGCTGAAACAATATTAGCATCTGCCTCAAAAATGAATCGTTATTTTAAGAAGATTATGTCTGAAGACCACAATTTAATAGGTAAGTCTGCAGAATGTGTCTACGTACACCACTGTGGAAAGCACAACACTTTATTTATACCAAATAACTACTCTTCTATATTAGTTTTGCTCCTTTTTGATTCTGTTTTCTAGTATACCTATGAAACAATACTGATTGTATATGTGTCAGCTCCATTAGCAGCACTTTGCAATCAGTTAAATGATAACAATTTTTAAAATAGTCTGCCATCAGATACTTAAAATAGAAAATTGTTTGTTTATTCCTATAATGGTTTGATATTTTCATCCAATTCATAGAAGTTAAAGAAAAACGTGGAAGTTCATTTTGTCAAAGCTGAAGCAACTGGCATTAACTATGAATGTTATCAAAAATCCAGTTAAAACAGTTAACACTGTTGATAAAATCATTTGTTTTTCATGGTAATATGCATATATATTTTGGTGGAGCACAGGGTTGTGGTAAAAGCAATGTTCTCATTAAATTAAAACTTGTACTCTGGGATTGGTTGTGATGCAATATTCTATACAATAGGAGCTGAAATTCTACCATTCAAAGTAGAAGTTGTAGTTATAAGAATTTACAAATATTTTAATATATAATTAGGAAACCACATTTTTTGTGATATAGCTAAGTTTTAATTTTAAAAAGTACTGTGGCATGATGGCATGTATTTCTTACTGTCTATTATCAAATGAATTTTAGGAATGTTTAAATCTGAAGAATTTCTTTGTAAATCATCTTAAGTCTAACTGTAATGGTAAAGAAATTTAAACAAGTGCTAAGTTTTTATTGCATTTTCATCAAATTAAGTTGAAAAATTTAATCAATGTAGTAATAAACATAGCTTCCAAAATCTCAGCATTTGAAACTTGTAACAAAGTATAATTACTGCAAAACCTTATGACATTGAACTTTTTCCAGTGACACAACTGAACAAATTAATTTATGATCTCAAATGTAGTATAAGATTTAAATTTGAAATTCTATAGCTGCATATTGCAGTATCATGACTTGTGAGAAGAATCTTTTGATGGAGCTTCTATTTTTAATTAGATAAATTTATGTTTTATGCCAGAATGGAACGAAACTGAGAAGGACTATAATTTTGCAGCATTCAAGTTTGGCAAAGCATTAAAAAGATTCATAAAGAGAGATGACTTATTTGATAAGATTTGTCTTGTAAAAATATTTGTTGAAGAAAAGGCCTTTGAAAAGCACTTTGTGAGGCAAAAGACAGTGCCTGTGAAAATGTTTGGATTTAAATAATCACTAGTACAGAAATTATCATTGATAATATTCTCTGTTTAGCAGAAATTACACTGAGTTTATCAAGCATCTTGGCACCTATCCAGAGAATTCTGTATTTAAAACCTGTGGTCTACAGAGAAGTATCCATTGCAGATGTCAATAATTTTCCAAAATACTGAAGAAAATGCAGGCAGTTTTATGAAACAAAAAAAAAAATTATACAGAAAAATGAAGTCTTCAGAAAAACACCAGGATATAGTATTAGGGAAAAATATTATTTTAAAAATGATGAAAATGATGATAATTTTTCTGCTTTTGTTATTTGTTAGTGTTCACATATTTAATATGAGTTTTAAAAAATGGTTATTTAGTCATTTATTTGTTCTAGAGATGGGTCTAATTCTGTTGCCCAGGCTGGAGTGTAGTGGCTGGAGTGCGTAGCTCACTGCATGTAGCCTAAACTCCTGGGCTCAAGCAATCCTCCTAAGTAGCTGGGACCACAGGCCTGTGCCACCATGCCCTGCTAATATGAGTTTTTAAAATTGTGTTTAGTATACATGAACATGGTTATTTTCAGTTTTTTAGAGAATTTTTTTAAAAAAGTAGTAGTTGGATAGTACTATTTAAATAGTCTAACAATATAATGCAAATAATTTGTTGATCAATAATCTTTCAAAAAAATCAGGTAATTTTAATTACTTTTAATGCCTTCTTTCTCTTCATGAGTTCCAGCTTGGATGAGTAATTGGCCTACATATAAGGGATATGATAGCAAAAGATCTTTGTCTTGAGATTCATCCTGGACCAACTGTACTCAGCACCCAAGTAGCTTCTATCAGTTCTGTGCCTGACTTGGCACATTTTGTTTGCTTCCCATTCTCTGTTAGCCTGTGCTACACTGATTTCCTTGACAATTTCTCCCTCAGAAATCCCATGGGTATAGCCTGATGTTTGAGTCCTTTCCAAGTGTGCTTTGGTTCCAGAATTTTTGAGTTGTGTACTAGGTAGTGTTGTTGATTGCCAGTCTTTAGTTTTCATCATTATCATCTTTTAAATTTGTTCATGTTTTATCCCCACCCTCCCAAAAGAATGTATTAGATGTTTCAAAGATTCTTCCCTTAGTGTTTAATTCATTTCTACTTTACTCAGATTAACCTAAAGCAGATAACCTGATATTCAGGTCAATGTTCTACAAATAGAACTACTTGCTTGCATTTTAATTTGTTAATTATTTGTAATAATGAATTAAGTATTATATTTTTCTGCCCATCCTAATTCTAGGAAAATCTCTTTATATAAACAACTATTCGTTAGATTCAGCAAGGCCACTGTTGTATCAGGAAATTTAATTAACGTGAGTTTGTCATCCTTCTGGAATACCAAGGAAGTTTCTGTCTATTAAGGCATTCTGCTAAAAATATTGCCAGCTGCAATTATGATAAAATTCATCCCTGGAAATCAATTTTTGTTTGTGATTATTTCATGATTTATAACCCTTTCTGTAAAAATTATACCTTCCTTGTTGATGATATGCAGCCACTGCTTTTGTAAAAAACCAAAACTAATTATAAGGCAAAAACTTCAAAATATATTCCAAGTGTTACTTTAATCCTTATAAATATGCCATGAATAGCTCATATAAAAGATCATAGCTTTTTTGTAACCCATATGTTGTAAAATACTGCTGATGGGATATCACAGTAAATAACAACATTTTTCACTCAACAAATGATCAAGGAAAATTTTTTTCACACTGCTTGGATTAGCTATACTTTACTGTTGTAACTTAAGATACTCAAGTATACTGACAGAACTTACCAAAATTCCAGGCTGTGTGCATGTGACTTAGTATACTTATACCACAGTAATATCATGTCACTTTGTGGGCCTTGGAGAGAGTAAGGAGGGTACCACATGGGAAAGGTTTATATGACACTTTGGGTTTAATATTTCTATACTAGTAGTGTCCAAGATGATTTATTCTTCTCTCATCTAACTGTCTGTTGACATGACAGTCTCCTTGGAGAGGTTGGAGATACTGGTTTCCATTGCTTAGAGCACAGTTTTCCCCTTTGGCTTGAGATTCCTAAGTGCTGCATTTGAAACTATCCTTACAATGATACTAACAGCAAATGAAACTTTGTAGACTGTGTGTGCTATATAAACTCAACATAAAAGCTTCAACTTGCTTGTTACAAAGGTGCTAGATAATAGAATCACTTTAGATATTTCCTCACTAAATAAGGTAGCATTTGTGTTCTGGTTACTCCTATTGCATTTGTATCCTAATGTATAATCCAAGAACAAATCAATTTGATGTCCAAGGTAGGGAAAACCAACCCTTTGGATATTGTACTTTTGGGCTTGTCCAAATAAAAAACAACTGTCTAAGGGGTGCTTTATAAACATTTGTTATGTTGTACCTAGAGTTGTTGCCATTTTCCAGTGTATTGTTTGTTAATAGGGCCTTAAGTGCCTTTGGGCTTCCATCATCCTTTTGGTTCATATGTCAGATAATTCTACCTCAAAAGAAAATCCAGTTAACTTAAATAAACACAATGGAATTTTGGGAGTCTGACACTTAAAACCAACATGGTGATGCAACTCTAAAATCTGATGATTTGCTTATCTTTTGTGTGTTCATTTTGTTGCCTTAGGGTGTAGAAACATCAAGAAGAGGGACTGGAAAAATAACTTTTTTAAGTCACAGCTACCCTTTCCTAGGAGATATAAAAGCTGAATGTTGTGGGGCTTCATCACAGTTGATGCCAATCAACCGAAGCTAATAAATGTCCATGAACTTAGTGTAATTCCAGTATGCCAGAACCCTAGTAAGCCTAAATGAAGCCTCTTTCCTGACAAATGAGCAATGAAACATTTTTCCCCCACTGACTAAAGATTTCATTTTATTAAAAAAATACTAACATGTCATAAACTTATCTTTGTGTATATGTGTGTATGAGTTTTAACTCTTCTATAGATGTGTGTAATTACCATTATAATCAGTACACAGAACAAATCCATTGCTCCCCAAAATTTCTTCTTGCTGACCTTTTGCAGTCAAATACTGTCCTTATCCCTAATCCTTGTTGACCACTAGTCTTTTTTCTGTTTCCATATTTTTGTTTTTTCTTGGATGTTGTGTATATGAAATCATATTGTTTACAGCCTTTGAAACTGGCTTCTTTCACATAACACGCTTTATTACCCATTCACTTATTGAAGGATATATTTTTCCCTTTCCCCTTCCTTTCCTGTTTTTGGAGGTTATGAATAAGGCTGCCATAAATATTCCCCTTCCCTTTCCTTTCCTGTTTTTGGAGGTTATGAATAAAACTGCCATAACTATTCATGTATTGGTTTATGTATGAAATACATTTTTATTTCTTGTATGAAATGTGAGATTTCTGTGTCATGTGATAGGTGTATGTTTAATTTTTTAAGAAACTGTCAAATGATTTCCCAAAACATTTGTACCACTTTGTATCCTCTCCTGGCCCCAGCAATGTATAAGAGTTCTATTTACTCTGCATCCTTGACAGCACTTGGTATTTGTAGTTTTTTGAATTTGAGTTACTCAAATTGATTTGCAGTGATATCATATTATGGTTTTAATTTGAATTTTTCTGAAGACCGATGATGTTGAGCATATTATCATGTGTTTATTTTCCATTTGTATATTTGCTTTAGTAAAATGTTGCTTTAAATCTTTTGCCTAATTTCTAAAAACCGGGCTCTTATTACTGAATTTTAAGAGTTTTTTAAAAAACATGTAAATTCTGAATACAAGCCCTTTGTGGGAATTGGGGTTTGTTTTAACAGACTGTTTACAAATAATATGTATTTATTTGATTCTATACAGAGTAATTTTTAATACTTAACTAGCATAAACACCATGAACTCCTCTTTTCTAGTAATTACTCTGACTTTTTTCCTTCAGTCAAGTGCTCAGTAACTTTTTTTCATTGGCCTATGTTCTCTTCTCTGGCAAGTTAGTAGATTTGGAATTTAACAACAACAACAAATCTGGCAGCCTTTTTATTTTTTTCATTGTTTGACAGAATGAATCCTGACTGTCATCTCCCAAACAGGCTGCCTTGGACACGCTGCTTAATCTCCCAGAGTTTCAATTTACATCACTATAAAATAAAATGCCTCTTAAAATTTTTGTAAAGATTAAATAAGGTAAGGTCTATAAAGTGCTTAATTAGGGCCTGGTACATATTGGAAGTTCAATAAATATCTCTCCTGTATCAATAATATTAGTTGTGGCTGCTCTCATATACTTTAACCACATATTTAGTCTTGCAGGTTAATGAATGCATAGGAAACACAGTTTAGAAAAACAGTTAATCTGACAGAAAAATCAGATGTTCAATAATGGAGGTATTTCAGATTTCTAGTATTCTCTGCCAGATATTATAGTTCTGTGACTAGCTATTTAGGAAGTCAGGAAATTGGCCTCAGTCTCTGATGGACAACTGCATAATGTACTTCCTTAGTAAACTCAATTAGAGCTATAGCTATGGATGGGGAGAGGCCAAAAATAGTGATTATAGCTTGTGAAAGCATTAGCAGTCCAATAATTGTATAATGAAGAGCAAGCGAGTACTTCCACAATTACGGGAGAAACATAAAGTGCTTAGTTAAATAGTTATTTGGTGTTAATCAAAGATTGTTTTTCTGGCAGTAAATTACTAGTCGTGATTTTATTTACCCTGAATAACTAAATTATCTTAGATTTTCCTAATATAAATGTAAAAATTTTAAGAATTTTTTTTTGTCTTTTAAATGTATTCTTTTTTAAAGCATCCAAGTCTATCATTTAACTTTGGAAGACAGTGCAAAGGGGGATAAACTTTAGAAAAATAGTAAATTCATGCCAGGGAAAAAGCCTCCTGTGGCCAGTTCCAAGATTCATCCTTCATAGGTCATTTGTGAGAAAAAGAGAAAAGAGAGCAATTGAGAAAGAGAGAGCGAGAGAGAGAGATGGTTAATCATTGTTGGGCTATATCAGTGGTTTCCAAACTTTATTACACATTGGACCCATCTAGGAGAGAAGCTTTAAAAGATATTGGATATTGATACCTGGCTTCTATCCCTGTACATTCTGATTTAATTAGTATGGGGTTTTGATCTGGATGTTGAGAATTAGAAAACCTTCCTGGGTGATTCTTATGTGCAGTAAAATTAGAAGTCACTGGATTAGATATAAATGAAAGAAAAAGTTTGGTTAAGGGTCACTCTTGACTGACAGCTGTGTGGGAAGGAAATGGTGTCCCATAACAAGATTTTTATTAAACTTCACAAGAAATTTGCTTAAGCATTTTGCCAGAAATGTTAATTTCTTCCCCAAAGGAAGAAAGGTTGGCTTTCGTACCAGGTGTGAGACAGTTTTTCTCCTTCAGAGGAAATTGCACTGGAGTAGGAATTAAGCAGCTTGATTCTTGACCTGTCTCTGGTTCTTACCTGCCTCACTCACTAGCTGAGTTACACTGGGAACTTTCTAACCTCACTAGTCTTCAATTTACTCATCAGTAAGTGATAATATAAGACTAGGTAAATTTTATAATATTTTCTGGCTCTGAAATCCTAGCCTGCTTCCAGTGTGACAAGATTTACAAATGTTTTACCAGCTAGTCACTAATTTTATGGATCTTGAGGATGTCTTTCAACATGGGATAAAAGCCATATCAGCCCACCATTGCCCAGAACTTTGGAAGTATAGAAGCAGATGGATTTGTTTTGACCATGACACAGAGGACTATCTGATGGCCCACCATAGCCAAGAAAAGAAACATTTAATGAACACTCCATATTCCTTCTCTGCAATAAATATATCCTCCTGGATGAGGAGGGAATGGAATGCTGATGGGTTTCTGAGACTCCTTCCTTGTAAACCATTTCGAGTTCTCTGGAATCTGGGTTTAGTACAAGTAAAAAATGAAAAGTAAAAAGCCCCACAGTTAGGGTTTGTAGAGGGAGTATGGATTTTCTAAATATTGAAAGCTTCCATTAGTATACTGAAAGCTAGATCTGGTGGGCTTGAATGTTGTTTGTATAAGTCAGGAATAATGGAAATTTTCTGCCATGCAGGAAGGGAGGATAGTTTTCTCCTTGTAAGTCTGATGGAATGAGGAGAGGGAAAGTGAGTGAGACAAAAATGTCAGGTTCAGAGGATGGTGGGTGTGGATAATATGCATCTGGAAGAAACTTCACAATGGACTTTGGAGCTACGTCTAACATAATAAGGATGAACTAGTGCAGTGCTGGTGGAAAGGGGTGGGTAGTTAGTATGCACATATAAGCAGCAAAATATTGCTTTACAAACTAAAAATTTATATTGAAGTTATTATTATTAAAGTGATTTTATTGTAAGAATCTTTTGCAAGCTACTTATTTCACTTGTTATATTTTTTGAAATATATACAGATTGATAAATGTAGTACTTTTCATTTATTATAAGTGCTATTCATTATTCCAGTGAATGACCACACCACAATTTATTAATTTTTTGTCCAGTAAATGGGCATTTAAAAAGCATACTGTTTTGTTTTTTTTTTTCATTTACAAACAGTGATGCAGAACATGTCTTTGTTAATCTCACATGTTCTCAGGTGTTTATCAAGTGAAGGTCAACTGCTCTACTCACAATGACCTTATCTACCTAATTTTCACCTAGATTCCAGTATTCACCTTCTTCCGTTCCCCTTTCTTGCTAGAAGTGATAACAGCCTCTGCTACCCCTAGTCCTCGGTTAGTGTTTATCTCTTATAGTTCCCTTTATATCCATAAATTTATAAAGAGTTCTTTTGTAAAAGGGGTTGGGACAGATTCAGGGTGTTGCTTCCAGCAAAGTTTGCTTTTGTTTGTGCTATGCATCCAGCCTACACCACTTTAGAGTTAATTTCTTAAATCAGAGACTCCTAGGCCATGTGGTAATGTACATTCAAATTTCAAATTTATGTATGCACAGACCTGGTGTTAAAAATTCTCAGAGGAGATAATTTTCTACCCAGAGCCCATACAAAACAAATGACTTATGTATTTCCCATTGCTAATGGGTAGATCTATTTTTATTCCACCCTTTCACTGAAGGTGTAGGCTTCTAGCATCCAAGCACCACATTTGTCAATGTGTGCATGTGTGCGTGCATGTTTTTGTGAGTGTTTTTGGTGTCTTGTGGGAGGGAGGGATGGTAGTCCCAGTTCTAAATTTCAGCTTCTCTCAAAACAAAGACCTTTTGTTCTTTACCCTTGTGGTCATGACGATCCATGTGTCTACATTTACAAGGATTGGCAGAACTCCCCAGACAGCCACACTGACAACTCATATAACACAATTGTAGTTTTTCCTTTTCTTTTCTGGTCCCAAAGCATTTGTCTTATTTTCTTGTGAATGCATCATCTATGCTTTTCAGATAATGTTTCTTATATTTTACCAAGTGTTTTAAGTCATTTTGGGGGCCATTTTTCTGGTTGTTGTGTGAGCACATCTTCCATTTCACTAGGTATTACCAAAATTGCTTTCCAAGTAAGTAGTAGTACCAATTTGCCCTCCCACATGTTGTTCCATGCCCTCACTAACAATTGATAATGAAGAGGTGAATTAAAAAAGACTCAATCATAAAGTATTGTCAGATATAAAAAATTGTCAGATAAGTTAATATTATCATAAATGGTATCTCACTGTTTGTTAATGTGTGTTTCCCTAATTATAAGAGATATTGGCCATCTTTATATATATATATATATATACTAAGACTAAAAGGTATACTATAGTTTTCTACTGAGGGAATTGTTTTTTCACATTCTTTGTTCATTCCTGCCCTTTCCTAATTGGGCTTTTGGTCTTTTTTTGATTAGTTTGTGGATTTTAAAAATATATATCCTGGTGTGACTCCTTTGTGGTTTATTTGGGTTACAAATATTTTCTTCCCAACTTGTGGCTTATTTTTCTACTTTATGTATGGTAGGTAGATTTCATTTTACTACTTTACTTGTGGAGTTTATTTCATTGTTTTATTCCTAAGTATCTTAAATTGTTCATCTTTAGAGCCTTGCAAATCACCACTGATCTTTGCAAAAAATAATTTTGCTCTGGTACTAATTATTAAAATATATTATTAACCTCAGATTGTATAATCTATACTCTTTGTTTTTAGATAATGCTCTTTCTGTTCATCTTTTGAAATTATAAGTTGTTACACACAAATATTTCCGTATTTCAATGATTCTATTAAATACATGGTGCAAGGCTTATTCTCAGAGGCAGTTTGTATGACAAATTTAGCAGTAAAATTTGGTATACTTTCAATAATGACCCTATATATGTGCTTCCCTGAATAGAATGCTATAAGAAAAATAACAAAAGTTAAGCAAGAAGATCATGGTTGAATTATAATTTATTATGATTATTGCTAATAATTAACAATAGTAAAAATTATACATGACACATTCATTTTTATTAATATAAATAACAAAGTAGAAATGAAGAAAATTTAGAAAATAGAGAAAAGTAGAAAAACATTATTCATAATCTTATTGTATTAGTTCATTTTCACGCTGCTGATGAAGATATACCTGAAACTGGGAACAAAAAAAATGTTTAATTGGACTTACAGCTCCATTTGGCTGGGGAGGCCTCAGAATCATGGCAGGAGGTGAAAGGCTCTTCTTACATGGCTGTGGCAAGAGAAAATGAGGAAGAAGCAAAAGCAGAAATCCCTGATAATCCCATCAGATCTCATGAGACTTATTAACTATCATGAGAATAGCATGGAACGACCAGTCCCCATAATTCAATTACATCCCCTTGGGTCCCTCCCACAACACATGGGAATTCTGGGAGATACAATTCAAGTTGAGATTTGGTGGGGACATAGCCAAACCATATCATTCTGCTCCTGACCTCCAAATCTCATGTCCTCACATTTCAAAAACCAATCATGGCTTCCCAACAGTCCCCCAAAGTCTTAACTCATTTTAGCGTTAACCCAAAAACCCACAGTCCAAAGTCTCATCTGAGACAAGGCAAGTCCCTTCCGCCTATGAGCCTGTAAAATTAAAAGCAAACTAGTTACTTCCTAGATACAATGAGGGTACAGGTATTGGGTAAATACAGCCATTTCAAATGGGAGAAATTAGCCAAAACAAAAAGGGGTTACAGGGCCCATGCAAATTTGAAATCCAGGGGGGCAGTCAAATTTTAAAGCTCCAAAATGATCTCCTTTGACTCCAGGTCTCACAATCAGATCACACTGATGCAGGAGGTGGGTTCCCATGGTCTTGAGCAGCTCTGCCCCTGTGCCTTTGCAAGGTACAGACTTCCTTCAGGCTGCTTTCACCGGCTGGTATTGAGTGTCTGTGGCTTTTTTAGGTGCACGGTGCAAACCGTGGGTGTATCTACTGTTTTGGGTTCTGGAGGACAGTGGCCCTCTTCTCACAGCTCCATTAGATAATGCCCCAGTAGGGACTCTATGTGGGGGCTCCCACCCCACATTTCCCTTCCTCACTGCCCTAGCAGAGGTTCTTCATGAGGGCCTCACCCCTGTAGCAAACTTTTGCCTGCGCACCCAGGCATTTCTATAAATTGTCTGAAATCTAGGCGGAGGTTTCCAAACCTCAATTCTTGACTTCTGTGTACTCCCAGGCTCGATACCACATGGAAGCTGCCGAGTCTTGGGGCTTGTACTCTCTGAAGCCACAGGCTGAGCTCTATGTTGGCTCCTTTCAGCCATGGCTGGAATGACTGGGACACAGGGCACCAAGTCCCTAGGCTGCACACAGCATAGGACCCTGGGCCAGGCCCACAAAACCACTTTTTCTCCCTGGCCTCTTGGGCCTGTGATGGGAGGGACTGCCTTGAATGTCTGTGACATGGCCTAGAGACATTTTCCCCATGGTCTTGGGGATTAACATTAGGCTCCTTGCTATTATGCAAATTTCTGCAGCTGGCTTGAATTTCTGCCCAGCAAATGGGATTTTTTTTTTTTTTTTTGCATAACCAGGCTGCAAATTTTCTGAACTTTTCTGTTCTGCTTTCTTATAAAACTTGATGCCTTTAACAACCCAAGACACTTCTTGAATGCTTTGCTGCTTAGAAATTTCTTCCATGAGAAACCCTAAATCATCTTTCTCAAGTTCAAAGTTCCACAAATCTCTAGGGCATGGACAAAATGTCACCAGTCCCTTTGCTAAAACATAACAAGAGTCACCTTTACTCCAGTTCCCAACAAGTTCCTCATCTCCATCTGACACCACCTCAACCTGAATTTTATTGTTCATATCACTATCAGCATTTTGGGCAAAGCCATTCAACAAGTCTCCAGGAAGTTCCAAACTTTCCCACATTTTCCTGTCTTCTTCTGAACCTTCAAACTGTTCCAACCTCTGCCTGTTACCCAGTTCCTAAGTCACTTCCACATTTTCGGGTATCTTTTCAGCAATACCCCATTCCCGGTACCAATTTACTGTATTAGTTCGTTTTCATGCTGCTGATAAAGACATACCCAAAACTGGGAACAAAAAGGTTTAAATGGACTTACACTTCTACATGGCTGGGGAGGCCTCAGAATCATGGCAGGAGGCGAAAGGCTCTTCTTACATGGGCGCAGCAAGAGAAAATGAGCAAGAAGTGAAAGCAGAAACCCCTGATAAACCCATTAGATCTCATGAGACTTATTAACTATCATGAGAATAACATGGGAAAGACCTGCCCCCATGATTCAATTACCTCCCCCTAGGTCCCTCCCACAACACATAGGAATTCTGGGAGATAAATTCAAGTTGACATTTGGAAGGGGACATAGCAGCCAAACCATATTACTTATCTTCTGAACACAATCAGTATTAAAGTTTTGATGTTTTCCTCTTAGCTTTCCTTTATATGCATAAAGTTCCTCCAACGCAGATATAATGAATCTATACACAATCTTGCATTCTGATCTTTTACTTAATTGTATAAGTATTTATTCATATTATGACATAATATATTTCTTACTTTAGGAAAGACTTGAAGCAGTTTAAGCAATAATTCAAGATAAAACATTTAAAGATAAAGAGGAAGGGCTAATCTGATAGAAGTAGGTTCTCTCTGGCATCTGTCAGACAGGTTATAGCATTAGGACTATGAATTTTCATTTAACATTTCTCTCAGCTATGTTGAGATGGGTAGCTTGTGGGTATTATTATTTATTTGACAAATGAGAACATTCTTACTAATATAGAAAACAATGGGCATGTGTTGTTAAACACAGTATTTTTCATGAAATTAAACTTAATGTAGAAATTTATTATACATGGGAGTATAGCTAGGGTGACCATATACTTTATTTTCTGAACCAGGGCACTTTTGACAGTATATAGAAGCTCTCTGTTATTAATTACTGGAGCAGGCTGGGTAGGGGAGCTCACTCTTGTAATCCCAGCTCTTTGGGAGGCTCAGATGAGAGGATCTCCTGAGGCCCAGAGTTTGAGACCAAACTGAGCCGCATAATGAGATCTCATCTCTACAAAAAAGAGAAAAAAGAAAAATCAGATGTGGTGGCACAGACCTGTAGTCCTAGCTACTCAGGAGGTTAAGGCAGGAGGATCACTTGAGCCCAGGAAGTTGATGCTGTGATAACCATGATTGTGCCACTGCACTCTAGCCTGGGTGACAGAGTGAGACTTTGTCTCAAAAAACAAACAAACAAAAAACAAAAAAAACCCCACAAAAAAACCCCAAAAATTGGGACAGTAGGACAGCAGAAATAAGCTAGGATTGTGCTGGTGAGGCCGGAATATATGTTATATGGCTGACATGGCTTTGCTGTTCAGACCTCAATCCTTAAACTCTCTTACACAGCTGTGCATTTTTTTCACGTGGTTCCTTTTTACATAAATAACGTGCAAATATGACAACATAATCTGACATTGCTGAAAAATGGAAGATTTACCAAAAGATCTGTCTTTTGTGTTGGGTACTAATGGGTTCAAATACAATCACTCTTCCAGGTCATTAATCTATATACTTAAATACATTTATGATGACTCGAAGATAGAGTTGACTCTATAGTATTGGTTTCAATGTTTTCTAGTCTTTGAAAATATATTTCTTCTGTTACGTTATGGATTTTTTTTATTATAGATTTGATAGATACTGTTAGCTGCTCCTAACATTGTCTTCTTACCTATTATCGAACTCTTAATCTTTAACTAAGTATAGTGCTACCTGAAATACATACATATCTTATTATATTGCTCATTGCTTTGCAGTACTTTGCAAACACTGTGCTTTTTACAAATTGAAGGTTTGTGGCAGCTCTGCTTTGAACGAGTCTGTCGTTTATTTTTCCAACAGCATGTGCTCACATTGTGCCTCTGTGTCACGTTTTGGTAATTTCTTGCAATATTTCAAAATTGTTTATTATTATTATTGTTGTTGTTGTTACATCTGTTATGATGAACTGTTATCAGTGATCTTTGATGTTACCACTGTAATTGTTTTGGTGCACCTTAATTAAGACAGCAACTTAATTGATAAATGTTGTGTGTGTTCTGACTACTCTACTGATTGATTGTTCTCCCATCTCTCTCCCATCTCCCTGGACCTCCTATTCCCTGAAACAAAACAATATTGAAATTAAGCCAATTAATAACCTAAAATGGTCTCTAAGTGTTCGAGTGAAAGGAAGAGTTACATGTGTCTCACTTTAAATCAAAAGCTAGAAATGATTAAGCTTAGTGAGGAAGAAGAAGATAAACTCAGGCTAAAACTAGCTGGCCTACAAGTATAGATGAAAAGAAACACAATTCTGCCAAGGAAGGCTGTGTTTTCAAGCCCTTTAAAAAGACCTTTCATTAGGAGTTCTGTGCCAGAAGCTGTGTAGCAGCAAAAATTAGATTTAGATATTGCCTTCCATTGGCTTTAAGGCACATACCTTTAAGAGAAATGAGGGGAAGAGTTATTTTATGAGGCCAGTAACTGCAAGAGTAAATGTCTAGACTTAAAATATATTTCTAGATAAGATTTTTGGGGTGGGTCATATGCATAGGAAATTGATGTGAAAGAAGTAGATTAAAATTTTACTAAAATTTCAAAGAATTTCTTGCCAAAGTAGCAAGGACTCTGATGAAAATGGGAACACAACATACCAAAACCTATGGGTTGAAGCAAAAGCGGTTCTGAGAGGGAGATTTCTAGCAATAAATACCTATATCAGAAAAAGAGAAAGATCTTAAATAAACAACCCAATATTATACCTCAATGAACTAGAAAAAGAAGAACAATGTAAGCCCAAATTTAGCAGAAGGCAGGAAATAAAGATCAGAGCAGAAATAAATGCAATAGAGATTAGAAACACAATACAAAAATAAATGGAAGCAAGAGTGGGTTTTTTGAAAAAATAAAATTGACAAACTCTTAGTTAGATTAACTACAAAAAGAGAGAAGACTCAAATAAATAAGGTCAGAAATGAAAGATGAGACATTACAACTGATATTACAGAAGTACAAATGATCATAGAAGATTATTGATATGGTTTGGATCTGTGTTTCCACCCAACTCTTATGTTGAATTGTAATCCCCAATGTTAGAGGTGGGGCCTGGCGGGAGGTGATTAGATCATGGGGGTGCATTTCTGATGAATGGTTTAGTACCATCGCCTTGGTACTGGCCTCATGATAGGGAGTGAGTTCTTGCAAGATCTGGTTGTTTAACAGTGTGTGGCACCTCCCCACTCTTGCTTCCTTGCTCCTGCTTTCGCTGTGTGATGTGCCTGCTCCCGCTTCACCTTCCATCATAATTGAAACTTCCTGGGGCCTGTCCAGAAGCAGATACTGCAATGTTTCCTGTACAGCCTACAGAACCATGAACTAATTAAACATTTTTTTCTTAATAAATTACCCAATTTCAGGTATTTCTTCTTCTTCTTCTTTTTTCTCATAAAACTTATGACTCAAAGGTATTTCTTTATAGGAATGCAAGAATGGCCTAATTACTATGAACAATTATATGTCAACAAATTGGATACCCTAGAGAAATGGATAAATTCTTAGACACATAGAACCTACTAACACTGAATCAAGAAGAAATAGAAAATAAGAACAGACCAATGATGAGTGAGGAGATTGAATCAATAATTTAAAAAGTCTCCCATCAAAAAAGCAAACAAACCCAGGACCAGATGCCTTTATGGCAAAATTCTACCAAACATTTAAAGAAGAACTAATATCAGGCTTTCTCAAACTCTTTGAAAACATTGAAGAGAACCAGTATACTTTTGACTCTTCTTTGAGGCCAGCATTACCTTGTTACCAAAGTCAGGCAAGGACATTACAAGAAAAGAAAATTACAAGTCAATATCCCTGATGAACATAGATAGAAAAGTTCACAGCAAAATACAACCAAACTGAATTCAACAGCACATTAAAAGAATTATACACTTTGATGAAATGGGGTTTACCCCAGGGATGCAAGTATAATTCAATATACACAAATCTATAAATGTGATACACCACATTAAAAGAGTGAAAGGCAAATATCATAGGATCATCTCTCTAGATGCAGAAAAAAGCATTTGACACAATTCTACATCCTCAACACTCTCCACAAATTAAATATAGAAGAAATATACCCCAACACAATAAAGGCCATATATAACAAGTTCATAGCTTACATTATGAAAAGTTGAAAGCTTTTACTCTAAGATAAGGAACAAAACAAGGCTGTCCATTTCCACCAGTTCTATTAAATAAAACACTGAAGGTCCTTGCCAGAGCAATTAGTTAAGAAAAAGAAAAGGCATCTAGGCCAGGTGCGGTGGCTTACGCCTCTAATCCCAGCACTTTGGGAAGCTGAGGCAGGCAGATCACAAGGTCAGGAGATCGAGACCATCCTAGGTAACACGGTGAAACCCCGTCTCTACTAAAAATACAAAAAAATTAGCCAGGTGTGGTGGTGGGCACCTGTAGTCCCAGCTACTCAGGAGGCTGAGGCAGGAGATACCTGGGAGATGGAGCTTGCAGTGAGCTGAGATCGAGCCACTGCACTCCAGCCTGGGTAACAGAGTGAGACTCCGTCTCAAAAAAAAAAAAAATTTAATCAAGGAGGTAATGGTCTGTACACTAAAACAATGAACATTCGTTATTTTATTATTTTATTTTATTTTTTATTTTTTGAGATGGGGTCTTGCTCTGTCACCCAGGCTGGAGTGCAATGGCATGATCATGGCTCACTGCAGCCTTGACCTCCTGGGCTCAAGTGATCCTCCCATCTCAGCCTCCTGAGTAGCTAGGACTATAGGAATGCACCACTATTCCAGGCTAATTTTTTAAAAGATTATTTGTAGAGATGAAATCTTACTATGTTGTCCAGGCTGGTCTTGACTCCTGGGCTCAAGTTACCTTCCTACCTTGGCCTCCAAAAGTACTGGGATTATAGGCATGATCCACCGCAACTGGACTGTTATTTATTTATTTATTTTTTAGTAATGTATTTAGTATTGAATGTTTTCCCAACTGAAAGTACCCAAAAGTGAGGTTCCTGAGTTTACTTGACATCTAATGCCACCAACTCTTCACCAAAAGCAAGAATCAGAAAAGCATCTATCACTTACCTGGCAGTGTAGTAAGTAACTTCCTTGTTAAACTGTCTGGAAGCACCTGATTGTGTTCTCTGAGGGAATCTTTCTTCTTCCTTATCTACCTGTGTTCGTGACCTCTGACCTCGCCTGCTCAGAGGTACTTCCTTGCTCATTTTCCTCTGTGACCACATCTGAGATGCACATCACAAGCATCCCCTGCTTGGGGGAGCTGCACAGCCTTGGGAGTGTGCTTTGTTCTGTTTCAGATGGTTGTGGAGGGAACAGGAAGTTGCACAGGCTCATCACAAGTGGTTGAAAAGGCTTGTACAAGAAATAATTCTTGTTTCTTTTTCTTTTCTTTTTATTGACAATTTATAATCATATATAATTCTGTGGTACACAGTGATGTTATGATGTATGTATACAGTGTAAAGTGATTGAACCAACTAATTAACATTTCAGTTACCTTAAATACTTATTATTTATTCCTTCTGTCTAACTGTAACTTTCTACTCTTTGATCAACATCTCTCCATTCTGCCTAACCCCCAGCCTCTGGTGACCAACCATTCTACTCTCCACTTACATGAGTTTGATTATTTTAGATTCCACATAAAAGTGAAAACATGCAATTGTTGTCTTTCTGTGCTTGGCTTATTTGACTTGACATAATGTCCTCTGAGTTCATCCATGTTGTTGCCAATGACATAATTTCTTTTTTTTTTAAAGGCTGACTAGTATTCCATTGTGTATGTGTTTCTTTATGTTTGTGTATGTGTGTGTAATACATTTTCTTTATCCATTCATCCATTGATAAACACTTAGGTTAATTTTGTAACCTGACTATTGTAAATAATGCTGCAGGATATGGGAGTGCAGATATCTCTTTAAAATATTGATATCAAGTTTTTAGGGTATATACCCAGAAGTGGTACTGGATCACATGGTAATTCTGTTTTTAGTTTTTGCAGGACCTCCATACAGTTTTCCATGACTGTACTAGTTAACATTCTCTTAATATTGTACAGCGTTCCCTTTTCTCCACATCCTCACTGACACTTGTTATCTTTCATATTTTTGACAATTGTCATTCTACAGGTATTAGATGGTAGCTCATTATGGTTTTAATGTGCATTTCCCTAGTGATCAGTGATGTTCATCTTTGTTATTGTGATGTTCTTGGCACTTTCATTGAAAATCAATTGACCAAAACAAACAATCCCATCAAACAGTGGGCTAAGGACATGAATAGACAATTCTTGAAAGAAGATATACAAATGGCCAACAAACATAGGAAAAAATGCTCAACATCACTAATCATCAGGGAAATGCAAATCAAAACCTCAATGCCATACCACCTTACTCTTGCAAGAATGGCCACAATCACAAAATAAAAAAACAGTAGATATTGGCGTGGATGCGGTGAACAGGGAACACTTCTACACTGCTGGTGGGAATGTAAACTAGGACAGCCACTATGGAAAACAGTGTGGAGATTTCTTAAAGAACTAAAAGTAGAACTACCATTTGATCTAGCAATCCCACCTCTGAATATCTACCCGGAGGAAAAGAAGTCATTATACGAAAAAGATACTTGCACATGCATGTTTATAGCAGCACAGTTCGCAATTGCAAAATTGTGGAACCAACCTAAATGCCCATCAATTGACGAGTGGGTAAAGAAACTGTGATATATTTATACAATGGAATACTACTCAGCCATGGTTAGGAATGATTTAATGGCAGTTGCAGCAACCTGGATGAGATTGGAGACTGTTATACTAAGTAACACAGGAATGGTATGTTCTCATTGATATGAGGGAGCTAAGCTGTGAGGACACAAAGGCATAAGAATGATACATTGGACTTTGGGGACTTAGGGGGAAAGGGTGGGAAGGGAGTGAGGGATAGAAGACTAAAAATAGGGTGCAGTGTATACTACTCGGGTGATGGGTGCACCAAAATCTCACAAATCACTGCTAAAGAACTTACTCATGTAACAAAATACCACCTGTACCTAAATAACTTATGGAAAAGTTTTTAAAAATCAATTGACCATAAGTGTGTGGGCTTCTTTCTGAGTTCTCTACTCTGTTCCATTGGTCAGTGTTTCTATTTTTATGCCAATACTATGTATAAACAAAGGATTTTTTCAAAAAATGTCAATCACTGTAACTTTCAAATATAGGTTGAAGTCAGGTAGTGTAATGTCTTCAGCTTTTTTTTTTCCTCAAGATTGTCTTGGTTTGTTTTTTATGGTTCCATATGAATTTTTAAATTGTTTTTTCCTGTTTATGTGAAAAATGACATTGAAATTTTAGTAAGGATTACATGGTTCAGTCACCTAGAGATTATCTGCATCTCACAGATAAGATTATTTTCTGGGGCTGCTTTCTGGAAATGAAAGCAGTCTATGGTGGGCTCTTCCATCCCCTGTCAGGTGAATAAACTCAAAGGATATGTGAACCTCTTCTTCACAACAAAAGAAGACAAACATTGTAGTAGATGAGGCATAACACTGTTTGCCTTTGCAAAATTACAAGATGGGCTTTTCCTAATCATAAGAAACCAATTTTCCAATGTCAGTCTTACAAGGAGTGGAAGTTTCTCACTTTCAAAGGTCACCATGGCTAAGTGATCTTTTTAGAAACCATCTCTAAGACAGGCTTACATAAATCTTTTTCAGATATATAGTCATAAAAAGACCATATTTAACCCTAAGTTGAAAACATAGACCATTGTATTAGTCCATTCTCACACTGCTATAAAGATACTACCTGAGATTGGTTAATTTATAAACAAAGGAGGTTTAATTGACTCACAGTTCCGCATGGCTGGGGAGGCCTCAGAAAACTTACAGTTATGGCAGAAGGTGAAGGGGAAGCAAGGACCTTCTTCATAAGGCGGCAGGAGAGAGTGTGAGTGAGAATGAAGAACTGCCACACTCTAATATCAGCTCTCATGGGAACTCACTCAATATCACAAGAACAGCATGGGGAAACCACCCCTATGATCCGATCACCTCCCACCTGGTCCCTCTCCTGATACATAGGGATTACAGTTTGAGATGAGATTTGGGTAGGGACACAGAGCCAAACCATATCCATCTTGTATTCCAGAACATACAATTATGAAACAACATGAAAAAAATTTTAAAGATTTTTTTCAAAAAATTTCAAGTACATTTATTATTTTATTTTTGCCTTTGTGTATCAACTGAATCATAAAATAAAGCCTCATAATTTTCTAAAGGAGATGAGCACCTCCCTGAACAGGATCCAATTTGAAGAAACGGACATCTAGCATTCTTATTAAACATGTATTAACACGAGGAGCCAAGATGGCCGAATAGGAACAGCTCCAGTCTACAGCTCCCAGCCTGAGCGACACAGAAGACGGGTGATTTCTGCATTTCCATCTGAAGTACCAGGTTCATCTCACTAGGGAGTGCCAGATAGTGGGCGCAGGTCAGTGGGTGCGCGCACCGTGCGCGAGCCGAAGCAGGGCGAGGCATTGCCTCACTCGGGAAGCGCAAGGGGTCAGGGAGTTCCCTTTCCTAATCAAAGAAAGGGGTGATGGACGGCACCTGGAAAATCGGGTCACTCCCACCCGAATACTGCGCTTTTCCGACGGGCTTAAAAAACGGCGCACCACGAGATTATATCCTGCACCTGGCTCTGAGGGTCCTACCCCAGGGAGTCTCACTGATTGCTAGCACAGCAGTCTGAGATCAAACTGCAAGGCGGCAGCGAGGCTGGGGGAGGGGCGCCCGCCATTGCCCAAGCTTGCTTAGGTAAACAAAGCAGCCAGGAAGCTCGAACTGGGTGGAGCCCACCACAGCTCAAGGAGGCCTGCCTGCCTCTCTAGGCTCCACCTCTGGGGGCAGGGCACAGACAAACAAAAAGACAGCAATAACCTTTGCAGATTTAAATGTCCCTGTCTGACAGCTTTGAAGAGAGCAGTGGTTCTCCCAGTACGCAGCTGGAGATCTGAGAACGGGCAGACTGCCTCCTCAAATGGGTCCCTGACGCATGACCCCCGAGCAGCCTAACTGGGAGGCACCCTCCAGCAGGGGCAGACTGACACCTCACACTGCAGGGTACTCCAACAGACCTGCAGCTGAGGGTCCTGTCTGTTAGAAGGAAAACTAACAAATAGAAAGGACATCCACACCAAAAACCCATCTATACATCACCATCATCAAAGACCAAAAGTAGATAAAACCACAAAGATGGGGAAAAAACAGAACAGAAAAACTGGAAACTCTAAAAATCAGAGCGCCTCTCCTCCTCCAAAGGAATGTAGTTCCTCACCAGCAACGGAACAAAGCTGGATGGAGAAGGACTTTGACGAGCTGAGAGGAGAAGGCTTCAGACGACCAAATTACTCTGAGCTACGGGAGGACATTCAAACCAAAGGCAAAGAAGTTGAAAACTTTGAAAAAAATTTAGAAGAATGTATAACTAGAATAACCAATACAGAGAAGTGCTTAAAGGAGCTGATGGAACTGAAAACCAAGGCTCGAGAACTACGTGAAGAATGCAGAAGCCTCAGGAGCCGATGCGATCAACTGGAAGAAAGGGTATCAGCAATGGAAGATGAAATGAATGAAATGAAGTGAGAAGGAAAGTTTAGAGAAAAAAGAATAAAAAGAAACGAGCAAAGCCTCCAAGAAATATGGGACTATGTGAAAAGACCAAATCTACATCTGATTGATGTACCTGAAAGTGATGGGGAGAATGGAACCAAGTTGGAAAACACTCTGCAGGATATCATCCAGGAGAATTTCCCCAATCTAGCAAGGCAGGCCAACGTTCAGATTCAGGAAATACAGAGAACGCCACAAAGATACTCCTCGAGAAGAGCAACTCCAAGACACATAATTGTCAGATTCACCAAAGTTGAAATGAAGGAAAAAATGTTAAGGGCAGCCAGAGAGAAAGGTCAGGTTACCCTCAAAGGGAAGCCCATCAGACTAACAGCAGATCTCTCGGCAGAAACCCTACAAGCCAGAAGAGAGTGGGGGCCAATATTGAACATTCTTAAAGAAAAGAATTTTCAACCCAGAATTTCATATACAGCCAAACTAAGCTTCATAAGTGAAGGAGAGATAAAATACTTTACAGACAAGGAAATGCTGAGAGATTTGGTCACCACCAGGCCTGCCCTAAAAGAGCTCCTGAAGGAAGCGCTAAACATGGAAAGGAACAACCAGTACCAGCCGCTGCAAAATCATGCCAAAATGTAAAGACCATCGAGACTAGGAAGAAACTGCATCAACTAACGAGCAAAATAACCAGCTAACATCATAATGACAGGATCAAATTCACACATAACACTATTAACTTTAAATGTAAATGGACTAAATGCTCCAATTAAAAGACACAGACTGGCAAATTGGATAAAGAGTCAAGACCCATCAGTGTGCTGTATTCAGGAAACCCATCTCACGTGCAGACACACACATAGGCTCAAAATAAAAGGATGGAGGAAGATCTACCAAGCAAATGGAAAACAAAAAAAGGCAGGGGTTGCAATCCTAGTCTCTGATAAAACAGACTTCAAACCAACAAAGATCAAAAGAGACAAAGAAGGCCATTACATAATGGTAAAGGGATCAATTCAACAAGAAGAGCTAACTATCCTAAATATATATGCACCCAATACAGGAGCACCCAGATTCATAAAGCAAGTCCTGAGTGACCTACAAAGAGACTTAGACTCCCACACATTAATAATGGGAGACTTTAACACCCCACTGTCAACATTAGACAGATCAACGAGACAAAAAGTCAACAAGGATACCCAGGAATTGAACTCAGCTCTGCACCAAGTGGACCTAATAGACATCTACAGAACTCTCCACCCCAAATCAACAGAATATACATTCTTTTCAGCACCACACCACACCTATTCCAAAATTGACCACATACTTGGAAGCAAAGCTCTCCTCAGCAAATGTAAAAGAACAGAAATTATAACAAACTATCTCTCAGACCACAGTGCAATCAAACTAGAACTCAGGATTAAGAATCTCACTCAAAACTGCTCGACTACATGGGAACTGAACAACCTGCTCCTGAATGACTACTGGGTACATAACGAAATGAAGGCAGAAATAAAGATGTTCTTTGAAACCAATGAGAACAAAGACACAACATACCAGAATCTCTGGGACGCATTCAAAGCAGTGTGTAGAGGGAAATTTATAGCACTAAATGCCCACAAGAGAAAGCAGGAAGGATCCAAAATTGACACCCTAACATCACAATTAAAATAACTAGAAAAGCAAGAGCAAACACATTCAAAAGCTAGCAGAAGGCAAGAAATAACTAAAATCAGAGCAGAACTAAAGGAAATAGAGACACAAAAAACCCTTCAAAAAGTTAATGAATCCAGGAGCTGGTTTTTTGAAAGGATCAACAAAATTGATAGACCGCTAGCAAGACTAATAAAGAAAAAAAGAGAGAAGAATCAAATAGACGCAATAAAAAAATGATAAAGGGGACATCACCACCGATCCCACAGAAATACAAACTACCATCAAAGAATAATATAAACACCTCTACGCAAATAAACTAGAAAATCTAGAAGAAATGGATAAATTCCTTGACACATACACTCTCCCAAGACTAAACCAGGAAGAAGTTGAATCTCTGAATAGACCAATAACAGGATCTGAAATTGTGGCAATAATCAATAGCTTACCAACCAAAAAGAGTCCAGGACCAGATGGATTCACAGCCGAATTCTACCAGAGGTACAAGGAGGAACTGGTACCATTCCTTCTGAAACTATTCCAATCAATAGAAAAAGAAGGAATGCCCCCTAACTCATTTTATGAGGCCAGCATCATCCTGATAGCAAAGCCGGGCAGAGGCACAACCAAAAAAGAGAATTTTAGACCAATATCCTTGATGAACATTGATGCAAAAATCCTCAATAAAATACTGGCAAACCAAATCCAGCAGCACATCAAAAAGCTTACCCACCATGATCAAGTGGGCTTCATCCCTGGGATGCAAGGCTGGTTCAATATACGCAAATCAATAAATGTAATCCAGCATATAAACAGAGCCAAAGACAAAAACCACATGATTATCTCAATAGATGCAGAAAAGGCCTTTGACAAAATTCAACAACCTTTCATGCTAAAAACTCTCAATAAATTAGGTATTAATGGGACATATTTCAAAATAATAAGAGCTATCTATGACAAACCCACAGCCAATATCATACTGAATGGGCAAAAACTGGAAGCATTCCCTTTGAAAACTGGCACAAGACAGGGATGCCCTCTCTCACCACTCGTATTCAACATAGTGTTGGAAGTTCTGGCCAGGGCAATTAGGCAGGAGAAGGAAATAAAGGGTATTCAATTAGGAAAAGAGGAAGTCAAATTGTCCCTGTTTGCAGATGACATGATTGTATATCTAGAAAACCCCATTGTCTCAGCCCAAAATCTCCTTAAGCTGATAAGCAACTTCAGCAAAGTCTCAGGATACAAAATCAATGTGCAAAAATCACAAGCATTCCTATACACCAGCAAGAGACAAACAGAGAGCCAAATCATGAGTGAACTCCCATAAACAATTGCTTCAAAGAGAATGAAATACCTAGGAATCCAACTTACAAGGGATGTGAAGGTCCTCTTCAAGGAGAACTACAAACCACTGCTCAAGGAAATAAAAGAGGATACAAACAAATGGAAGAACATTCCATGCTCATGGGTAGGAAGAATCAATATCGTGAAAATGGCCATACTGCCCAAGGTAATTTATAGATTCAATGCCTTCCCCATGAAGCTACCAATGCCTTTCTTCACAGAATTGGAAAAAACTACTTGAAAGTTCATATGGAACCAAAAAAGAGCCCGCATCACCAAGTCAATCCTAAGCCATAAGAACAAAGCTGGAGGCATCACACTACCTGACTTCAAACTATACTACAAGGCTACAGTAACCAAAACAGCATGGTACTGGTACCAAAACAGAGATATAGATCAATGGAACAGAACAGAGCCCTCAGAAATAACGCCGCATATCTACAACTATCTGATCTTTGACAAACCTGACAAAAACAAGCAATGGGGAAAGGATTCCCTATTTAATAAATGGTGCTGGGAAAACTGGCTAGCCATATGTAGAAAGCTGAAACTGGATCCCTTCCTTACGTATACAAAAATCAATTCAAGATGGATTAAAGACTTAAATGTTAGACCTAAAACCATAAAAACCCTAGAAGAAAACCTAGGCATTACCATTCAGGACATAGGCATGGGCAAGGACTTCATGTCTAAAACACCAAACGCAATGGCAACAAAAGACAAAATTGACAAATGGGATCTAATTAAACTAAAGAGCTTCTGCACAGCAAAAGGAACTACCATCAGAGTGAACAGGCAACCTACAAAATGGGAGAAAATTTTCACCACCTACTCATCTGACAAAGGGCTAATATCCAGAATCTACAATGAACCCAAACAAATTTACAAGAAAAAAACAAACAACGCCATCAAAAAGTGGGCGAAGGATATGAACAGACACTTCTCAAAAGAAGACATTTATGCAGCCAGAAAACACATGAAAAAATGCTCACCATCACTGGCCATCAGAGAAATGCAAATCAAAACCACAATGAGATACCATCTCACACCAGTTAGAATGGCAATCATTCAAAAGCCAGGAAACAACAGGTGCTGGAGAGGATGTGGAGAAATAGGAACACTTTTACACTGTTGGTGGGACTGTAAACTAGTTCAACCATTGTGGAAGTGAGTGTGGCGATTCCTCAGGGATCTAGAACTAGAAATACCATTTGACCCAGCCATCCCATTACTGGGTATATACCCAAAGGATTATAAATCATGCTGCTATGAAGACACATGCACATGTATGTTTATTGCGGCATTATTCACAATAGCAAAGACTTGGAACCAACCCAAATGTCCCACAATGATAGATTGGATTAAGAAAATGTGGCACATATACACCATGGAATACTATGCAGCCATAAAAAATGATGAGTTGGTGTCCTTTGTAGGGACATGGATGAAATTGGAAACCATCATTCTCAGTAAACTATCGCAAGAATAAAAAACCAAACACTGCATATTCTCACTCATAGGTGGGAATTGAACAATGAGATCACATGGACACAGGAAGGGGAACATCACACTTTGGGGACTGTTGTGGGGTGGGGGGAGGGGGGAGGGATAGCATTGGGAGATATACCTAATGCTAGATGACGAGTTAGTGGGTGCAGTACACCAGCATGTCACATGTATATGTATGTAACTAACCTGCACAATGTGCACATGTACCCTAAAACTTAAAGTATAACAATAAAGATAAATAAATAAAAAAAACAAGAAAATAAACAGGTATTAATACGTTATTATTTCACCCAGATTAAATTGCTAGGAAAATGTTTTAGCATGCTCCCAGGAGAATATTTTGATTAGCTGCTAATACAGAAGGTATCAAAGAGTACTCAAAATATCTATAAGAAATGCAAAGAATCTTTTTCTACTCACATTCCCACCCCCATCAAATAACCATCAAGTTGTAACTTTCCACCTAATCCATGAGGCTTTGCACAGTGAATTAAATGAGAAAAGTCTACTAGATTTTAGTGGTGATGTTGTTAAAGCATGCATAACTGACACAGCAGAGTTTTTCCAATTTTTTATTCTCAAATTGCAACAGGGCACCATTGAAGACAATGGAAGATTTAATGAAACCAGTATTTATATTGTTATTTGAATGTTACTGAGTCATTGAAATTTCTGTTTCTGAAAGTATACACAAACACACACACGCTGTTTTAATTGTAGGAAGGAATTTCCATAATATTAAGAAAATGCAGCAGACTTTTAATAAGGGAAGGCTTATTTGTTTCTTTTCTTGAGGATATTGATCAGACCAGGAATGTATACATCTCTACCATCCAAGAACTTAAGAGTCCTGTGTGGCGATAAGATGCAGACACACAACAGAAATTACAGACAGCATGCATATATCTGTACTGCAGACAGGATTGCAGTAATCAAAGAAATTGATACATGTGTGTTTTTAAGTAAAGGAAGAAAACTGCATATTGATATTTAGCATATAAGTTTAATGTTTACAAATGAATTTGGATAGGGTAAAGTTGAAAGAGAGTAAACAATAGTTATGCCAAATATACTCAAGGAGTAGAATTAAAGGACAGAAAGCTAATGCAATTTTAAACATGTAATTATGTAATAGCCTCCATTAGGAAATATTGGATCCTCTTCAGGGAGGTGGTCATCTCCTTTACAAAACTCTGAGTTTCTAGGCTTTGTATTATAATTCAGTTCATCCTCAGAAAATAAAGTGAAATATAAATGTACTTGAAAATTTTTTGAAAAAATTATTTAAAAGTTTTGTACATGTTGTTTCATAATTATATGTTCTGGAATACATGGTGTCTTTTTTCAACGTAGGGTTTAATATGGTCTTTTTATGACTATAAACTATATCTGAAAAAGATTTATCTGAGCCTGTCTTAGAGGTGGTTTCTAAAATGACCACTTAGCCATGGTGACCTTTGAAAGTGAGAAACTTCCACTCCTTGTAAGACTGACATTGGAAAATTGGTTTCTTATGATTAGGAAAAGCCCATCTTGTAATTTTGCACAGGCAAACAGCATTATGCCTCATCTACTATAACATTTATCTTCTTTTATTATGGAGAAAGGGTACACATATCCTTTGAGCTTATTCACCTGACTGGGGATGGAAGAGCCCACTACAGACTGCTTTCATTTCCAGAAAGCAGCCCTAGAAAAGAATCTTATTTGCGACATGTCGATAATCTCTAGGTGGCTGAACTATGTTGTCCTGAAAGCGTCACAGTCAGAAGTAGTCCCTAGGGAGTTAATCTCCAGCTTGAAAGATTCAAGATGAGTTGAAAACAATAAAAGCATAACCCTTAAATCTTCTAATAAAAATAGTTTTAGTAAGGGTTGACTGGAACTGCTCAGATCAATAAGAAAGGCATTATATGATACTTAGTTTTGTTTTCTGTAATAATTTGACTTTTATAGTTGTCAGTATTGTTATTATATTTAGCCATATTAACAAAGTGTCTATTTTGATTTATTAACCATCACTGTGTAGGAAAAAGGCCCTGGTTTCTCTCTCTTAATAGCTTCCTTGAGAAGCTTATCATTTTATAAATAATTCAACCAGCATTGCTCCTTTGGAGGTAACATATACTATTTGCGGGTAAAATGTATGAGTAAATACATAATTCTTTGTGGACCAAATTTCAAAACCTGATTCCTTAAAATTGTTAAAATGGGCCAACGATAGTACCTGAGATTCAACAGCATTTCTTGACAGTTTCTTCATCAGTTTGATCTTCGCCTTTACAGATGTCCTCACAGGTATGCTGAGACAATCAAACAAGTAATTTGTTTTGATTACATTAAAAATCCCAAAGGCCTAAAGAAGGTCTTTACCCTGGAAAGAACTGAAATTCGCCACACCACACTCAGCCACTCATGCAGCCTTATGCATCCCCTAAGAGTTTGCAGTTCTCAGCCCCAGTTACGTAACAGATCAACTGGAGACCTTTAAAAAAATACCAATACTGGGACTGGCCTAGAAAAATTCTGAAAGAATTAGTCTGGGGTGAGATCTAAAAGTGAATATTCTTAAAAAGCTGCTCAGAGATTCTAGTCTGTAGCTAGAATGATAACCACTCCACTATAGCCATGGCATATTACTCAGTGTGTCCAGGGAAGCTGATATTAGTATATTCTGATTATAACAATATAAAACACAGAATCCACATTTATTAGATCAAGCAGAACTTCCTGGTTGTGTGTGTTGGCAGGAGGTTGTGTGTGTTCACAGAAGATTGTGTGTGTGTTCTTCTTTTATAATACTTAATGCTTAACCTTGGTACAACTCTGTTTCATTCTCTGGGTACAGCAAATGAACAACTTTATCACATTTATCAGGAATAAATTGATAATGTATTTTACAGATAATCACTAATTTTCATATCCCTATAAAGTACCAACAGGAGAAAAACAACGCCATGGAATGAATGAGCCATGCCTTCAAACAGTGCTTCTGGAGCTATTGATATGATGGTTGCACACGCTACCTTGCTTTGGCAAGGTTATCTTAATCAGGGCTCCCTCTGATTCTTTATGTAACTTATTCTGTAACAGCTGTGGAGAACACTTTTATAATGTCTAATGTTTATGACCTAGCAGAACTTCTTTCAAGAAAGCTGCTGAGGGCATATGCCCACAAATCTAATGCAAAGGCTGAATGCTGTTCGTAACATGAAAGGAGACCATGTTACTATTCTGCATAAAAATTCTCTGGTAGTTCCTGCCTTCAAGTTACTTACGCTATAAAACCATTTATTGCCTGGCTCTTCTTACCTGGCCAACTTTAATGTCCCGCCATTCTCCCCACTCCCATCCTCTCCCTCCACACATGTAAGGCTGAAGTAGAGAAAATGAATGCTCACTTCCTAGGATGCTGTAAATATTAAACCAGAATTCCCAAAAAATACTTAGTACAGTGCTTAGAATGTAATAACACAAGATTAAACACACACAGAAATAAATGACAATAACAACAACAAAAATATTTCTGTGTCCTCATAGAGCAGTTGCCTGCTTCTTACTTTACCTTTCAGTAGCATCATTTGCATATATCTATCATAAGCTTTATCTAATTACATTAAAATCAGTGGTTTGCCAATCAGCTTAACAGCATAGGTCTCAATGCACAATAGGCATGTAATTAATTTTTCATGAAATCAAATGCCTCTGATTTAAAAATTTCAAGAAGTGTTAGATTTTTGCTCAGCCATCTATTCTCTCACATGCTTAGATCCTCAAATATTAATTTAATGAATGAGTGAATCAATGAATGGTTCCCTTTATAATCAGGAACTGGTAGAAACTATGAATGCAGTTCATACAGTGATGCCAACTGGCCCATAGATGATTCAAAACTTTGAGCCTTGGCTTTCTATTACCCTCTCATAGGATTAATTTCTAACTACATCCAAAACTACCTCAGAAAAATTTGAAGACTGAAGCATCCCTATAATGGTTCTTAGTGGTGTTGTCAGAGTTCAAATGAACCAGAGTGACTCCATCTTGAATAGGGGCTGGGTAAAATAAGGATGAGACCTGATGGGCTGCGTTCCCAGGAGGTTAGGCATTCTCAATCACAGGATGAGCTAGGAGGTCAACAGGACTGGTATCACAAGATACAGGTCATAAAGACCCTGCTGATAAAACAGGATGCAGTAAAGAAGCCAGCCAAAACCCACCAAAACCAAGATGGTGTGGAAAGTGACCTCTGGTCATCCTCGCTGCTTGTTATATGGTAATTATAATACATTAGCATGCTAAAAGACACTCCCACCAGTGCCATGACAGTTTACAAATGCCATAGCCACCTCGGGAAGTTACCCTATACGGTCTAAAAAGGGGAAGGAACCCTCAGTTCCAGGAAATACCTACCCCTTTCCTAGAAAACTTATAATCCACCCCATATTTAGCATATGATAAGAAAACTTATAATCCACCCAATATTTAGCAGATGATAAGAAATAACCATAAAAATAGCTAACCAGCAGCCCTGGGGGCTGCTCTGTCTATGGAGTAGCCACCCTTCTATTTACTTTCTTAATAAACTTGCTTTCACTTTGCTCTGTGAACTCACCGTGAATTCTTTCTTGCATGAGATCCAAGAACTCTCTCTTGGGGTCTGGATTAGGCCTCCTTTCCAATAACACTGTAGTTGAAATTCAGTTCCTGAAATCTATTTCATTGAAAAGGAATAAATTATCAAGGCACATCTGTTTTGAATTTTCTCTTTTAAGAGTGTAAGTAGGGCCAATAGTGTACGTAGGTCAGCATTGAATGCAGATACCAGTGGTTGATATTATAGATTTCTCGGGCATAACTGTTAGTTTTCCTTTCATAATGATAGACATGTTAGAGGATGGTTACTCACTCACATTGCATTTTCAAAGTCCAGCTTAGCAAATTAGAATAAATTATTATCTTCAGCTGAGTTGGCTGTGGGCAACTTGTGTGCATCTAGCCAACCCTCTGAGAGCCTGGTCCTCCCTCCCTCCCTCCCTCCCTTCCTTCCTTC